>NC_000014.9:29914743-30217773 GCF_000001405.40 Homo sapiens | reverse complement strand
GGGACCAGTGACTTACGAGTCTACCTCTAATACCTTCTCCATTGAGAACCATATCTACTGGCCATGATTCCTCTTGGGTGTCTGTGCTACCAGTTGAGACCCATGGATATGTTACTGCCTTCTCCTCAGAGCTCTGTTGTCACCTCTCATACCATACTCACCAGTTCACCCCAAAGCAATTCTGTCATGAGATTTACACCTGGCTGCTTTGGCACAGTCATTTTGATGCTAGGAACTTTTTGTCATGGAAACATGGTTTTGACATAATATTTTAGCCTCTGACTTTCAGTGTTTTAAAATACACATTATGTTGACAGTTAAGAGTGTAGTAAAGATCAAGGATATTGATTTTGCATGTTAATTAGTAATGACAAGAAAAATAGTGATCTTACATATTGAAAGTGCCATTTTGATGTCAAAGTAGCTACATCAAAATGATTTTGTCAAAATTGATGCATTAATCACAATGTCAAAAAGTTCTTCTTGGATTGTCCTCTTACTTCATCTTCATCACTCATCTAGGGTATAATGGAAGATCCTATTCCAGAAAACTTCCTAATCTGAAAACGACATGGGCATCCAGCCTCAGCAGCAAACCACATAAATTGGACATCATGTGGCTCTCCTGGTAAGGCACAACAACATGCACGTAGGCCAGAAAGCAGAAACCATCTATCTACTGGGGTCATGGAGGCCATCAAACAATGGCTTGTTCACATTCTTTTTATGAGCATCCAGATTTCCCTGAAAGTGCGACCACTGAGGAGGATCTCAGAGTAGAAGAGAGATCAAAGACAGATGTTATCCATCTTAGATTGCCATCAGGTGTGTGTGCATTTTGAGAAATTAATAAGACCTAGTTTTTGGAAGGAGTGAATGAGCATTCCAGAGGGAAAGACTGTTGTGTGCAAAATATTCCTGTGCAGAGAATGCTAGAAAAGTGAATTTGACTGGAACTTGGGACACGTTCAGGGAGCGAGTGAAAGAAAATGAAATGTAGTTGGAGAAGGGCCTTGAATGTGTGTGGCTACAGAAATGGATGTGATATTGAGAGGCAATAAGAAGCTATTATGACTTTTAACAGGTAAGCTACGTGACAGCAAACTGGTTGAAAGACTACCCAAACTTCTTTGTAAGAGGAACTGGTACAGGAGTGGAACTGGAAGCTAGGAGAGCTGCCCTAGAAGTTTCTCTGCAACCCAGGCATAAGGCAATGAGGATTTAACCTCATCGTAAACTGGTTGCTGAAGTGGAAATAAAGATGCATATTTGAATGAAATAAAGAAGAAGGAATTTGCAAGTCTTGGGGAAAGATTAAATATCAGGAGTTAAAGAAGGATAACTCCAAAACGAATCTAAGATACTCAGCTTAGCTGAAGATTGGCCATGGTGTTGCCATTGATAGTAATGGACAAACTTGGGAAGTATGCCATTTTGAGGGTGAGAATCATGAATCCAAAGTTTACTATTATAGTGTTGATGGGACAACCAAGAAGAACTATTCTGCTATGCGGATAAATGATGGTATGGGCTTGGAAAGAGTTTGAAAAATCACAGTAGAAATGGAAGATTTAAGACCTTTGTGGAAGTGGAATTATGTGATCAAATTATCATGATCACCATCACTGTCATCATGAAGCATTGTGTGAAGATACAGTGGGAGTGAGTAAATGTGTTTGTAAAGTCACAGACATAGATATGGACAAAATCCAAGTTTAGATATAGTCCTCAATAAGGGAAGAGAAGAAATCAGTAAAACCATTGGAAACAATGAGGTATTTGATAAATAGAATTGGCGAATAGAATAGAGAGTGCTTCAAGAAAGGGTTGTAATCAGGGTGTCATGACGAAGCAATGAATTCAAGAAGGGGGAATGGAATCTGATCATCTAGAGAGGCTAACTTCCTTTTGAGAAAGTCATGAGTTTACAGGCATGGTTAAGTAGGGAGTGGCTGCAGAAGTAGAGACTATAATAAAATAAAGTTTAGAAAGGACAGAATCGAAATCAGAGGAACTCAGAGGTCATCTATGATAACCTCCTCTCCATTTCAGGAGTCACGTTCAGGAGCTGCAGCCCTAACAGATACTCACTCTGTCTTGTTGGAAGGACACCGTCTAATTTGTTAGGCGGTTGATTCTATATTGGGAGATTAGCATATTGGGTTAGTGAATTCTCCATTTCATTGAGATAAAAATACAAAAAGATACAACCACGGAAGGAAGAAATTTGCTGGTAGCAGGAAAGTGTGGAGGGTTCAAGTAAAGTTCTTATATTTATTTTAACTAGAAGAGAGGTTTGTGTATAGTTAAAGGAAAAGAAAAAGAAGCATGAAAGAGGAAAGGGTTAAAGAGTAGCAAGGAGGCGGATGGTGAAGCTTCTTTGAGGCCAGAGGCAGGAAGTGATCAGAGACGCAGATGGAAAGGTTATTTTCATTTGATTTATCCACCCACTAACCGGTGTCTGATATAGTGCTTTTAGCATAGCGTGTGTGCAACACAGAGATGTGCTGATTGATTAATTGAGGAGAAGAAAGGTACTTTTGAGATCCAAGAAAAGATAAAGGGGGGGATTCAGAAAAGGATCTGGGATCTAACGAGTGACACAAATCCCGTGAGCTGAGGAGCAAGACAAATTCAGAAGCTTCACTTTTGGCCACTATAAGGAAAATGGCTGCTGTTTTAGTCAATTTTAAAGATAATGATTTTTTTAAGCCATCTGACTCCTTTGTGCCTTCTATCAGAATTGAAGTAATAGGCAAGTCATTCAGATAAAACTGTCCCTCCTGGAGGAAGAGACATGCCAAGAGAACCTTGGCCAGATGGGAGCTGTAGAAAGGGGCTCAGAGGGGCATTTTGCTTGCCCAGTCAGTTTGGATTTAAACCAGGTGCCTCCAGGGTAGGCCAGAGCTTTGCCAGTCAAGAGCAGGGGTGTAAGCTGCCATTGTGTGAAAACAAGTTAAGTTGCTTGGTTCCAGGGAATGTGGTCCAAGTGTCATAAATGCATCTGTTTAATAATGCATATCAGTAGCTCTTCCAGAATTTGGGTGCCTTGAGCTGCCTTTGTTTCCTCATTTCCAGAAAAATGAACAAGTCCGTGTCTTGACAAAAGCACTAGATGGCAGCATAGGACATCTATTCAACTGTCTCTCTCCACAGGCTGCTGGAATTTTGACAGATACAAAACGGTACCTGTGGTTTTGTGTATAAAACTGGTATAACTGTTTGTACATTTAAAAAATGTAACAATAAATTAAACATAAGGGAAAAGGGTTGCTAATAAATACAGTGTTAGACTGCATTTTTGTATACCAGGTGACAAGCCTGGGCATTCAAACCTGATTTGTGTAGGGGATGGGCAGGATGGGAAGCGAGTTGAAAGAGTTGCAAAATGTACACGCTGGGTGGTTATAGCTTCCTTGAGGGTTGTTGTTGATTTACCCATATGTCTGTGTGCATTCCATAGAGGTGAAAATTTAGGGAAGTGAGGGGTACGATATGTCTGAAAGTCTGGATACAAGGGACTTTGGAAGAAAGCAGCATTCTGTGATTCTCTGACTCACTGTTTTGATGGGTGGAAGGTGAAAGTGTGAGCTCATTATATGTGCTTTTCTTAAAGAGGCAAATAATGCCTCCCCATTTTCTTACTCATCATTTAGAAAGTGGGCCTATGAAGCCTGCACACATTGTAGCCTATAGGACTAGGCTCAGTATATACTATCATCTTTTCTCTTTAGTCTGGATTGATTCACTTCCTTGGTTAGAGCAACTGCTACCTGAGACACTAAGGGCATAGGTTTGATTCCAGTCAGAGTCAGTTGGTATGCTACAGAAAAGAAGAAAACAAACAAAAAAAAAAATCCCAGGATCGCACACGGAAAATCCACTTAACCAGCTCTACAAAGATTCTTCACCACTTCTAGAAAAGTAATTCAAAGCACACATCCTGTCAATATATATGGTCAGAAGCATTATCTTTTTATTCATTCTTTCATTGAACAAACATTTGTCATCTACTATGTGCCAAGCATTGTGCTGGGTAATGAAAGAGATCTAAAAAAACACAAAACCAAACCAAAACAAAAATAACCCAAACACTATGTAACATAATACACATCTCCTTTATTACAAAGATGATGTTAATAATAATAACTATTGGTATAATGGTTTATAGTTCCTGACACACTTTCATCCACAATATCTTATTTGGTTCTTACAATGATCCTGCCATTTGGATTTTTTTGCAGGTGAGGAACTGAGATTTAGAAATTATTAATAATTTGCCTAGATCATAGTCAATTAGTGGTATTTCCAGCACTCAAAACTAGTATTTTGATTCTAATTCCTAAACTTTTTTTACTATACCATACAATTATAAAGAAAATGCTTCATATTTTATACCATTTCAAGCTCTTTTCTGAAAACATTTTGGTCTCAGGAATCTGGGAAATTTAGATCAAAGGTTTGAATTCAAGTGCTATGTGATTATTTATCTGGTAAATACAGTTTAGAAATAAAGAAGTTTTCCACTAACTGTAGAATAAAAACCTGTAATGTGCCAAGGAAGAAAATTTCACTTTGATTTATTCTTATTTTGTTTCTTGTTTGTAAATAGGGCAAATATCATATATAAGAATGCTACTGAAACAGCATTTGTCCTACTATATATATAGAGAGAGTGTATATGGACAGAGAGTGACAGAATACAAATTTCTTATGGCGAAGGAAGGGCTGTTTTCCAGATATTTCTTTACTTCATATGCCTAAATGTCTCTCATTTCACTCATTGTTTTTCCTGGGTTTCTGTGTTTTGCTCCAAATCATATACCCACCACAGTGCAAACTGCCTGGCACGTAGAGGCTTTTCATTTAGTTGTTGAATGAATGGAGTAAAGAAAAGCAGAGTCCATCTATTAACCTCATTTGGTCCAGCCCCAGCCAACCTTCTGCCTCATTCCAGGGGATCTCTCAATTTTAAGAGCAGAACTTACCTCAAATCCTATCTATAAAACAAGACTGTCCCTAACCTTCGCTTATAGTGTATAGTCTATTGCTGTACAATTTAGCACCTGTTTTTAGGTTTTCTTGTATTCTCTGGTTGTTTCACGTGGGCAAGTAACGTTTCCCAACCAGAGCATCAGGTCTAGGAGGGCAGTGCTTGTCATCACATAATATCCGTTTACTTGCATCTCACAACATGTCTATTTAAATCTGTAAATTCTGTGTAGTCACGCCTTTCTCTGGTGGCACATTCCAGTCTAATTCCATCTGCAGGCACTTGAGCATGAGCAGGGAGGTGGAGATGCTATCTTTTGGGAGGTGCTGCACCAGGTGAAATCATCCTATTTCAATGCGGGCATTCAAAGCCAACAAAGACGCCGTGTTGCTTTATTCCCAGGGGCTGCTGATTGCCCATTTTAGTGATCTGAGTCCATCATCTCGTTCTTAGCTGGTCACAAAGGGCTAGTTGTAAACAACCACTGTCCAAATTGATCATATTACCCAGGAGATGAGCAACCACCAGGTATAATCTCAGTTGGTGTCTGGAAGGCTTATAGCATAGGCTGTGATGTAAATCAGAAGCAAAGACCATAAAAAAGTAGGTTGATTTCCTCTTACTTAGCATTCAGTGGAATGAATCATTTAAATGCTTAGTGATTTTTTTAAACTAGCGTTCAACATAGAGATTAATGAGGTTTTTTTCCCTTCTCTGCTTTCTGTGTACATAAGCCCACAGTTGGCTTATCCATAGGCAATATGTTACCATCTATATGATAGGATTTGAAGTATACTACAAAGTCCTTAGACTTTTCCCTTACTGGCCTACTATAGTACAATCATTAGAATCATTTATTTTGGATAAGGCATTGTCTCTAGAAAAAGTCTATAAAAATGGCTATTACCTGCCAGAGACATTATTAACAAGGAATAATTCATTAGGTTGCTTAATTTTCACTCAACATTGGCACCACTGCTATCCCCCAAGCTCCCCAGAATAAGTAAGAGGGCAGAAATGGAAAAATCACTCTGAGGTAGAAATTTCTAAAACTGTCTTTATTCAGTTTATAATTAAAGTTAGAGTCAATGGAAATTTGGAACCAACCAAAAGGAAAATTTAAATCTTGTTGTGAGAATATTTTAAATACTAATGTTCCCCCTGCTATGTTGGTGTTACAATTCTCAATAGGAAATGATTCAGAATTCCTTCTAAGCCTTTATGTGGGGCCACAAGAATGTGGAAATACTTCTGCTTTCCTCAAGGACAAGAGACTAAGAGATCAAAGTCCAAAGTCAATCATAAGAGACCAGAGATCCAGGCCAAGTGTTGGAGCTTTCTGCTCAGGGATGCAAGAGCTGCATGGCTTATTCTAGGCATGGGGTGTCCAAGTTCTGTCTTTCCTGCCCTCTATGTTTCCTTTGTAAATCTTAGGGACCTTTTTGAATCTCAAATTCGAACAGATGACAAAAGCCTCTCTTCAAATGAGCCCGTAGGGGTGTGAGTGTGAGTGTGTGTGCACATGCCCTCAGGAAAGGGGCAAAGGAAGTCTCTCACAGACTGAGATTAAACCTGACAGTGCAAATTAATTTTACTGCACAAAGATTGTGCCTGAAGCCCACACTTACATTTAGTGCCTGCTTTCATAAATGAAGAAAATAGTTTGAGAAAGAGGTGAAACGATCAAAAGCACATTGTTATTATTATTATTTTTTAATCTTATGGAGTGATGGAGAAGAGAGAAAGGGCAGGATCCCAGTTCCACATTCTCAAGCATTATCCCACTAGATTGGTCTGAGGTTTGAGGTACAGCTTCGCTTGGTCTCAGGTCTGATTAGCCCATTATGAAACTACTGGTTCGTGGTTCTTCTATCAATGTCCCAAACCCCTCTATAGCTGCTCTTGCCTTTAAGGTTTGGCCTTTCTCACTTTGATGACTCACCTCTTGCTCTGTCAGAGGTTCAGGGAAATACATGCTTTCATGGGACTATTCCAGGGAGAGCACACAGCAACACAGAGTGGGAATGAAGTGCGGCCCTGCAGCCTGGTTCCTGGTTCCAGTGTCCCATCTTCTTATGGTCTTTAGTCTTTGTGATGTATACCTGTATGTTATCATTTCGTATTTGTGATACCAGCTCTGGAAAACCTGATCATTTCTTTGCAGGCACCACATCTATAGAATTAATAGATCTGTGGGCCTAATTAAGAAGAGAATCTCTAAGGCACCAGATCTCTTAGCAACTCAGGCTAAACTACTTCAGTTGCCAAATAATCAGTTTTGCATTTAGCAATGTGCTTGAAGTTGAACTGTTTTAGGGAGAAGAATGAGAATCAAAGGATTCTGTGTGTTTTTGTGTATATGGTATCATAGCGGTGGTGGTGGTGGTGGTGGGGTGTGTGTGTGTGTGTGTGTCTCCGTGTGTCTGTGTATGTATGTGTGGATAGTGAATCTTGTATTTCCACAGCTTAGTCAAATTAATAGGAATAATACTATCATACGGTTTTAGGCAAGTTGTTCACTTACGTTATTGGCATTTTCAAGTATCTGTAGCTGGGCCAAATGAAAACTGGACTAAACTGTACATTCAGTTACTTTACTCTCTATTTAGTTCTACCAGACAGCTCAAATGTCAACAGATCAGTATGTGGTACTGACAAGACAGCATAAGGTTCTAGAAAGGGCTCAGGCTTTGGGGACTAGTGTTCTGGCCTTGGCATACTGTCCAACCTGTGCAACACCTCAGATGATTGTTAGGAGGAAGAACCTAGGTGTACCAAGGAAAGCGCCCAGCATGTGGCCTATCATCTAGCAGGTTTCAACAAATGGACCGTCTCTTTCTACCTGGCATATTGAGCAAATTGTCCTTACTTTAGAAGCCACAATATGACTCCCTTTTTGTCATTCTCCCCCCAAAACCTTATTTTCCAAATAAATTTAAGACATAGTAACAAGATACCTATTGCTATGGTTTGAATGTCCCCTCCACAACTCATGTTGAAATGTAATTGCCATTGTGACAATATTAAAAAGGGAACTGTTAAGATGTAATTAGCCTGTGAGAGCTCTGTCCTCATGGATGGATTAAAGCTGTTATCATGGGAGTGGGTTCCTGATAAAAGCAAGCTCAGCCCTATCTTTCTCTCTCTTGTTCTTTTCTGCTCTCTTGCCATGTGATGCCTTCTGCCATGAAATGATGCAGTAAGAAGACCTTCCCCAGATGCAGCCCCCCCATCTTAGACTTCCTAGCCTCCAGAACCATGAGCCAAATGCATTTCTTTTGAAAATAATTTACCTAGTTTCTGGTATATTGTTATAGCAACACAAAATGGACTAAGACACTACCTAAAGCCATATATTTTTGACATGAGAAAATATTTTCTTATGTTTACTGTGGGGACTTTAAAAATTCTGAGCTCTAGCCTTGGGAATCCATTGAGTAATCACGTGACTTTGAGCAAGGATTGCAGGAGCTCTAAGTCACCATTTTCTTCACATTAATATAAAAATTATCCATCAAAGATCTAACTCAAATGTCTATGCTGGCTTACAACCATCTCTCTCACCTTTGTGAATTCTGACTGCCATGAGAGTTGCATGTTTTAGAATTATTTATTCCATGTTAGTAACATCTCTCCAAATAGATAGCTTACCTTTTTTCCTGCAATAAAAGTATATATTATATATATATATATATATATATACACACACACACACACATATATACATATATACACATATATAGTATATATACTATGGTATTTTCTATAATAAAAATATTTATTGATCGGTGGATGATATTGGTAATTTTAATATCTAGGGAGTAAATATCTAGAATATGAATGACTGCATTTGGGTCTCTTGCTTTTTCTTCTTCCTCCATCACCTTACCTATTTTACAGCTCCAACCCCTCTCACTAAACAATGGGCAGGACAGAGCAAAGACAATCTGGTCTCTTAGTCCACTCATTGATGAAAGAGAATTTGAGAAACCATTGCCTAGAATGAGAGTTTTGAGTTATCTGTGGTTTTTAAATTATTCATTCATTCTTTATTGGCAAGGTTCTTCTAGGGAAAACCTCATAAAAGCTTTACACAAGAACTGATATTATTACAGAGAGGAAGGGTTAAGTATAACATGAGGAATTAAATATAAGTACTGCAGCTGTTCAGCTGGGTATAATAATACACACCTGATGCTATTTATATTCTGCTCTCCTAGTAGCAGCTGCTAAGAATTTTTAAACAAAGAAAGCACTGAATATTTGCATAACTAATTCCAAATTTGGGAACTTGCTTTATTTTTGTTAATAATGGAAAGGAGAAGGAAAATACATCAAGACTATATAATTGGTGGAACCAGTTAAATGCTTTCTTTCTTTTCTTTTCTTTCTTTCTTTTCTTTCTTTTCTTTCTTTCTTTCTCTTTCTTTCTTTCTTTCTTTCTTTCTTTCTTTCTTTCTTTCTTTCTTTCTTTCTTTCTCTCTTTCTTTCCTTCCTTTCTTTCTTTCGTCTCCTTCCTTCCTTCCTTCTTTCCTTCCTCCCTCCCTCCCTCCCTCCCTCCTTTATTGCTACAGGTGAGGGAGAGGAGGAGGAATAAAAGGAGAAGTTGGGAAGAGATATATATGTCACAAGTGGGCCAGTTGCTGTTCTGCTGGCCTCTGCCATGATGACAACTGAGAAAATATTCCTAACAGCTCTCATGTCTCCATTTCAGTAGCTACCAATATCACACTATCCTAACACTGGAGTGCCACAGGCCAGTCCACATGCTATAGAAAGTGCTATAATATAGCTTCTATTTACCAACAGCAGACAGCCTGAGCACTGTGAGCACATTTCCCATATGGCACCGCATGGCAGAATTGCGGGCTTTACCAAAACATTGTTGACCTTACATACATTCACAAAAAGATTAAATAAAGCCCATTTCCAGGGCCTGAAACAGTTTAACACCAAAAACAGTGTTTTCTCTTCTAGTTCTTACATCTCACTTATATTACTCTTTCAGTCCATTAAGATGGGGCCCTAAAGCTAAGAGGCAAAGTCACATGACTTTGCTATTCTGTGCATACTAAGCGGACTATTATCTTCCATGGGATGAATGATAAAATGGCTCCAATTTCTAAATAGAGGCAGTGAATCCTTTCGGAAACATACCTCTATTGGGCTTTCAGCAAACCCAGTTGCTGCGTGCCTGTGCTAGCTTCTGTCTGAGTCAGGTGTGGGGCACATAGGGGAGGAGTGGGTATAGAGAACTGCTTACCGGTTTCTGCTTCTCTGATGATTTCCAGATAGACTGTGCAGCCTCTCCATTTTTATGAGATTTGATGCAAAGAATAAAAGAGATTGGCTAAAATTTTGATATTCCACAGCTCTAATTGCTTTTGAGAGAAAGCAACAACATTGAGGTGATCATTATTAGTATGATTGGAAGGTACGAAAGAGGAAATGATCTGCCGAGTGTTACCTTGGCTGAGTTTAGTTTTTTTGGAAATGAGATGGAAAAGATTAAGGCCTTAATGTCTGTTTTCTTCATTTTTATCTTCTCCCAATGCCTCACACCCCACCACTATATCTGTAGATATTTCCAAGGTGTTTATATATATACAGAAATGGCCAGACCAGTTTGAGGGCCTCAAAAACACAATCTCAGAGGGTCATTCATGAAAACAGAGCTCTTCACTAAGGAGACAGTATCATATTCTTTGGACAAGAAGGAGGCAAATTTCTCAGCCCATAGGATATCCTGAGCAAAATTTACAAAGGACCATTCCCCCATTGCTTATCAAATGTTTACTGGTTAGAGATACATTGTCCCACCAAATAGAGCATCTTACTTTATAATGGGAGAATGAGTGCCACTGTTTGTTGGCAACATAGGACAACAGACACACATTGACCATCTCCTGTGCCCGACAAAAAAAGGGAAGGGCTGGGTGCATTGGCTCACACCTGTAATCCCAGCACTTTGGGAGGCTGAGGCGGGTAGATCACAAGCTCAGTAGTTCGAGACCAGCCTGGCCAATATGGTGAAACACCATCTTTACTAAAAATATAAAAATTAGCTGGGTGTGGTGGCAGGTGCCTGTAGTCCCAGCTACTCGAGAGGCTGAGGCAGGACAATCGCTTGAACCCGGGAGGCAGAGATTGCGGTGAGCCGAGATTGCACCACTGCACTCCAGCCTGGCTACAGGCTTAAAAAAAACCAAAAACCAAAAACCAAAAAGGGAAGACTTCCTCTGGCAACGCCATAATCCTGAATGGAGCAGCTTATTTTACCTGTAAAGGTATTGGAGTCTACAGTAGGTATTAAGTTAGATATTTTTCCTAGGATTTAGATATAGAGTGCTTTTTTTTTTTTTGACAGAATCTCACTCTGTTGCCCAGGCTGGAGTGCAGTGGTGTGATCTCGGCTCACTGCAACCTCCACCTCCCTGGGTTCAAGTGATTCTTGTGCCTCAGCCTCCTCGGTAGCTGGGACTATGGGTGCCTGCCATCATGCCTGGCTAATTTTTGTCTTTTTAGCAGAGACAGGGTTTCACCATGTTGGTCAGGCTGGTCTCAAACTCCTGACCTCAAGTGACCCGCCTGCCTTAGCCTCTCAAAGTGCTGACACTATAGGCATGGTCCACCACGCCCGGCCTAGACTGCTTTTAATACCAGGTGTTGGTCACTTCTTGGTTAGATTGTTCAAGCTGATTTCCTTGGGCAGGGGAAAACTAGGGTTCTTAAAACCAAGGTAATTAGTTTGCTATAGTACAGAGAAAAATGCTATTCACGCAGACCATGCCACAAAAATCACCAGATCCTAGTATTTGTCTAGACATCTTATAAATACATATTACTAATTACAGGAGGAACCAGGAGGCTGATCAGGTGATATAGCGCATGTATCAGTCAGCATAGGTGAAGTCCATAATAAAAACTCCCAAATCTCAGTGACGTCTCACAATGAAGATATATAATGTGCTAAGCCATGATCTAATGCAAGTCAGTGGGGTGGATGGGGGTCTTCCATACAGACTTCTTATGTCTTCTAGGACCTTCAAGTACATGCTCCATTGAACTCTCTGAATTCAGCTGGCTAAAAAAGAAGAAAGAGAAGATGGAGAAGGCACAACCATTCTAAACTGCCTTGACATGGAGGTGACACCAGTTTTATTGTAGGAATAAGTGACATGATTGTATCTAATTGCAAGGGCCTGGGAAGCACAACTAACCATGCACCAAAGAAGACAAGAACACAGGTAATGTTGAGCAGTAGCTATTTGTCACAGTATGCCTCTCCGTTTTGGTAATAGCAATATCTTTGTAATCATAGGACAAGTCATTTAAAAAATTATGGGATCTAACTAGGGCATACTGCCAGCCTTACTCCATGTAATAATCTGTAAAAGAATTGTATACACAGTAGAGGGACTATAAAATTTTCCTTATGTATCATCTCCCCTCAGTACACATTCTAACCCTGAATATCGCAGCTAGGGATCATTATTTCAGGGTGATAGCTGGGGACTCACAACCAGTCAGATCTTGTCAAGTGAGCACACACTGCAGGCCCTTGACCTGAACCTGGGTAGCTGGTTAGGAGGGTTGTAAATTTCAAGGCAGTGCCATTCCCAATTGCAATGGCACCTCGTGTTTCATTTCTAGCTCCTTGGTGAGAGTGTCTCCTCCCACTGGCATGGCATTTAGATGATTTTAGTGGCTCCTAAGATGGGTGTGAGGAGAACAGAAAAGCTCTTTTGAATTGTAATCAGTCTGTCTCTAGACATGCTAGCAAAGATGCTTAAACAGCACTCTGTAAAGATGTTAAGAAAATATTTGTAGTGCTTCACACACACCTATAGACAAAAAACAGTTCTTGTTGCTGTAGAAGCAGCAACACTGTACAGCCTTAATTAAAGCATCATCTGACCTGTTTTTTTTTTTTATGCTACAGTTGCAGAATCCTGCTGAAGAAAAGGATTAATTACAGATGAGCTGCATGCCATGATAATTAACTATTGCGGCTTCTCTTACTTGCCACATTCTGGTACTTTTTCCGCTTTAATAGATTCAAGGAATGAGAATTTTTATCACATTCCCTGTCTACAGTCCCTGATGGATTTGTCACACATAAATTTACACAGCATACATGAAATATTGAGCCATCAGCATTTTTTTATTCTTATGCACATTGGAACATAGAATAGAATCAAGCATGGTAGTAAGGTGAAAAGTCAAACATGTAGTGAGGTCCAGGTAAAGAGCCATCAAAGAGATCATGAGATGTAGAAAAAGCAGATTGAGAAAGAATCCTGAAGTGAGGTTAACCTAAGTTAGCTTTGGAAATATTGAACACATGTTGACAGAAGGGAAACAAATGGAATCCAAATGAACATGATCAGACAACAAGATCATCTGACTCTGATCTGATTGAGACTTGGCAAACTCATTTATTGCCAAGGTTAGATCAGGTTGTACAGTTTTGCACAGGATGCATAACTTCCCAAAACATCCATAATCCCAGAAAATGCATAATTTCCTCTCCTTGAAAGGATGCTATTAGCACTACCATTGATTTCCCAAGCAAAGTGGCTAAGAGTGCAGCCATCACCACTTTCCAGTTCTCGTCTGTTGGTTTGTGCTCATCTCTATAGAGAGCTGTGAGTGGTTAACCAAGACAAGGGATAGTTGTCTTGACTTTGGAGCTTCTCCTAAGAATCATCTGTTTTGGTGTTGCAGGCAGCTTGGGTCATGTGCTACAGCTTTCCTGTGATCACCTTGCCTCTGAAATATCTGAAAATGGCTTTCTCTTCATTCATTTCTACATCTTCATTCATTCTCCCAGGTCTTGCAATGGTTGTGTAAGTATATAATTCTCTATATTGAGTTTCTGTCTAATAAAAATACCTAGGGTGGCTTCAGATTTTCTAATTAAACTCCAATTGATAGAGTTCTAATTCTGCATCTATTTCTGAATAATTATGTGTAGGATAACTTTTTCGTAAATAGTCAAAAATTCAATTTGTTTCAGGTGAATTATTTTGTAACAATTCTTTTAAAACATAAATTATTTCATGTATCCTTTCAAAATAACTTTCAATTAAAGTATAATATTATCCACTATAAATGCCAAACATATTAATCTAAGCATACAACCAGAGGGATCCTATCTCTTAGACTCATCACATATTACATTTTGAAACAAGGCAAGCTGTAAATAAATAAATCAGGAATAAAGTATCTTGATTTTTCAGAAAATGCACTTCCTTTTTTTTTTTTTTTTTTTAAGCAGAGTCTCACTCTGTTGCCCAGGCTGGAATGGTGCAGTGGCACGATCTTGGCCCACTGCAACCTCTGCCTCCCGGGTTCAGGTGATTCTCCTGCCTCAGCCTCCAGAGTAGCTGGGATTACAGGCATGTGCCACCATGCCTGGCTAATTTTTGTATTTTTAGTAGAGACAGGGTTTTGCCATGTTGGCCAGGCTGGTCTCAAACTCCTGAACTGAAGCTATATACCCACCTCGGCCTCCCAAAGTGCTGGGATTACAGGTGTGAGCCACCTCAGCCACCCAGAAAATATACTTCCTGGCTGGGTGCCGTGGCTCATGCCTGTAATCCCAGCACTTTGGCAGGCCAAGGTGGGCAGATCACGAGGTCTGGAGTTCGAGACCATCCTGGCCAACATGGTGAAACCCTGTCTCTACTAAAAACACAAAAAATTAGCCAGGTGTTGTGGCACACACCTGTAGTCCCAGCTACTCAGGAGTCTGAGGCAGGAGAATCGCTTGAACCCAGGAGGCGGAGGTTGCAGTGAGCAGTTATCGCACCACTGCACTCCAGCCTGGCGACAGAGGGAGACTTCGTCTAAATGTATATATACTTCCTATGTTCTCTAATGGATTAGTTAATTCTACCAAGTTACTAGATAAACCATACTGGATAGAGAGGTGGGAAATGAAGATTCGGGCAGTATCTAGTTATGTGACCATTGGCTAGTAGTTTATGGTTGTGTTTCCCACATATAAAATCTTCAGAGCATATCCAATGATTTATCAAAGTTCAAAAATTTATTGTATTGGATTACATAAGTATATATTTTGAAATAAGACACCAGACAGGGCACGGTGGCTAACGCCTATAATCTCAGCACTTCGGGAGGCCGAGGCAGGTGGATTACCTGAGGTCGGGAGTTGGAGACCAGCTTAACCAACAGGGAAAAACTCTGTCTCTACTAAAAATACAAAAATTAGCCAGATGTGGTGGCGCACACCTGTAATCCCAGCTACTTGGGAGGCTGAGGCACTAGAATCACTGGAACCCAGGAGGTGGAGATTGCAGTGAGCTGAGATGGCACCATTGCACTCCAGCATGGGTGAGAGAGCAAGACGCTGTATCAAAAAATAAATAAATAAATAAAATAAATAAATAAAAAGAAATAAGACACCAAATAGGAACAGTCATAATTTATGTTAAAAAATTAAAATTCACAAAAGATAAAAACTATATGGCTGATCTCAAAAGTCAGAGTTCTGACTTTGCTTAGCAAACATGAACACATGTTGTCAGAAGGCAAACAAATGGAATCCAAATGATTTCTAAGACAGTTTCTCTGTCTCAGAAACAGTAGATATTCTGCTCTTCTAGAAAATAAGAAATTCACATACAAGTGCACTCTCACACATATACATACTACAGTTAAGAACAACTTATGGCCTTTGGTGCTAATAATTTAGAAATAATAATATTAAACATTTATTTATTGTAGGCAGACCTCGAGTTAAAATTTATTTAGGTAAACACATGGTATAAACATACACTGATAAATGTATAACAGACTGTATTATTCTGTTTCCATGCCACTGGTAAGAGATGCCTGACAATTATGGTAATTTATGAAGAAAAAGAGGTTTCATGGACTCACAGTTCCACATGGCTGGGGAGGCCTCACAATCATGGCAGAAGGGGAAAGGCACGTCTTATAGGGCAGCACACAAGAGAGAATGAGAGCCAAGTGAAAGAGGAAACCCCTTATAAAATCATCAGGTCTTGTGAGACTTATTCACTACCATGAGAACAGTGTGAGAGAAACTGCCCCCATGAATCAATTATCTCCCACTGGGTCCCTCCCACAACAGGTGGGAATTATGGGAGCTACAATTCAAGATGAGATTTGGGTGGGGACACAGCCAAACCATATCATAAAGGACCATCGAATTTTTTTCCAAGGTGAAATAGATAAACATGAATATGTGATTTTAACATTGTTTCTCAGCTGTGCTTAAATAAAAATACAAGATGCTAAATAATTTTGGGAGAGAACTTAAGGATGAAGATATGAACCTAAAAAAATGTTTAACCTTCTTATTAAGACAATAGTCTTTTTGCTTCTATTAATGCAGCATTTTTTAATAGAGTTTTTCTTTTTATTTGCATTAGATTTTTCAGTTTCTTACAGTAGCTATTTCAATCTTGGTAGCAATTCATTTGTTCAGGTAAATGTAATTTTATCATCCTTGTTTTACAAAAAAGATTATTATCCTCGTTTACAGGTGAGGAAATTGGGGTTTACGTAGACTAATTATTTATCTGGACTAGGCAAGTTAGGTAAGAGATGGGGCAGGTTAGCAGCATCTCAGTTCACTGTTCTTCTCACAAATCCGTTCCCCTCTTTCACCATGTATAAAAGAGAGGTAAGCCTTGTTGCCTTCAACTTCACCTTCATGCTTCATTGGTTAGAGAGTGAGGTTTGGCCAGGCTGGAGTCTGGAGAAGGAAGTTCTCATCTAGGTTAATAGGCCCCTGAGGCTAATGTATGATCAAAGCCATAAACAAGGTAAGGGATATTATAGTAATAGATGACAATAAGTCTATAATGCTAGAACAAATGAAAAGACAATAGGAAAAATGGTGTGGTGACCATAAAACAAGCACCTCGCAGATCTCTGGTTGCAGGGAGCATAGTTGACTGCCTCAGATGCTACACTCTAAAATTCATTGCTGACTTTACCTCAAAGGCACTTTTGCATGGGCTGTTTCCAAGACGATAAAATAGCATGGCAGGATTACTAAAATAAGTCTGCTCCTGATAGGCCTGGAAGTTACAGGATGCCTCTGATTGGCAACTTTAGCTAGAGCATTCCTTACAGGCTCATTCCAAGGTGGTGGCAGTGGAGGTGGGAAAGAAGTGGTTGAATTCTGTGTATATTTTGAAGGTAAGACTAATATAATTTACTGACAGTTTTGATGTAGGGTATAAGAGAAAATCAAAGCTGCCTCAAAGCTTTTGACCTGAACAACTCGAAAGATGAACTTATCATTAGCTGAGATGGAGAAGGCTTTATGTAGAGCATGTTTCCAGAGATGATGAAGAGAAGGAGGTCAGGTGTTTACTAGTTTTATAGCATTGAGTTTGAGGTGCCCAAGATATCCAAGCATATATATCAAGTAGGTGATTTGTTGTATGAGTCTGGAGTTTAGAAAAGAGGTCTAGATTGGAATTACTGCATATATTTGGGAGACATCAGCATAAAAATGGGACTAAATGAGATAACCAGTGCCTGAGTGAGGACAAAGGAGAGAAATGGTGTAAGGACTGAACCCTGGGTGTCAGAGAGAAGAGGAAGAATCAGCAAAGGAAATGTGAGATGGTGTAACAAGTCAAGCAGGAGGGAAACTAACAAAATAAAACTGAACAGCATCTGAGACATACCTAAGCACTTGGGAAGATCAGAGTTGCAGACCTGAGTATAAGAATAGATGGGCCAGTGTTCTTCACTACAAGAACATTTGAATTGACTATGATGTTGATAGCAAACTGACATTATGAAGCTTTGAACTATTTGCTATGAGGCGTTGTATTGGTCAGGATTCTCTAGAGGGACAGAACTAATAGGATATATGTATATATGAAAGGGAGTTTATGAAGGAGAAGTGACTCATGTGATCACAAAGTCAAGTCCCATCATAGGCTGTCAGCAAGTTGAGGTACAAAGCCAGTGGTGGGTCAGTCTGAGACCCCAAACCTCAAAAGTAGGGAAGCTGATAGTGCAGCCAAAGGCCCAAGAGCCCCTGGCAAACCATTAGTGTAAGTCCAAGAATTCAAAGGGAACTCCCCATGAGGCCATCAGTGCAGGCTGTGGGGAAGAAGGCAGGGTGGCAGGAATGGAGGCCATGGGCATTTGAGGCACTTCCTATGTGACTTTCTTGTGCCCTCAGGATCTGCTTGAGCCCAATCATGCATATACAACTTCCATCTGATGATGGAATGCTGCTGTGCATGCCCAACTTCATGGCTAGATGGGTCAGAAAGCACCCAGTTTATGATAGGCAGTTCAGGTCACATGGTGACTTGATGACCCATAGTCAAACCAAAGCCCAGTAGCAGGCCAAGAGTTGCCTCTCAAAAGAAGAGGAGTTATCTCCAGAAGATAACAGGGCCTTGCTGCAAAATCCTAGAGGCCTCTGCTTCAGTCCACCTATGGGGGCCTGCCAGAGGTGCCAAACAGCTTCCGTATCTACCACTGACACACCAAGCACCATTG
The DNA here is from genome assembly GCF_000001405.40 of Homo sapiens. NCBI lineage: Eukaryota > Metazoa > Chordata > Mammalia > Primates > Hominidae > Homo > Homo sapiens. The sequence continues at coordinate 30,199,253 of NC_000014.9, read as the reverse complement.
GATCTGCTGGGCTTAGACTTTTGGGTTAATGCTGGAATGAGTTAAGACATTGGGGGACTGTTGGGAAGGCATGATTGTTTTAAAATGTGAGGACATGAAATTTCGGAGGAGCCAGGGGTGGGATGATATGGTTTGGCTGTGTTCCTACTCAAATATCCTCTTGAATTGTAGTTCCCATAATCCCCACGTGTCATGGGAGAGACCTAGTGGGAGGTAATTGAATAATGGGTGTGGTTACCCCCATGCTGCTGTTCTCATGATAGTGAGTGAGTTCTCATGAGATCTCATGGTTTTATAAGGGGCTTTTCTTCCTTTTGCTGGGCACTTCTCCTTTCCGCCGCCAAGTGAAGAAGGATGTATTTGCTTCCCCTTCTGCCATGATTGTGAGTTTCCTGAGACCTCTCCAGCCATGCTGAACTCTAAGTCAATGAAACCTCTTTTCTTTATAAATTGCCCAGTCTCAGGTATTTCTTTATAGCAGCATGAGAATGGACAAATACAGATAAGAATCACTAAGGATGCCTTTTGTTTTAAAGACTATAAAATGCAACTTGAATCAGGTTTAATAATAGGAGAAATCTCTTGGTTTATATAGTTAATGTTCAGTGGTAAGGTGAGCTTCAGGTGAGACTTGATCTAGTTGCTGAGTGATATCACTTGGTATATGAGTTGTTTCTGTATCTTTATTTGATTTTCCACATTATAAACTTTATTCTGAAGTGAACTTCCCTCATAGTTTCAAGATCTCTGTTAACAGCATCCAGGGTAGTATTAAATGCTTTATCATTCATTTTTGGTGGGACAGAGTGTCTTTTATGGTAGTTACTGAGAGAGAAAGAGAGAGAGAGGGAGAAAAACCTCCCTTTCAAGAATCCTCTAAAAATAAAACATTTGCCCAAATTAAATTCATATCCACCCATGTGGTCAAGGAGATAGGACACATAGATGTGCTTGAGCCATTCAGCACCCTTTCTACAACAACACTGGAGCTAGAGATGGGTCAGTCCTGCCAAAAACTGTGACCATGAGATTAGAGGGAAGGAGAAAATGAATCTGCAGAGATCTATTATGGTCTGTAAGATGGTGTATTAGTCTGTTTTCACACTGCTGATAAAGACGTACCCGAGACTGGGTAATTGACAAAGAAAAAGAGTTTTAATGGACTCACAGTTCCATGTGGCTGGGGAGGCCTCACAGTTATGGTGGAAGACAAAAGGCACATCTTACATGGTGGCAGACAAGAGAGAATGAGAACCAAGTGAAAGGAGTTTCTCCTTATAAAACCATCAGATCTTGTGAGACTTATTCACTATCACAAGAACAGTATGGGGGAAACCACCCCCATGATTCAGTTATTTCCCACCAGGTCCCTCCCACAACATGTGGGAATTACGAGAGCTACATTTAAAGATGAGATTTAGGTGGGGACACAGCCAAACCATATCAGATGGCTAGGCTAGACTTCTTGCTGTTAAATGCAACGTGTGATTGCGGTTGATGAGTTCTGAGGAGTGGTCTCTTAGGAACATGATAAAGAAATTCTCCAACAGCCTAGGTAACTCAAAGACTCATCAGTGTAATTAGATGTAGAAAATTAATACTCCTAGAGAATATGGATATTTCTTCTTAGATGAATAAAAAAGGCAGTTCTCAAACCTGGACTATGCCTCAGAATTGCCAGATCCCATGCCCCACCCCAACAATTCCTGAATGAAAATATGCAGAGGTGGGGCTCAGAAGATATATTTTTTAGGGTGCTCTGCAAATACTCTCATGTAGTCATGTGGGAGGCTTTGAGAACTAATATCTAAGGCTTACGCAAAGCCCACCTTTAATAATAAAATGTATCACAGCTCTGGCCTGTGACATTAATACCAAGGGACAAGGTGGCCTGTGGTTTGGAAATTCAAGATCCATCAGTATGAAGAAAGAAAAAAAGTCAATACTCCCTGGTGGCATACAGCTTTCTTCACAGACAAGACATACAGATTTTGCTGGGAATTCATATTCCTCCCTGCCCTACCTCATCCTTTTTAGGTTGCGGATAACATAGTTTGACTCATGTACCTTTCCAAGTAAGCTGCACTTCAGAGGCAAAGAATTAGGAGTGAGTGGCAGTAGCCCTACACAGAGAAGCCTATATTTTGAAATGGGACTCTTCCATTATAGAACTCAAACTTTCCCACAGCTGTTCTCTGGAATTCTTACTATGTGTCAAGCCCTGTTCTGAGGTTTTATATTATTAACTGATTTAATCCTCAGAGGTAGATGCTATTATTACCTCCACTTTATAAATGATAAGACTAAGGTATGCAGAGGCCAAGTAACTTTACTGCATTGACCCAGCTAGTCAGCAGCAGAGTTGGTTCTAGAACTGCCATTATGGGTTCGTGTCAGGCAGAAGGACCCTGAGTTTAGAAATGCTTTTGGTGACTTCAAATGTGTAGGCAATGTGCTCATAAATGACACAGTGTCTTAATTACTTCTGGACAACAGGCAGCTATCTTGAGATCATTTGGGTCATTAACACATGTGTTAGTCCATTTGGGCTGTTATAATAGTCTACCTGAGTCTGTGTCATGTACAAACAACAGAAATTTATTTCTCGTAGTTCTGGAGGCTAGTAAGTCCAAGATCAAGGTGCCAGCAGATTTCATATCTGGTGAGGGCCTGTTCCTCAGAGATGGCGCCTTCTGGCTGTGTCCTCACATGGTGGCGGGCAAAGGGGCTCACAGGCTCCCTCAGGCCTCTTTTATAAGAGCACTAATCCCATTCATGAGGACTCTGCCCTCACGACCTAATATCTCCCAAGGCCTCACCTCTTAATACCACCACCATTAAGATTTCTACATAGGAATTTTGGGGGTAGTGACTCCATTAAAACACAGGTGGGAGGGGACAGAATGACATTCCTAGCAGTGCTGTTTCGATCCTGATACACTGTGATTTGACATTCCATGTAACCAAATTTGGCATTGTGAAGAGCCTTCTAATGACATTTTATGGTATTTCAGATAGAGTCATTTTATATGTTTCAGAAGAGAGAGTGCAGGAAATTTGAACGTTGGTATCTGATGGATTCAAACCAAAAGAAATAGGAACTGGCTTGCTAATGAGGCAATGACTTCCCACCACAGCATAAGGGGAGGTTTGTGAAGAAGCGGGTCATGTAAGGCAAAGCTTTGCTAATGCAAATTGATTCCTGGAGGGCTTCCAGGTCACAGAGGGCTGGGTGATTATGGCTACTGTTGGAATAGTTTTAGATAATTAATGGTAACCATTAGACACTGAAAGTTATTTGGCTTTTGGACATTTCTCCAGCGTGTGCTTATGGCATATTTCAATAATAGTCCAAAATAAAATAGAACTCATTTAATTCACATTAGCTTGCTGAAGAATGCCATGTCTAATAGCTGTGACTTTCTTTGTGCAGTGATTTTGATAGAAGTGAACACTGTACTTTATTCCATGCATTAAGGTGGATGGTACTTTGAGTTTCTAATCTAGGAATTGATTAATCAATTGATTGGTTGACTGATTGATTCATTCATTCACCTAACCTATTTATTGAGTAAGGGAAAAAGATACTGGTGAGTGAAATTGGCTTGGGTAGTTTAACTTCACCAGAAATCTCTAGCAGGTCATGATCCAGAAACCATTGATATCAACATCTGAGATTGTTCTGAATGACTGGGCCAGAAGCCTTTTTAATATAGTCTTAGAGGAATAATGATCATTTATCACCATAAAACAATCTAGCTTTGCTTTTACTAGCCAGATGTCATACTTCTTTATTTTTCTTAAGCATAATCTTTCTCTTTATTTTCATAATTGAATCCGCTCATGAACATTTATGGCCTTTTCCATTTAGTTGCCTGTCCTAGAACAGGTTCTGCAAAGATAGCCCTGCATCTTTGAGTACAGTAAGGCAACCAAGTCACCATTAGTACCTGTTACATAATGGCTACCATTTAGTAGTTACACTAAAGGCATATAAAATGCTTCTCAAACATTATCTAATCTAATTCTCACTATAGCCCTGTGTTAGACATTCTTATTTCTATGTAAAAAATGAAGCACCCAGGGTTTAGAGTTTAAATAACTTACTTAAAGCCTTCCTGATGAAAGTGGAAGTGTGGAGCTTTGAAATACAGGCCTCTGTGGCTCCAAAGTCTCTGTCCTTCAAACTGTACTGGTTTTTACCACACAGAATAAGTACTTTGAAATTCATTTCATTTTGCCTCCTTTTAAGGTAATAGCCATTTTATTTCTTCTGGCTGACTTTCTGCAATTACTTTCCAGTGCAATGACTCATTGATAAATCTCTGCTTTGGAATTCTTTCTTTGTAGATGTTGTATCTCTGGGTAGTGGCCTCCTGCCCGCACCCCCCCCGCTTTTTTTTTTTATTCAAGAGCAGACACAGAGTCTCTTCCCTTATGTCTCCACCTCCCTCAGCACTTTCTCTGCTAATCTTCCCTGTCAAAGTCTCATTCTCCTTACTGACTTATCATCTCTATCCCTTATTTTTGTATGACTGGAAAGAAATGTGCTAAGAATACATTTTTATAAATTGGAAAAAAGTATTTTTGGATACGAATAGGTGAAGAGTTGGTAGGAAAATATAGCCATATTTGTAGTCTAACTGCCTATAGAAAATCCACGTGTGTTTACTGTCTTTGCATGTTTCCAATGCTCATGGACGTGTGTCAGAACTAGGCACTGTTTTGTTATATTATCCAGATTTAAATGCTGCACAGGAATTCAAGAACCAGGTGGAGACTTAATTAAGTCATTGGATGCAAGAAATAGTTTCCATCCATTTGGTCTTTGCACTTGATGTTGAAGATATGTACTTGAGAATATTGTATAACTTACAGGCCCAAATAATATTCTAAAGATAGGAAACTTGGTGGTACATGCCATCTAAATGCACAGGATAAAGGCGATGTAAGTAAAACCACTCAACAGCTGCTACAAGTGTGCTGCTATAAAAAAGCTCTGTTACAAGATGTCATTAGAATGCAGGGCTCATCCCAAGTAACATATATCATCACGCCTCTTGTCTTAGGGTTTCTTTCTTTTCTTTCCTCATGCTAGATGAGTGTAAATAATTTCATTCCTATTTTTTATATAAATAAACTCTGAAACAAAACTTGGTTCTGAGACCAGAAAAGAGCCAGTTAGATTCCAGTTTTCCTTTTTATTGTGAAATAATGACATTTTTAGGCTATGACATTTCAGCAATGTTTTAGGAATCTTTATTGCTTAATTGGAACATACTAAATAGATGAGGAGGCTCTGGGAGAGACGTTTCTCTACACATTCTTTTAGCTGATATGCATTGAATTGGCACACTCCGTCTCCTCTGCTTATGATGTGGACATTAGCTTCTCTCTCTTCTAAATCTCCCATTCATGGCTTCCTGTTTGGCCCCACTCTTGCTGCCCCGGTCTCTCGGTCTCTCATTATCGCAGTCTCAGCAGTCACTTAACTCTACCCTTGCCTCAAGTCAGGCTCATCTTCAACCCATCTTCCCTAAGATTTCTAGAGTGAGGGTGTAATATCACTCTCACTTTAAAAAGGGCAGTGGCAATCTAAAGTCTACTATATAAAATTTAAAATCTATATCAGAACATACAAAGTACTTTATAATCAAGCCCCAGTTTAATTTTCAAGTGTTATCTCCTGAATACTCCACCATCTTCTCACTACATTATATATCCTATATTTTAGCCAAAACAGGCCACTGGACATTTTCTGAATGTGCCACATTTCTTCACTGCTATTGGTTTTGGTACTTGCTATTCTTCACGTAATGACATTTTCCTCCATTGTCAGGTTGGGGAGATGTTCATCATTTATATCTTGTTTCCGATGTCAACTCCTCTCTGAAATATGCCATGTTAGCCCTTGGAGAATTAGGTGGCGACTTATATAGCATCTACTTTTGTGTTCATCTCCTCTAATGTTGATTGGGTAAGTTTGTTTATTCATGTGACTATAAATTCCTTGAGGATGGAGTTTGGATTCTTTCACTTTTGAATCCACAAAACCTTTTTTTTTTATGGGAAACTGTTGGTGCCTTTTTAATAAGTTGTGGTGAGGAGAGTTCAAATTACAGCATAACAGAATTCGTTTAGTGAATTAGCACAGTCTGTAGTTAGCATATCATATAGCAGTATTATTCAGTTAAGGAAAAATACAGTTGAAACACATTACATTTTAATTCCCTGTGAGTAAAGTGATAAGTAAATGTCAAATCATCATTGGGAGAACATGGAAATAGTCAAGCATAACGAACCTACAGAAAGATAATTATCTCCAAATTTAGGAAGCACATTGACCTACCTACCCACCTCTTTCAGCACAGTGTCTGTAACATAAAAGGTACTCAATACACATTTTCTAAATGAAAATAATAATTTTGAACTCACCTGAAAAGTAATATAAACTTAATTCAGCTTGTGTATGATGTTACAATACTATAGTAAGTACAGAGTTTGAAGTAACTCATGCCTTCCCAAACAGAAACATGAAAATACCTGTCATGTATATGCTGGCCTCTATACTTCAACTCAGAAGGCAAAGGCACATAATGGCTATTTGTCCGACATTTAGTAATACTAATATTGATCAGAGGGTTCCAATAGCGAAAAACCTAAAGCTTCCATTTTAAGTTCTCCATCAAACTTTCTTCTAAGGGGTTTATGTATTGGTGATTGTTGCCTAATTCAATTATCTTATTAGCAGTTTCAGAATAATGATTTTTAAAAATTCTGTCATTTATTTTAAATTTATTAGCTGGAATTATTTCAAAAGCAAGCAAACAAAAATCTTTTGCTGATCAAATATGGTTATTGGGTTATCCTTATATACAGTTCATACAGGAAAGGCAAAACTTATTGCCAAATTTCAGAGTAAAGAATTGGTACCCTAGTTACTTTCAATGGTGTTCAGCAATATATTAATATATGTGCTTTTGAGTTTATTCCTGTTATTTAGTATCATGCATTGTCCTTCTGGATTAGGATTTATAAAACATTGTCCTTTGTCCTTCAAGATTCCTAAAACATTGTTTGAAAAGTCATAGCCTAAAAATGTCATTATTTCACAATCAAAAAGAGAATTGGAGTCTAACTGGCTCTTCTCTGGTCTCGGAACCAAGTTTTGTTTCAGAGTTGACTTATATAAACATAGGAATGAGATTATTTATGCTCATCGAGCATGAGGAAAGAAAAGAAAGTACCACTATCCATCCATTCTGGCCATAAAAAATGCTCTGTCTCTGATTCATGTCACCCCTTTAATATCAAGGAATTGTGTAATAATCTTCAACACAAGTCTATGATTGATTTCTTATACCAATCAGCCTGTCAACTTCAGCAAGGTAAGAACCAATTATCTTAACAGCTGGCACCAAAATTCCTCTGAGGGAGAGATCAATCTTTGCTTGGGAAACTATCTTGATAAATTGCTTGGAATAGAAGAGGACACAGAGGGGGTGGAAGAGAGAAGAGAAAAAGAAGCTAGGTAATATGATGAGAACCTGGAGCCCAAGTGAATAAAATTAGCTGAGGGATTTTTTTTTTTTTTTGTAAAGAAAGAACAGGGATATCTAATGTTTAATATTACATTGTTTGTGGCAGAAATTATTGCCACTTCTCCCAAAACTTCAGTGACACATACTATATAACATACTTGAAAGCCTGATATAAGGGCATAAAATGTTTAATGTATGTTAGGAGAGGGAAAACCAAGAAAAGAGGTTGAGTTCCTTATCTGTGTCAATCTGATGCAAACAGAGACCATACAAGTGGAAAAGTAAGACAGTAAGTTGGATTAATCAAGCAGAGAAAGGAGTTGAAAGCCATAGCTGGGTCTGCAAACTGAAGCCTTCTCTAAATTCTCAGAAATTCTGGAAGAAAATGTTGGAAATTCCTCAGGAAATGGAAAGGTGAGTTGAGCCAATCATTTGTAAACCTTAGGCCACAAGCTAACACAACTGATACAGAGAAATTGTATGAAATATATCTCAAATGCTTATAGCAGCATGTACTGATTGTCCTTTTCACCCTCTTCTGGCATAGGCTAAAACTTCTCCCTCTGCTTCCGCTTTGGTAATGGCTTCCTTAGTTGTTCCTTTGCTTCTTAGCTCTGAGTTCAGTCATCTATCTCCACTTGGAACTTGATGCTACCTTTCCTGCCAGGCCTCTGGATCATGCCAATTTTCATTTGGAAAAATGGCTTCTATCTCACAGTGCATGGAGTCTCAGAGTTTAGGCTCAGGGTTTTATGCTCTTTACAGGATGCCTCTCAAAAGATGGACCAGTTCACTGCCTTGATTCCTACCCACGCTGCTGGCTGATCTGACTATTCCAGGAGCAGCGAGTTTGAAGTTCTCTTTTGTGTTCATCTTATTCCCACTTTTAAGTCTTTTGCAAGCATGTGCTTCATGTCTGAAATTTCCTTTCACTCTTTCTCTTTTCCCAAGTAATCTGTAAAAATTATTAAAATAATGAAGGTTAATATTTTCTGTAATACATTTGAAAAGATCATTTATGTAGAACATATTATCACTGTATTAGCTATCTATTGCTACGTAACAAATTTGTGAAGAAAGATATGTTTTCTTGTTTGTGATGAAAGATAGGAGATATAAATGTATGTTTGTCTGCTGCTGACAAAGACACACTGGAAAAAAACTGGTGATATAGGAGAGAGAGAGTGAAGAGTTCTGGAGTTATGTCCTTCAAAGATTGGATCTGCTGCACAAGAGGAGACATCTTTTAAATAGGAGCATGGGTAGTTCACCTACAGTAGAAAGTGGGAACACAGAGCATCCTCTACAGATGTTGGTAATTGGAGAGGTCTGGTGGTGGAAATCTGGTGGTAGATGGGAAGAAGATAATGTGCTGAAGTTCTCTTATCACTGCTTCAGTTTTCCCAGTGAAATAAAAAAAATCATCAGTTGAGAGTGAGGATATGGGTGGATGTGCTGAAATATTTGAAAGGAATGTGATAGTTCTATGTTCTGTAGGAGAACAAATGGCCTAGGGAACTATAGTATATTTGCTGGGCACCATTAAAGACCCATTTAAGTTTAAAGTGAGATCGTTCAGCCATATTAAATCGCCCAGGTTTAGGTTTGGAGTAGGCAGAAAAATTGGATTTTTCTAGGCTTGTGATTTGGTCAAACACCCAAAACAAAGTGACAGTGAGGCAGGGGAATTGAAGGCATGTGCAAGAGAGTGAATATAATGATTAACCATAAAATTTAAGATAATCTAGGAGGGAGATAAGCTGTCTGAGGAGTGAGGGAAACAGAAAAGATGGTAGGAACAATGCATTGGATTCCAGGTTGGGTGAAGGCATTATTTGAGTTGGAGTACTAGAGAGAGTACCCCCAACATGGTAGTCAAGAAATAAGATACATAAAGTAAAGATCATGGAGGGGTTGAAATTGTTAGCAAGATGGCCATTAGCATTAATGGCTAAGGTAAGGTGGAAGGTAAGGTCATGGAGGAGAGAAGTTCATCCCAGTAGATATAGACATTGACAAGAATTAAGGCAATAGGACTATTGGATAGAGTGACAATGAACCAGATGTTTAAACTCCTTAAGAAATGAGTGGGTGATTGGGAGGACAATAATTACAACAATAATGAAGGAGCAGTGAGTACTAAAATCCAATGACATGAGCTTTAAAAGACAAAGACCTAAGTTGGGGAACATAAGAAAGAATTTTAAAAATCATTTTTTATCCTTAGAGATATTCAAGAGGCATTCATAAATCAAGAATAGGGAGATATAAAAAGAGAACAATCTAAGAATAAAAAACACTATGTAGAAATTAAAAGTAACATTATAAAATAAAATCCAATAGATGGGCTGAACCATAAAATGGGCATATATTAAGAACAAATTAATGGTCTGGAAAATAAAGGTGAGAACATTGCCCATAATACAGAACAAAATTAGAAAGATATGATATCTGAAAGAGAAGTTGAGAAACATGGTAGGATGAAATGAGAGCCCCAAGATTTTCTGAAAGGAGGGGATTGATAACTTAAATCAGTAACAGAAGACCATCTCCAAGAACTAAGAGCTGATTCCTCATATTAAAAGACCTAGCAAGTACTGAACATGGTAAATGAAAAAAGACGACTACCTAGGCACAGCATGATAAGATTGGAATGCCAAGGATAAAGCAAAAATCCAAATAGCTTCTTGAAAGGAATAAACCATTACCCGCTAAGGAATGAGAAACAGATTAGCATCAGACTTTTTTCTAATTAACCACGCTGAATGCAAGAAGAAAACGTGAGCAATATTTTCAAATTTTTGAATGAACATATATTTTATTGTGGTAAAAAACACATAATATTAAATTTACCATTTTCACTGTTTTTATGTGTACAATTCAGTAGTGTTAGGTATATTCACATTGTTGTGCAACAGGTCTCTAGAACTTTTTCATCTTGCAAAACTGAAACTCAATGCCCATTAAACACTAATTGTCTCTCCCTTTCCCCCAACCTCTGGCAACCACCTTTCTACTTTCTGTTTCTATAATTTTGACTATTTTTTTTAGATACTTCATATGAGTAGAATCATACATTGTTTGCCCTTTCATGACTGACTTATTTCAGTTAGCATAACGTCCTTGAGGTTTATCCATGTCACATGTGACAGGATTTCCTTCTTTCTGAAGCTGCATAATATTCCTTGAGTGAAAATAATTTTTAATTTAGATGTCTATGCTCAGTCTAACTATAGTCCAAATATGAGGGCAAAATGAAATCATTTTCAGGCATAAGGCCTTATTCAAGCAGCCCACAGACCCTGAAGGATATGTTGCAGAAAGAGGAAGGTATGGCATACAAAAAATTCTAGTGAGCAAAATTCGGTAAAACTTTTAGTTGTCTAAATAATTGCCAGTGCATAATACAAAATATATTAATTTTTAAGTAAATTATTAGATAATTACATCATGTGATAGGGCAAATAAAATTAGAGAATGCTAAGGTTTTCCCCTTGTCCAGCAAGATGGTGCAGACATTAATTCATTTCACATGTTTTTGAAATATATAAGTTGAAACGTGTGACCTACAAATGTAAGAGTAATCACTAAATAATAAAAATAGATTCTATAACTTCTAAATAGAGGAAAAGAAATAAAATGAACATTAATAACCCAAAAGTCCAACAGAAAAAAGTAGAGGAAAAGAGAGAACAACAAAATATATTTCATAGAAAATGCAAACTAGGAAGTAGGAATAAGGACTAATATGGAATTAATTGTGAAATTTGTTATAATATTAATGGGTGATAATTCTTAATATTATTTAATTAGATTTATTAATGTGGTGCTTATTAATCGGGTAAATTCCTCTATGAATGGAGATTTTTCTGATTGGGTAAGAAAAATCGGTATGTGTTAGAGACAACACTAAAACAAAATGGCACAGGAAGACTGAAAATAAAAAGCATATGCAAAGCAATATTAACAAAACTAAAGTATGTGTAGCAACACTATATAAGAAAGTAGAATTTAGGCCCCAAATTTGACAAACAAAAGGGTTATTGTATATTAAAATATGAACATCTCTCTGAGAATATATAATAGCTGTGAAGCTGTAGACATTATTATAGCTTTTGGAATCATGAAGAAGAAATTTGTTAGAAATGCAAGGAGAGAGTAACTTCTAAAATCACAATTGGAAATTTAATATACCTTTTTTCAGAATTTGAAAAATCAGCTGCACAAAAAAGAGGTAAATATGTAAGATTTCAATAACAATCAGCAAGTTTGATGTAATATGTGTTTATTTCTATTTCTTTATTTACTTCTATCTTTGTAACCCACATACAGAAAATACATGTCTTTTTTGAACCTTCAAAACAAATACATCAACAATTAACAGAGTTCCTCCCCTACACATAATCTCAAAATATTTCAAAAAACAGAAATAGTTCAGGCTATGTCCTCTAATCACAATGCCATAAAATTAGAAATTAACAACAGAAGAATAGAGAAAAGAATCTCTAATAATTGAAAACAATAATCACTTTTGAAGAGGGGAGTAGAATTTATTGGGTAAGAGGGAGGTAAAATGAGATTTTCATTTTTAAAAAATGCATAACTCTCTATGCAATATTACCCTTGTAATTAAAATATAGAAACCTATAAAAGAAAAATACATTAGCAACTTATTCCTTCGTGAACCAATAGAACTTCAAATGTTCTCTTTGTCTTCTATCCCCATAATATTCCTGTGAATATCGTAGAGGTGGGTATTATTCCAATTTGACACAATAAGAAACTGAGGTACAGCTACAAAGCTGGTTAAAAGACTGTGTCTGAATCAACCTTCCCTTCCGGGGGTTTATAGGATAGGCCTACTTTTCCTATAGATATTGTTTTACAAAAATACATAAACAAGAACATAAATATTTGTTTATGCAAATAAGTCAGAATCATGCTATAAGGACAATGATATAACCAAATGTTTTTCTACTTAAAATGTAACCCACTCTAATACTGTGAGCTGAAACTTAGTTTTTTCAACCTTTTTATTTGCTGAGGGTAACTTCTAGCTGCCGATTGAGGTAGTAGAGTTCACCATGTGCCTTGTTCTCTGAGAGGTTAATACAAGGAGACTCATAATTATGATGCTTATTATGAGGTACAAGACATTCCTTAGAAGGAACAAGACATTTCCATGTTTGGGAAAGTTTATGAACCCTTATTCTGACAAAAAAAATCTTTAAAAAATAAATGTCTTAAGTATTAAAGAATATATACAATGTTTTTCTTTAAATTACAGAATACACAAAACAATGAACGCTGCCTTTTACTATTCAAAACAAAAGTACACAACCTGTTAGGAAATGAATTAAGAGTTTAAATTCCTCAACCCCATTGCAAAAGTGGGACAGTTACTTTTCAACATTTTTCTGTAGTGCCCCTCTTGAGTTGCATGGAGACCTCCTACAGTATTCAGAATTCTGACTCCCCTCTCTTTCCTTGATTCTCAGTAGAAACCTTAAATTCCTTTTCATTCTACTCTACAGAGCATTTCATCTCTTGTCATTCTACCACTCTTAATTTTTCAAACCCAAACCCAACATGGGGCTAAGTTAAATAAAGCATCCTCTGGTAACAGGACCCATTGTCCTTAGAAAGAACTGAGATTATAAATAATTTGTATTGGCAGCTTGTTTTCCTAGTGGCTCAAAAAGGTAAGGCACTTTTCTCAAGGACAGATTAGTATGAGAAAGATCCTGGGAACTCTCATTTGAGTAGCAATAAAATTTAAATAGCATAGTTTACATTTCCAAATACCCCTGTGATATGTTCTTGAAACATTACTTCTTTCCTCAAAGCAATCAAGAAACTCCAGGGAGAGCAGCAACATCAATTCTAGAAGGAAAATATTTGCTTCATGTGTGAGTTCAGCTATCAGGTCTTAAAATTAAACTAATTTAGTAAACGTCATTTTTATACAACCAAGTCATTTTTATATGCTTGGCACACTGTAAAATAAAGGAGAAAGGTCTCACTATATATGAAACTTAAAGTTGACTCAATCACCTTTGTTTCTTTGTTTCAACACTTAGGCTGTATATAAATTAGTCATGTGACAACCAAGCTGAAAATGTGACTCTTAGCCTATGCTAACATCTGCCTTAAACAAATTTGCCTTTTCAGTAGTAAATGGATTTGGAAGTCTGAGATATTTTCAAATACATTCTTGGGTTTTTAAAATTTATTACCAGAAAAATCCTTGCTGAGAATCATGTCAGGACACATTGGTGCTGTTCCACAGAAGTTCTGTTTGTACTGGTAAATTCCTTCTTAACTTCAGAATAGACTCCTCTATTAAGTTACCTGTGTTTGGTGGCAAAGGGGTGTTTTACAGGCTTAGCAGGAGGAAACCAAATTTGCAAGAAAGAAGGTTTAAAGTCATCACACTCGTCAACTGCCCAATAAGATCCAACAATAAACTCTAGGCAGAGCTATGAATGAGTGCTGGCAATGTGTTAAGGTCCAAGCAAGAATAATTAACACAGAGCAGCATTTCTTGAACACAATTGAACCTAACACCAATCAAAATGTTCTGCGTTTAGATTATTTTTGCAGTCATGAAAGTTTGCCTTTAAAGACTCAGATAATTTCTGATTCCTGTCTTTGAACTGCATTATTTTCACCATTTGTTCCTGCTGTATGATTCAACTTACTGATACAGCATTATGATTTTCCCCTCTTTCCTCTCCCCACCTTTTTGTTTGTTTTACAACCACTCCGTCTATATTTTTTCTAGCTGTTCATTTCACCCTTTTCTCCCTTGGTTTGTTTCACCGTTGTCCCTTTATTTAATTCAAAACGTGAAATTGTTGGAGTTTGGGGTGACATCCCTTATCTGCCTTCCTGGGGCTTGTTTGGGAATTACTTTCTCATTCCTTCTCAGTTTAAAATGTGATTTCTTAGCATTGCCAGTGTAAATCCACAGCTTTGGTGAAATCAGAAGATTCATTTGAGGGACCAGCCTGGTTCTATGATTACAAATGGCCAACCTAATGGTAGTGAGTGCTTGGAGTCATGATTCCAATAGGCCCCAGAAACTTAGGTGCCATTTAAGAGAGAACATCTTCCTGTTTCCCAGCTGTCCTAGCCCTTGGCAATTCCAGACTCATGGGGTTTCTTTCAAGAAGCACCTGTTTGCATTGTAGCCTGAATTTGCAGCAAATTATTTCTACACAGTTGGAAATAACATCAAATTGGCTCTTTTACCAGGCACGCTGGACGGGCGCATTTGGGTTTCGTAGATGTTTGTGTGTTCTTGTAGTGTGAAAATGCCTTTATTTAAAACAAATACATTTTCCAGCTCATTATCCCACAGTGTGAAGCCCAATTCTGTTAAAAATAATTACAATGGCTGAATTATTTTGCTGAGAAAAACAGGTATCCACATGCCACTCTGAATCCAAACTTTTGTTTCCAACAGGCTTTTGATGCATCATCTCAGGGTATTGTAGCTTGAAGGTTTAAGACATATTTCTCTGAGGTTATACTGATCTGGTGATGAAATATCCTTGCACGTACTTGGAATAAGTATATTTCACATTCTTAGAGTACATGGAAAGGAAGGGAGCTTCTGAATTCCATTTTTCTTTTGTTTTTATTTCTTAAAATTATTGAAACTCATTAGGTACTGTCGTCCTGTTGGAACGAAAATAAATGGTTGATTTTATGATTGGCTATATGTATATTAAAATGTTGAATTTGCTTTGGGAAAATGAAGCAAATTCCTCAGTAAAAATCTGAGGAAGGTAGAAACAAGATGCAAAAATTCCAATTCTCACACAAAGCCTGAGATCTTCAGGTCCATGAACCTCTGCCTACTTCAAACTGACCAGCTTCTAAACTCTTTGTCCATATTTATTATTGTCAGTACTACAGAAGGCACATTTGCATGGCTTATTCTTTCCTACATCTTTAATTTGAAGGGAATTAGTTCTGGGTGGATGAGGGAGATGGTGAGGAGAAAGAATCGAATGCTGTGTTCACCAGAAATTATTTTCAGTGTCTGAACCTTCATGTTATTCAGGCAAATAGAGTTGATCATTAATTCTCAATACACTTTCTAAGGTTAAAACAGTCATGTTATCCAGGGAGACTGGAAAATTCCTCCAGGCTAATACAATTTTTGCAGTAACTATTTTGGTGTGCAACGAAATTTGGACTATGGCTGCATTAGCTTTCTAAAGAGGACACAGGACAGAGAGACATTCTAATCCCTGTAGGTACATTTTCCTGGCCCTCAAAGCTGCTCCTTGAATTGTATTGTGAGAAGCTGGGAAATGCTGCCTTTTCTATCTTCCTATTCATTATTTACACTGCACTTTAATATACTAAAAGTTCTAAAAAGTTCTGCAATGAAGTAATTTGTTTAACTTTATTTAACTCAAGTTTCCCACGCTTAAATGATCACGGTGCTGTTTTTATATGCCACATTTATTAACATTCTGCAGTTCCGCAGGAAGAGTGTTATTTTCTGCATAAAGAGCTTTCCAAGAAAGATTTCCAGAATAGTCTTCTAATGTATGGGTTATGGTTGGTAAGAAATATTAGATGCTCTGATATTGCCAAAATATTCTAAAGCCATGGAAGACGCGTGAAGGCCCAGGATATAAGGAAGATGTAGCAGCGAGTACAAGAAACATGTAATTCAGTATCAAATTGGGTTTAGGCTTTTCTGGCAGAGCTATCAATCTAATTTATTTAAAAATGTTTACAATTTGTTCTCGAGAATATAAGCTGATGTTTACAGAAACTATTATACATGTGCAACATGGCTAAAGAGTAAGAGACTGATGAAGTGTTGATGGAAGTTCAATTTTAGAAATAAATAGTCCAAAATTTATATTATAAAACATATATGTTATTTTTTAAAGCCTGTGTAATAGGAATGTTTGCATTTTCTCTCCATTCCCAAGCCCCTGCCCTTTTGCATATTTAAAAGGCAATTCTAGATCATCCCTTATGTACATGGTAGTTTGGTAAGGGTGGTTAGGAGATAAGAAGAAATAGAAGGCACGATCCTTGCCCTTGAGCAGTCATTCAGAAAAGACTCCAGGTGGGGTTCTTACAGTGACGGATGAGTAGACTGGTTATGCAGAGCAAAGAGGAGCAGTGCATTCTGGGTGGAAGGTTAAATGGAACAAACAGTAGAAGAAGAAATTGGCCTGGTCTCATCATGTGGTTAGCTAGCATCAGGGAGCCGAAACAGCTCAGGTTGCCTTGCATCAAATGGTTACCAGTTCTCAGTTGGATGGTGGCTCGCTTGGAGGAGCATGGCCTCTATCGGCATCCTGGGTCCTTCTTTTTGCCTATTCCCAGGTTAGAAAAGTTTAAGGACAAGAATTTTGTTTATGTCTTTGAGGAAACAATCATTTATGAAACTGGACTGACATGGGGGAAAACTCAACAAGAAATCTGAAACCTGTTCCTCTGATGTATTTGAGGACAACTTTATGCAAGATGATTGATAAAAGCACTTTCCAGTGGGGTCATGGTTATGTTAATGCAAAGTCTTTTTCAAATGGTATTTGTGTGCTCTAAAGGCGGATCATACTCCCATATGTTGAAGGAAGGAAAATATAACAGACCATGGCTAGAAACCTGGATAGACCTAGAAACCAGGTTCCTGCTGGAAAGTTGATAACATTTTCCCAGGTCTGGAAAGGGGAGGAAGGAAAAGCATATTTTCCATTTTTCTAAATAAATAAAACCAATCTTTTAATTCACTTTTGGGAAATTTAGCTGGTTTGGGAAAGGTATAAGGGGAGTAAAAACCTGGAGGAAAAGGTAAGGAAGAGTCAGACTCATCCGTGACTCTTTACTCTTGATAGCAGGTATCAGTTTTGATAGCCTTGATCACTTCTCACCTTCCTCTTCCAGGGTGGAAAAGGGACACATTTCATAGTGACCATTAGACTTGAAAGATCAGAAAAACTGCACATTAAGGAATATTATTTCTGGTGAAAGATTAACAAAACACTGCACTTATGACTCTCTGCTATGTACAATCCTTGTTTTTTACATACTTGTTAATGAGAGATTTTACCGTGGGCTACAGTTAGTTAACCAATTAACTGGCAATTTCTCTCCAAGAATTAAGTAGGGCTTTGCAGTCCAAAGATAGAAAAGCCCCAAGAAGAGGAAATGAATAATTTAATTTCTATTAGAATTAGAAAGGCTTTGAACATTTTTCTGGTTGTCTTCTGGGATTTTGATAGGTCTTTTCAAGCATTATCCAATCCTTGTTTTGCTGCCATGCCTAGATTACTCTCTGATTATAGCAATGTAAGTGCTGTTTAAATGAGGCAAGAAAGTTTTGTTTAACGTTAAAACCATCATGTCTCTTCTTATAAGTATAGAACCAGTACTTTAAAATCTAGCCGATACAGGATGTATGACAGTGTAATTATTCAAAGGGAATTTTAAATTGGTATGTAGGTACATTTAAAACACAAACCTGAAAAATTGCCCTTCAAAAATACATTGCCCAGAAGCATGAAATTCTATGTTGTCACTTTACCAAGATATCTAAAGCTCATACAACAAAAATACAAGGACAAATAGGAATATTAACAGTTTAGTTGTGTTAACTGGAGTCACCGAACTGCGTTACTTTCATATTATAAAAGCTAAGACTCATTTTAAGACATAAAATGTGTAAGCAAGCATATGTATTTATAGTCAGTGTCAGTGGCAGGGATTATTTAAAGATTAGCCTAAATGCCTGAAGTTATTTGTCTCTAGAGTCAAGTTTGCAGCCCAAGGGGCACAAAGACTGAGGTGTAGTCACTGGGGCAAGGAGGCAACTGAGCAGCCTCTAAAGTATGGCCTGACCTCTGGAAATTGGCCAATGATTGATTGAAGAAGGCTTTGACTCAGTTCTTGCCCTGAGGTGCCAATTACAAAGCACCCTAGGCGTTATGACATGGAAGAAAGCATAGGGCACTATCATAGCTCCTTGGGCATCCAGCTCAGGCTTGAGGGTTCAGCTTAAACTCCAGAGAGAATGATGTCATTCCATGAAGTAGAAAATACATAACAGGGTGATTATTCTCTAAGTGCGAAACAACTAAATGCCACATAAAGGACAAGGCACTTCGTAGCACAATGATATTAAAACTTTACATGTGTGTAATGCATCTAGTTTAATAGTACTTCTACAAACATTATCTCATACCAGTGGGATGTTGTCTATCTGACTATTTCCCAATCCTCTCTTTTCCAGATACATGCTAGGATTATAGTTACCTAATCCCTTGAACTAAGTGTAATCATGAGATTTGCCTTGACCACAGAAATGTGAACAGAAGTGATGTGTGTCACTTCTGGGCTGATGTTTTAAAATCCTGTTTTCAAATCACTGTGTCTTTTCCCTGTTGTGATGTTACAAGAAGCCTATATCTAGATGAAATGCTCAACTGTGTCTTGAGGGACTGTGAGAAGCAGAGTCACTCTGTCAACCTGTGATGGACATGTAATGTGAAATATTTTTGCTGTCTTAGGCCACTGATTTTCTTTTTTCAACAGCATAATCTTATCTATTCTGGCCCATACAAATACCCATTCATAATTGCTCCATTAAACTCTCATGGTACCTATAAAGGAAATGAATGCTGAGTAAAATGCAGAAGTTTCTAATTTTTTTGTGTGCTTGGCATCTATTACAGTGGTTCAAAGGCCTTTTTGGGGTTTCTTTTCTTCCTGATTATTGACTGCCAAAAAGCTGAGTTTTGGCTCAGTGATCTGTTTCTGTAAAAGGAATAGCCATTGTCTGCAGATACAATCAAAATGAGCCAGAACCACAAGAGGCATTTAAGTAATAATAATTCAAGTCCGTATGTTATTTGTCCTAGAATGAGATGACCATAATTCCAAACACATTTCAACAGACCTAAGGTCACCTTTTAAAGTTATAGTTTAAAATGATCCAGTAACCAATTTATATCAATGTCTTTACTCTCTAGGTGAGTGAAACACACAGTTTGCTTTTCCTATCATGGTTCATGACAGCACTGCCGTCCCAGTCACCAGGCCTAGTTCTCTCCATCTCTCCTCATGGTACAGGCAATGGCCAAGGCTTGCTGTGTCCTGCTCCAGAGATCCTCTCATTTCCATCCCGGTCTTCCCACTGCATTGCTAAGGCCCAGCTCATACTCTATCCATCATTTTCTTCATTACTCTGTCCTTCAGCCTCCAATTTCTCAGGCTCTGATTTATACTGCATGTTCCTATCAGTTTATTTTCTAAATCAGATCTGGATTTTCAGTTAAAAATGAGAAACGAGGATACAGATTCTGATAAATTTTTAACATCTCACTTATTATCACTTTCTGGGCTCATTCTCCTCTTATCTGCTGGCATTAGTATTTGAGCTTCTTGTTCTCATCACATAGATGAGTTCAGTTAAAAATTTAAGTTTATGTAGGAAGACACTTATTACATTGCACTGTAAGAGAGAGAGATTTTCTTTCTTTATTTTACTGGCATGTACCATAAAACAAAAAGGATAGCCTAAAATTTAGGTCAGATTACATTTTTTGTCTTTTTCTTGAAAAACAAACAAACAAAACTCAAAAAAAAAATATTGCCCTCCTTGTTCCCACAGAAGAAAGGAGTTCAAGGATATCTAAGTTTACTTCTAACTTCACCTACTGTTTTGTCCTTCAAGGTAGAAACTGTTACTATTAACTAGTATATTTAGTACATCAACAAAATTAATGCTTTTAGAATTGATTTGATGAATGAATTATTTATCATAATGACTAATATTGGGTATATAAGAGCATTGGGTTATTTGATACATTAGCTGAAGTTTTGAGGTATCATTAATAAGATAGAACAAATATCTTCAATTGAAAAAGAACGATAGCCCCAGTGGGACTAAGCTAGTCATTTCAGCACTGAACCTCATCTGTAAATTTAGTGGAGAGTTGAATCAAAGTGTCTTGTAGAATAACTTCTTTCAAAATGATGAAGCCCAATAGTCTCTCAATTACCACTGAACAAAAAAACATGGAAGAAACAGAACAAAAATAAGACAATGGAAAAGGCATTTTAAATAACTATGGTAGAGCTACTAAATTGGTAGGTACGTACTATAAATCCAGCATTTGCAGAACATGCCACATACATTTCAAGTGAGTCTGTGATCTATACTTGTTCATGATCAAACAAGTAATACAAACAAGGACTGTACAAACAGAATACAGTTGTTTGGGGGATGCTAGGAAAAGTGTCTTAGAAAAGGTGAGCTTGAACTAGTCTTTGGTTTGAAAATGAAACAGCAACAAAAAATGCTAAGGGCAGGAATGAAGGTATAATGGAGAAGCTGTCTGGTTGAAATTCATGTTGTTAGAGAAGGGGTTTGAGGTGAGGCTGGGTAGCTAGGTTAAACTAGAATTGAACAGCCTTAAATAGCAAACCGAGATGTTTGAAATCCATACTCAGGGATAGTGCTTCTCTGCTGGGGCCAGAGGCAAGAGGGGATATCCAAACATCTAAAAGAGCTTCTCAAAATGTCACTTTCCTACTCCGCTCTGTCATGCCCCATCCCCAAGGTGCAGAGTGTTCCTGCTGGAGTGAGCTGTTGTTACTCATAGAGTGCCTAAATTAGTTCTGGCAAGAACAAATAATTGAAAACCACTGCTGTAGGCAATTAGGAGCATTGGAAGTTCATGAGTAGAGCAGTTTATGCCAAATAGTTAATCAGACAATGAGCTTCACACAGTGTCCCAAATCCCTCTTGAACATCTCTGTGACATCACTAAAGAAAAATTTGACAGATGGAACTAATAGAGACCCTGTTTGTCTCTGTTTACTATTATTGAAATCATCCCAATTTCTCCATAGAACTGATGTTTACAGGTGTTTTTTTTTTTAAATAAACAGAAATTGACCCTCCCTGTCTTAAAGCTTGAAACTTTTGTCTTATGTGAATTCCTTTCTCAGTAAATCTACCTTTAGCACCCCCCTCCTCCCCACAACCCCAGATAGTATCAAAGAACTGAAACTCACCATGTCACCACATCTGGACAGGAGACACCAGACCCCCTCATTGCCATTATTGCCTGACTGACCATCTGCTGTGTGTTAGCCTACTCCCCTTCCTTACTCCTCCCTAGTAACATTTCTTCCCTGTCATATAAACCTCTAATTTTAGTTGACTAGGGAGATGGATTTGAGACTTATCTCCTGTCTCTTCGCCTGCAGCACTTGAATAAACTCTTCTTCCCTGGTAATATTACTCTCAGTGATTGGCTTTCTGTGTGAAAGGCAATGGGATCTAGACCAAACCCCTGGTGTTTCAGCAACATTATGACATACTATGAAGTTATAACCAACAGAAGAAATGTTTATGTTTCCCCCAACCAAGACCCAAAACAACAATATACGAAATATTTCCCGGAATTTCAAAGAGGAAATACGGAATTGTAATATTCATGCATGTTATAAATTCTGAGATCATTTTTACCTTATTAGTACACAGTTAAGTTTTTGTGCACTTTAAAGATAGATTGTTCTGAGTAAAATGTCATAAAATAAGCTCTGCCTTGGGGCAGAGGTTGTATGGCCGATTTATAAATCTCTTTTAAAAACAAATGAAGTGTTTTTCTCCACCTGTTCTAAGTCTGCACCTGAAGTCCGGATCTGAGTCTGAAGCCTGCCAACATTTACATGCTGATTAATCCTATAAAATTTGATAGAGTCATTCCACTACAACACCTGGAATAATTGCATAGTTGCTGGCAAAAGAGAGCAGAAGGTACTGTTAAATCTGCCAATCACGGTGTAGTTAATAGCTCCCCAGAAATTGCACTAAATACTAACGTCCTGACCTTTTTGTTTATTCACGACCCATTTTCTTTGTATTCTTCTTCCTTTGATTTGATTGTTTGTTGCTACATTTAACAACAACAAAAAGAAGAAGCAAGCCACCCACATCAAAATCCTCCCTTCTTCCTTTAAAATTAAGCATTAATAATAACAAAGGCTGAGAGAACAGTGAAGCCACTGAATCCCAAAGCATATCAGTAAAATGTAGAATGAAGTTTTTTTTTTTTATCAACAAGGTGGGTCTGCTGGCTTCCTGGCATTGGACTGGGCTCCAGCCACAGTGCACCCCAGCCGGGGAGCAATTCTTCATGGTAAATTATGCTAACTTGTAATTCTAGAGCTCCTCTTGATGTGTCTATGTTTTAGATGGTGCCTTAATTCTCATATCAATTCTGAAAGCCAAGAGAAAAAGAAAGGTTGCAGGAGTTTGAGCTTCCCATTTTGTCAATAGAAGACTAAAACATGAAAGACATGAAATAAATACTTTAATATATCTGGTTGAATAGCTACATAGCAACCTATAGAAAAAAAATGCACTGGTCTACAGAAGTTAGTGGCAGTATGGAAAGTGTATATATGGCCTTTAGAACAGCAGACCTTGGATAAGTTACTTAAGCTTGAAGACCCTTGAGTTTCTCATTTATAAGGCAAGAGTAATGATGTGTTTACATTTGTACTCAATATATATTAGTCTTCTCACTATACTATTTGCTCAGTTGTTACATTTTTCCAAATTTATAAACTATGTGTTGTACAATATGTGTTATATATGAAGTGCTAATAATTTATTAACACGCAGGCAAACAGCATTTGCCTTTTAATATAATTTGGGGGGAAAATTAGCAAATGGAATAATTGGGCCATTTATATAGAGGAGAGATACCTGAAGGAAGCACTAAACATGGAAAGGAACAACCGGTACCAGCCACTGCAAAAACATGCCAAATTGTAAAGACCATCGAGGCTAGGAAGAAGCTGCATCACCTAACAAGCAAAATAACCAGCTAACTTCGTAATGACAGGATCAAATTCACACATAACAATATTAACCTTAAATGTAATCCAGCATATAAACAGAACCAATGACAAAAACCATATGATTATCTCAATAGATGCAGAAAAGGCTTTTGACAAAATTCAATGACCCTTCATGCTAAAAACTCTCAATAAATTAGGTATTGATGGGACGTATCTCAAAATAATAAGAGCTATCTATGACAAACCCACAGCCAATATCATACTGAATGGGCAAAAACTGGAAGCTTTCCCTTTGAAAACTGGCACAAGACAGGGATGCCCTCTCTCACCACTCCTATTCAACATATTGTTGGAAGTTCTGGCCAGGGCAATCAGGCAGGAGAAAGAAATAAAGGGTATTCAATTAGGAAAAGAGGAAGTCAAATTGTCCGTGTTTGCAGATGACATGATTGTATATCTAGAAAACCCCATTGTCTCAGCCCAAAATCTCCTTAAGCTGATAGGCAACTTCAGCAAAGTCTCAGGATACAAAATCGATGTGCAAAAATCACAAGCATGCTTATACACCAATAACAGACAAACAGAGAGCCAAATCATGAGTGAACTCCCATTCACAATTGCTTCAAAGAGAATAAAATACCTAGGAATCCAACTTACAAGGGACGTGAAGGACCTCTTCAAGGAGAACTACAAACCACTGCTCAATGAAATAAAAGAGGCTACAAACAAATGGAAGAACATTCCATGCTCATGGGTAGGGAGAATCAATATCGTGAAAATGGCCATACTGCCCAAGGTAATTTATAGATTCAATGCCATCCCCATCAAGCTACCAATGACTTTCTTCACAGAATTGGAAAAAGGTACTTTAAAGTTCATATGGAACCAAAAAAGAGCCCGCATTGCCGAGTCAATCCTAAGTCAAAAGAACAAAGCTGGAGGCATCACACTACCTGACTTCAAACTATACTACAAGGCTACGGTAACCAAAACTGCATGGTACTGGTACCAAAACAGAGATATAGACCAATGGAACAGAACAGAGCCCTCAGAAATAATGCTGCATATCTACAACCATCTGATCTTTGACAAACCTGACAAAAACAAGAAATGGGGAAAGGATTCCCTATTTAATAAATGGTGCTGGGAAAACTGGCTAGCCATATGTAGAAAGCTGAAACTGGATCCCTTCCTTACACCTTATACAAAAATTAATTCAAGATGGATTAAAGACTTACATGTTAGATCTAAAACCATTAAAACCCTAGAAGAAAACCTAGGCAATACCATTCAGGACATAGGCATGGGCAAGGACTTCATGTCTAAAACACCAAAAGAAATGGCAACAAAGCCAAAATTGACAAATGGGATCTAATTAAACTAAAGAGCTTCTGCACAGCAAAAGAAACTACCATCAGAGTGAACAGGCAACCTACAGAATGGGAGAAAATTTTTGCAATCTACTCATCTGACAAAGGGCTAATATCCAGAATCTACAATGAACTCAAACAAATTTACAAGAAAAAAAACAAACAGCCCCATCAAAAAGTGGGCAAAGGATATGAACGGACACTTCTGAAAAGAAGACATTTATGCAGCCAAAAGACACATGAAAAAATGCTCATCATCACTGGCCATCAGAGAAATGCAAATCAAAACCACAATGAGATACCATCTCACACCAGTTAGAATGGCAATCATTAAAAAGTCAGGAAACAACAGGTGCTGGAGAGGATGTGGAGAAATAGGAACACTTTTACACTGTTGGTGGGACTGTAAACTAGTTCAACCATTGTGGAAGTCAGTGTGGCGATTCCTTAGGGATCTTGAACTAGAAATACCATTTGACCCAGCCATCCCATTACTGGGTATATACCCAAAGGATTATAAATCATGCTACTATAAAGACACATGCACACGTATGTTTATTGTGGCACTATTCACAATAGCAAAGACTTGGAACCAACCCAAATGTCCAACAATGATAGACTGGATTAAGAAAATGTGGCACATATACACCATGGAATACTATGCTGCCATAAAAAATGATGAGTTCATGTCGTTTGTAGAGACATGGATGAAGCTGGAAACCATCATTCTCAGTAAACTATCGCAAGGACAAAAAACCAAACACCGCATGTTCTCACTCATAGGTGGGAATTGAACAATGAGAACACATGGACACAGGAAGGGGAACATCACACACTGGGGCCTGTTGTGTAGTGGAGGAAGTGGGGAGGGATAGCATTAGGAGATATACCTAATGTAAATGACAAGTTAATGGGTGCAGCACACCAACATGGCACATCTATACATATGTAACTAACCTGCACGTTGTGCACATGTACCCTAAAACTTAAAGTATAATAAAAAAAAGAAAAAAAAAACACTCACTGGCATTTAAGAGTCTCCTAAAGGAATGGCCAGATTCCTGCCTGTTTACCTATGGTAATGAGCACTGGTCAAAAAAACTGTCCAGGCTAAAAGAGTTCCTAACCATCATTTCAGTGCCCTACTCTTAAATATAAATGCACAATCCAGGACCTTAGACTTCTGAAGGAAGGCTCTAATATACAAGACAAGTATAAAAAGGAATAAAAGAAAAGATTTCAGAGAAAAAGATCCAATACAAAGAAAACATTACCCTTCATATTTAATAACCTCAAAGACAAAAGAAATTCTTCTACATAAATAGGACTCTATGAAAAGGTAATATTAAGAAATAATACATAGGTCTTAGAAATTGAAAATATGATAGCATATTAGTTTTCTATTACTGCTGTAACAAATTACCACACATTTAGTGGCTTAAAACAACACAAATTTATATCCAGAAGTCCAAAATGGGTCTTAGTAGGCTAAAATCAAGGTATCAGCAGGACCAAATTTGTTTTCTTGCCTTTTCCAGCTTCTAGATACTGACTGCATTCCTTGGCTTTTGACCCCCTTCTGTCTTCACTTCCAGCAATGACATATTGAATCTTCATCACATTGCATGACTCTGACTCTAACCCTCCTTCTTCCCTCTTCCATATTTAAAGGCCTCTTATAATTACATTGGGTCCATCTAGATAATCCAACTTACCTTAAAGTTGGCTAATTAGCCACCTTAATTTCATCTGTGAATTTAATTCCTTGCCATGTAACACAACATATTCACAGGTTGTGGGGATTAGCACTTGGTTATCTTTGTGGTTGACGGAGGGGGTGGTGGGGTTGGGGGGCGGTTCTTCTGCCTATCACAGAGAGCAAAAATTAAACAATCTAACTGAAGGAGTGAAGATAAAATTGTAGAAACAACCCAGTCAGTAACGCAGAAAAACAAAGAGATGGAAAATAGGAGAGAGAGAAAGTAAAGACATGTGAAAACCAATTCTAAACAATAGAAATTCCAGAAAGAAAATACAGATAAAAGGGATAGGATGATATTATTTTAAAACAAACAAAAAAAGAAAAATCCCAGAATAAAAAGACTTGAATTTTTGATTAACAGAAATTCTAGAAAGAGAATACAGAGGGAATTTATAGAAAATATCAAAGGAATAATAAAAGAAAATTACTCCAAATGTAGTCTTGGATTTCCAGATGGAAAGTGTTCACCAAGATTGCAGCAGAATGTTTACAAAAGAAATCATATCATATCATTTCAAAGCAATAGGGAATTTTTTAAATGTGAAAATTTCCAAGAAAAAAAGGAAGTCATATACAAATTGACTTTCTTTAAGGACACTGACATTTTCTACAACGTTGAGAGTTTAAAGAAAAGTAAGCAAGTCTTTCCAAATTCTGAGAGAAAATAAATCTATTCTTGAATTCTGATCTGGGGTAAATTGTTAAGTGAAAGAGCTATATTTTTTAAATCTTTCATACCCCCTCTTTCAGGAAATAAAGGATATGAAAATGTGGCAATGAATCAAGAAAAGGAGAAACAAATAATTCAATTCAATAAGAGAATGTGGTAAAGAGAAGTTAGACATAAATGGTGTGGGAAAGTTCCATGCTAACTGCTATAAAGCATGTTTAGGCTATAACAAGGCTGAATGAAGTAGAAGCACAGAGAGCTTTAGTAGAGATATCTCCAAGAAATTTTTTTTTCAAAAGGAAGAAAGATAAATTATCTAATGTATTTTATTTTAATGAGAAGAATTTTATATTTCTGTCAAAAAATTTGGACCTAAATTTAGATAATTACTTTAAAAAGCAAGCAAATGAAACAATAAGGCAGTTATAACTCAAATAAAAACAAAAAGCTACAGAAGAAAATAATATACCACACAAATCAGTTCTAAAAAGTGTGTTTTTTAATAGTGAAAACATTAAATACTAATTTAGATAAATTTTTGTTATAGATTTATTTGAGGAAGATGGGAGATATATGTACACATATGGTTGATGACAGTTAAATTTTCATTTTTTATAATAGAAAATCAGAAAAAGTCAAAAATAGATATTCCAAGAAGATAAAGAAACAGTTAAAAGAGTTAAAGGAATTAGGAATTTGCAGTATTAAGGAAAATTATAGTTTTTTAAAACTATAAGTAATGCTTTTTAACAATGAAAATTAATTTGTCTTTTTCATCTATATCATCTCTTAACTCTCTCCCTCTCATTCACTATGCTCCAGCCATACTCACCTACTTCTTGCTTTTTGAAAATGCGAAGCTCCCATCCAAGGGGACTTAGCTTTTATATATACTATTCTATTTCTCCAGAATATATGTCTTCAAAATGTTTCAAGTCTCATTTATTCTTAGTATTCATGTCTCAACTCATGTATCACCTCTTTAAAAAGGTGTGATGGAGTAAAGATGGTTAAAATTTTTGATAATCCTTTCATCAAGAGGTAGAGTCTATTTCCCCCTACCGTGTATCTGAGTTTGCTGTGACTACTTGCTCAATAGAATATGTCAGAAGTGATGCTATGCAAGCTGCAGGTGCAAGCTTTAAGAGAACTTGCAGCTTCTACCTTGGTGTCTTGGAACCCTAAACTGCCATATAAAAGTCTCACTACTCTGATATTACCATGCTGTGCAAAGCCCAAGACCAACAGACCGTGTTAAGTACTGGCTTGATTGAACTCACTTCCTGCAAAGGCAATTGAGGGGTCTCTTCAGACAGATGCTAGTAAGTCTCTAAATACTGAATTTGATCCCTTCCTCAGATCCCTCTTGTGTGAGCCCTTATCATAGCCCTTCCCTCCTTAATCCTTTCACATCCTCCTAGATTATACCCACTCCATTTCTCTATTTCCTGACCAACTTGGCATCTTTGCTCTTCTCTGACTGGGAGATTGGTTACAGTACAACCCCTGTAAACCAACATATACACATACTAAAGTGCCACAGCTGGCCCTGTGGGACCCAAGTATATAGGAAAAGTTGACCTTCCATATGTGTGAATTTCTATCCGTGAATACTGTATTTTTGATCAGAGTCTGGCTGAAAAGAAATCCGAGTGTAAGGGGACCATGCAGTTTAAACCACTGTTGTTTAAGGGCCAACTGTGTGTTCTTTCCAAGCGTTGTGATATGGTTTGCATGTTTGTCCCTGCCTAAATTGCGTGTTGAATTATAACCCCCAATGCTGAAGGTGGGGCCTGGTGAGAGGTGTTTGGATCATAGGGGCAGATCCCTCATGGTTTGGTGCCATTCTTGCAATAGAGAGTACTCACAAGATTTGGTTGTTTAAGTGTGTGGCATCTCCTCCCACTCTCTTGCTCTTGCTCCCATTATTGCCATATGATGTTCCTCCTCCCCCTTTCCCTTACACCATGATTGGAAGCTTCCTGAGGCCTCACTAGGCAAATGTCACTATGCTTCCTGTACAACCTGTAGAACTGTGAGCCAATTAACCTTTTTTCTTTTTTTATTTTTATTTTATTTTTTTAATTTAAGTTTTAGGGTACATGTGCACAACGTGCAGGTTAGTTACATATGTATACATGTTCCATGTTGGGGAATTGAACAATGAGAACCTTTTTTCTTATAAACTATGCAGTCTCAGGTATTTATAGCAGTGCAAGAATAGCCTAACACAGAAAACTGGTACTGAAGAGAAGGGTGCTGCTATAAAGATACTTGAACATGTGAAAGCAACTGGGTAATGGGCAGAGGTTGACAGAGTTTGGAGGGATCAGTAGAAAGGAGGAAGAGGGAAAGTTTGGAATTTCTTAGAGACTGATTAAATGGTTATGACCAAAATACCAATAGTGATATGGACAGTGAAGGCAAGTCTGACAAAGTCTCAGATGGAAATGAGGAACTTATTGTGTATTGGAGTAAAGGTTATGCATGTTATGTCTTAGCAAAGAGCTTGACTGGATTGTGTTCAAGTCCTAGGGATCTGTGGAAGTTTGAACTTGAGAGTGATGACCTAGGATGTCTGGCAGAAGAAATTTCTAAGTAGCAAATTGTTCAAGTGTGTCGTGACTGCTTCTAACAGCCTACAGTCAGATGAAGGAGCAAAGAAATGATTTAAAGTTGGAACTTTTATCTGAAAGAGAAGCAAAGCATAAAAATTTGGAAAACTTGCAGGCTGGCCATGTGGCAGAGAAAGAAAATGGTTTTTGGGGAGAGGAATTCAAGCAGTCTGTGGAGCAACCAGTTGCTAGAGAAATTTGTATAACTAAAAAGAAGCCAAGTGCTGCTAGCTAAGACAATGGAAAATAGGCCTCGGAGGCATTTCTGAGATCTCCCAGGCAGCACTTCCCATTACAGACACAGAGGTCAAGGAGGGAAGAATGGTTTCATGGGCCAGACCCAGGGCTCTGCTGTCCTATGCCGCTTCAGGACACTTCTACCCACATCCAAGCCATTCTGGCTCCAGCCTCAGCTCAAAGGAGCTCAGATACAGCCAAGGCTGCCACTTTGGAGAATAGAAGCCATAAGCCTTGATGGCTTCCACATGGTGTTAAGCTTGTAGGTGCACAGAATGCAAAAATGAAGAATGCTTAGCAACCTAGGTTTCAGAAGATGTTTGAGAAAGCCTGGGTGCTCAGGCAGAAGGCTACTGCATGGGTGGAGCCTTCACAGAGAACCTATACTAGGGCAATGCCAAGGGAAAATGTGGGGCTGGAGCCCCCACAGAGTCCCCAATGGGACACTGCCTACTGGAGCTGTGAGAAGGGGGCCATCATCCTCCAGTCCTCAGAATGGTAGATCCACCAGCAGCTGCACCCTGCATCCAGAAAAGCCACAAGCATTAAACTCCAACCCATAAGAGCAGCCCTGGAGGCTGAACCCTGCAAAGCCACAGGGCAGAGCTGCCCAAGGCCTTAGGAGCCTACCCCTTGCACCAATGTGTCTTAGATGTGGGACATGGAGTCAAAGGAGATTATTTTGGAGCTTTAAATTTTAATGATTGTTCTGTTGGAATTTGAATGTGCATGGGGCCTGTAGCCCCTTTCTTTTGGCCAATTCCTCCCTTTTGGAATGGCAATGTTTATGCAATGTTCATACCTTCATTGTATCTTGGAAGTAAATAACTTGTTTTTATTTTATAGGCACATAGGTAGAAGAGACTTGCCTTGTCTCAGATGAGATTTTGGACGTTTGAATTAACACTGGAATGAGTTAAGACTTTCGGGGACTGTCAGGAAGGCATGATTGTATTTTGCAATGTGAGAAGAATATGTAATTTGAGAGGGACTAGGGACAGAATGATATAGTTTGGATCTGTATCCCCACCCAAATCATATGTTGAATTGTAATCCCCAATATTGGAGGTAGGGCCTGGTGGAAGGTGTTTTGATCATGGGAGTGGATGCCTCATGGCTTGGTGTTGTCTTTACAATAGGGAGTTAGTTCTCATGCGATCTGGTTGTTTAAAAGTGTGTGGCATCTGCCCCTCCACCTCTCTCCTTCTTCCTCCTGCTTTCACCATGTGATGTGCCTTCTCCCTCTTCACCTTCTGCAGTGATTGTAAGCTTTATGAGACATCCCCAGAAGTTGAGCAGATGCCAGCACCATACTGCCTGTAAAGCCTACAGAACTGTGACCCAATTAAACCTCTTTTCTTTATAAATTACCCAGTCTCAGGTTTTTCTTTATATCAATGCAAGAACAGCCTAATACACATTGTTTCTGGAAAAACCTTAAGCCTCTTTCCTTTACAGACTTAGACTTTTGC
Organism: Homo sapiens; assembly: GCF_000001405.40. Classification (NCBI taxonomy): domain Eukaryota; kingdom Metazoa; phylum Chordata; class Mammalia; order Primates; family Hominidae; genus Homo; species Homo sapiens. Next base: position 30,167,731 of record NC_000014.9, on the reverse strand, counting down.
TTCTCAAGCAATTCTTTAAAAAATTCTTCAAAATATAGAAATATAAGTAATTGTTTCTGCTATCGATTTTATAAAAATTAGAAACTAAAAATCTGAGCTTTTACTTTTCATTTCAGCCATACTGGATGGTGGACATCTCTGACTCAATGGGCTGAGTGAGGAAAAGGTTATAGGGTAGTGGTATCTACAAAAATTTATCAGGCTGCAGGACTAGAATTTGAACACTGGCATAGTGACCTCAAAGGCTTCATATAACCACTATGTTATGTGCCCCTCAAGAGTTTATCCTTGTTTAAATAAATCCACTTTTCTCTCAATCAAAAAAAAGAAAGGAAAAATTTTTGGTTATTGAATCCCTCTAATGTGTGTTTGTGAAGTGGGGGGCATTAGATTTAGATGTAGTTACATATTTCTGTATTACTAGAAAAAAAATGGGTTCCTATGCAAAGCCAATTGCTAATTTTAGCCCTCTCTAAGAGTGGATTGAAAATGGGTCCTTGGCCTACTCTTTCTTCTCTGAAGGCATGGATAAAAGATTTTCCCTAATTATTAATACTGTGGGATCAATCAGATTTAAAGTATTTGAATACAGAAGGAAATAAATTAAGACAAAATTCTAGGGTGGTATTTCAGCTTACTTGTTAGAGTTCTAAATGACTCTAAATTTGTTGATCACTATTGGAAGCTTCATGATTCTTCCTATTTCTCAAGAGTGTCATACTGCGTAGAAACCATGTTGACTTACTGATTCATACCCTAAAGGCCCCAAAGAGTTAATTAACAGCTTCTAGAGGTGTGCGTCTTATTAATTAAACACTCACTTATCAGAACATTCAACAAAGCACTATGCAGGGCAACTAAGACCTACATCTCCTCAAACATTCTGAGATGGATAGCAGGGATTCACCATGCCCTACTTCTTAGATGACTGCTTATTTTTCGCCGAGTCTCATCACTTCTCTGCATTCAAAGTCTTTTCAGGTGAGGTTTTTTGAAAGTTAAAGTGAAATGACCATACAAACTTTATTGTTAATAGATGTTAGTCATACGTATAGAATGAGATTGAGAGAGAAATAAAGGAATAAATCAGTGTGTAGGTTCCTCACAGGGTGAACCTACCAGTATTCATGATATCCCAAGCTTTAAAAATTTAATACCAAGAAAGTGGTTGGAAGATATAGAGAAATATGTTATGTGACACTACAGATATTGGGTATTCTGATGTTCTAAACAAGTACATTAGACTTTATTGTTCAGCTTTCTGAGCATTAATTCTTCAAGAATCTCATTACTGGAGTAAAAGTTCAGAATTAGGTCTATCTGAATAAAGGAGAGTCCCCATTTGAGGAAATTAGAGTTTCCTACCATTCCATTTACCCCTTGAGGAAAAAATGTGCACTAAAGACTGATTTTTCTAGAATTTTTACAACTGAAAATATCTTTCAACTGGAATCTTACTTAAAAAATAAGACAAGAGCCATGTAACTAGGCTAATAGGACAATAAGGGCCTTCAGAGGAGCAATTTGTTTAGCTCTCTTTGTTTCACAACAAGGAGACTGTCTTGCATTTTGCAGGTGATCAACAGTGTCAGTACAGGTTAACTGAATAATAAGTTAACTTTCAGAGAAAGAAGAACTTGTAGTTAATATAATTATAGAGCCAAGTTAGAAAATTGTTTGAGAACTGATAAATTTTGGGGAGCACTAATAATAACTCATTTAATTTAGATAATCAATTTATCTGAGTACTCTGATTTTCAATTGTTTTGAATAAGTGGGAATTAACTGGGGGAAAAAACTTCATTTTCTGGATTTGCATGCTGTCCTTCAAATATTTATTCATTTATTCATTCAGTATCTATTTAGTTAGAATTTAATAGCTGCTAAGCAAGGGAAAAACATATAAGAAAAAGAAACACTCTTTGCTGTTCCTCTAGAAAGGAACATCTAATAGTCACAGAAGACTTTGTAGAAGGAAGAATTTAGGCTGTGAGAAAATAAGGATGACTTCACCATTGCTTGAGGATAGGTGAATGGTCATATTATTATATTGTAGAGTAGAACAAGATGTTGGTGGGTGTAAGAAAATAAAATATTTTTTCTCATTTGATGAACCACAGAAACATTCCAAGGAAGAGGCCATGTAAACTAGTGCTTTTCAGACATTTTTAACCACAGACCACAGAGAAAAATATATTTTGTATTGTGATGCATTGCATACAGACACAAATATCAAAGTGAAACCAATCTCACAAAACAGTACTTATCCTCACTACATGCAGTAAGCCATATTATTTTCTATTCTACTCTATTCTGCTCTAGTGTGCATTGGTTGTGATCTATTGGATGGATGACATGGTACAATCACGGCTCACAACTGTAGACAGTTCTGGAGCTTAGGACAGACATGGTGTGAAGCACAGCGACTTATGAGTGATCAGCTGTATGAGAAGGCAAGTCACAGGGTGGCCAATTATGAATACCCAGATTCTCAAAGTTGATGATAATTTATCTTTATCTTTCCCTATGGGTCCTTTTCAGACCATGAAGAGTCAGTTTTAGGATTCCAGGAGGTCCTTTTCTCTCTGGGCTCTCACCTTCTTCTCTCTTCTTCCCATATTTTCCTTGTTCCTTTATATCACTTTAACTTCCTTCTCAGTATCCTAGCTCCATCCTGAGAGGGTCCCAATCCATTCAGGAAAGGTGGCTTAGATCCTTACAATAGATCCTCCTGTCCTTGCAGGAGTAGGCTTGGGCTTTTTAAGAGTTTTAGTAGTAGAGAGGCTACAAAACAGACACACCTTTTTCTTGTTAGCATTGTCCATGTCTCTTAATATAACTTTAATATGTTATTATGTTAATGTAGTCTCCAGTCTACTTCATTGTTTTAGGGATGCTAACTCCCCATTTCTGATGTTTTCTCCATGTGGAGAGGCTTGCATAACAACACTAGTCTGTTTCTGTCGCTTCACTCATCCCTTACCAGCGAGGAAAAGGTGAATTCTAATTGATGTGCCTGGCAGCAGAACTGGGCGTGCTGGCTAAGTCCCTTCCTCTTGCCTTTCTCTTAGGATATCCATTCTTGTCTCACCGCGCATGTAGTAAGAGGGGAGCCTGTGGTTCTGAGAGGTAGTTTAATGTGGTGAAATATTAAAACTTGTTACATTGGCTGAAAACATTGAGATATTGACAAAGACTGGTATTTGGGGAGCAAAATAGTGCCCCGAGGTGTAAATTTCTAGCAGGGCTTCGATCAAGAGGCTTTAGGATTGTGTGATAATTTAATAATGCAGTTTTCAATTTGGCCGATAGGCCATGGAAGTCCTGATAAGCAAGTGCAACTGAGGCAAAATGTGATTTTAGGAAAAAGGAAGTTTGTAAACATGCTTTCTTTCAGACACTTGGAGGCAGAACAATCTAGCTATTTGACCGTGTTTTTCTGCAAAATCTAGGGTCTAGCACTTTTGACTACAACCAAGTTTCCTATTCTATTTATCTGTAAATTTGTCTATCTTTTTTTTTTCAATTTATCGACTTTATCTTTTCTTAAATTTTTTATTTCTTAGAGACAGAATCTCACTCTGTCACCCAGGCTGGAGTGCAGTGGCACAATCATAGCTCTAACTGCAACCTCAAACTCCTGGGCTCAAGTGATCCTCCTACCTTAGCTTCCCAAGTAGCTTGGACTACAAGCACATGCCACCACACCCAGCCAAATAAATTACTGTATTTTGTTTGTTTGCTTCTGCAGAGTCAGAGTCATGCTCTATTACCCAGGCTGGTCTTGATCCCTTGGCCTCAAATGATCCTTCTGCACTGGCCTCTCAAAGTGCTGAGATTACAGGCATGAGCCACCATCCTTGGCCAAGAGTAATTTTAAGCTTGTGTAGCTTGTCCACAGTTTCAAGACCTACCTCTTGTTACAAGGTCCCAAGAGGTCTCAAGTTAGCTCTGGATTTTTAAAGACATAAGGTCTGACCATAGTTCCAGAATTCAGAGGCCAAAACTGTGGATTGACCTATAGAAGTATGGTAGAATCTAATTAAAAAAAAAAACACAAGAAGAAATAGAGCCTTTTTAGATAAAATAAAAGCCATTTTCTAGGGATGAAGCAGGGAAACAATTCATTGAAGTTACTGTCAACCTAAAGGCTATTTAAAAGGCTTGGAATGAGATTATCTCTAGGGATTATAAAGGAGAAAAGTGTAGTGGTTTCTCAAGTGTGCTTCAATCTTACTGTGGGAATGAAAGAGTGGAAATATAAGCTAGAAGGAGAGAAACATTTCTGTAGGAGAAAGATTGAGATATTTGGATGGACATAGATGAAGAAGAAAATGAAATATTGAAGGCTAGTATTGACTGTAGGTTAAGCAACTATATCTAACTGTCTGCAAGGAGAAAATTGTCAAAAGGAGATATATTTTAGTAGCTACTAAAATTTAGTATGGTGACAGGGCTCAGAGACATCCAACAGAGGAAGATAGGCAAGATTTTTAGAGAGAAGACTAGAACAGACTATCAGAAGGAGCCAAAACTGTAAGAAATTCATTCAATACCATTGACAGAGTCTGTAGTGAAAGCAATTGGGGTACTGCCCTTGAAAGAATGGGCCAGCTATACTAAATGGTACAAAAATCTTGACAGAATTAACAAGAGAAAACCAGAAAAATGTGCACTATTATTGGATATATAAAGTACAGGTGGATGTCTTGGCCAGTGGACAATTTTCACCGACTCAGAACTTGCTGTTTTGTTTTTCTCATGGAAGAATCCTCCATACAGTTTTGAGGAATATGTTAGAATAAAAACATGTCTAGGTCACAAAGCAAAGAAAATAAAGGAAGTAAAGTTGACTTTCGATTCCATCAAACCATTCTAGTCTGCATATATTCAAGAAGGAAAAGATCAAAGTAAATATTTTAACATATTAGAAACTCATCTGAGTTTCCTGAAGGGAACCACAAGATTAGACATAAGAGACACATTGCAAATGAAAAAGACAGGAAAGCTGTTTAAAACTGGGAACATTCAGAAGCTAAGGCAAGACAGCATCACAAAGGGCCTGTGTCATGGGTATTGGTCTGCCCTAGAGTCTTAAGGGTTCAAGCTTTTAAAAACTTCAGTAGCAGCTACAGTTCAAGAATCATCTTAGGTCTTTCTCCAAATGCAACTATAGTGTGAGGGAATCAGGGGCACAACTTCTCTGTGAAACCTATTTAATTATCTTAATTCAAGCCTTCTCAATTTTGGCACTATTGACATTTTGGGCAAAGTAATTCCTTGTTGTGTTGTGGAGTTGCTTTCCTGTGCATTGTAGGCAGTTTAGCAACATCTCTGGTGTCTATGCCCTAGATTCCATTAGCATACCCTCCCCACCACAAGTTGTGAGAATAAATCATGTCTCTAGATACTGTCAAATATGCACTGCAGATAAAAATCATTCCTGGTTCAGAACCACTGACCAAAGTAATTCCATGACAAAAGGCAGTGGAAGAAGCCAGTGAGCAATGGAATGAAAATGTCTGCACAAAAGATACTTTGGGTATTATAATGTGGAGTTAGCCTTAAATTTATCATTGGTGAACTAGAAACAGAGTCCAAAGGGGAGAAGGAATTTAAAAAACTGAATATGCTGATTCAGAAAGAAAGTCATCCAAAATTCGACTTGAGAGCTAATGCTACCAGTATTATAAACTTCTCAGCTTTGCAGGAAGGCAAGATTTATCCCACACATCTTCCTATGAGAGGTGAAAACATGCATAAGTGTCACCCCCAATTCCCCTCTCCCTGGTCCTCCAATGTGGTCAATACATAATGACAAAAATAGTCTCTTTTTCAGAGAGGTCTCCCATTGTGTTGTGTTTCAAAACTTGTGGACTCTGAAATCTGCCATAAAAGACTGGCATCCTAGTTAAGCAGACAGCAGGATTTTGAAAATCTACCTGGCATCCCTCAGATACTATGAAGTCTCTGCTATGATCTTTGAAAACACTTAAGGCTTTTGTCTAAGAATATAATTTAGCCCGGAATAACTGCTTAGGAGATGAGGATTACTTTATATTTTGAATTTAATTGAAGATGGAGTCAGGGCTATCTGCATTTCTTAGTAACCCCTTGGAATTTTGAAAAGTGGGGCTCATCAGATGTTCTGGAATAAATTCAGATCCACAGGCTTTAAAGAAACTATACCTCATTCATTAGAATACAGAAACTGCTGTACCTGCTAAAAAAAAACAACTCCATCAAGTCTTCTAATAGAGAAGCTCTGTAGTTGTGACTGTGCAGAATAAGAAGTCGGACCTTAATTTAACTTGAAATATTAATATTTGTAATTTATCTTTCAATGGTAGGATAATTTTCATTTGGTCTTCAATTTTATTTGGTTTAATTTGGGATACTTTAAAAGTGGGTCATATAAGTGTTTTCAATTTCTTAATATCTTGGGAGATTAATAATGGGAGAGAGTTTATATTCAAATTTGAGGACTCTTACTGCTGTCATTTTATTATTGGAGTACCTTTGATCTCATTGCAGAACCTCTGCTGGCTGTTAGTTAATGTGGCGGGAAGTAATTTGGAATTAGAAATAGAATAGCAAGTGAAGGTTAGGATTTGAATAATAGAGTGGTCCTAGAAATTTCAACTATTGCATGACTTTGATCCATTTCAGAACATTTTGGAGGCAAAATCTATTCTTAGCTGACCCAATAAATTCCTAAATGAGGCAATGGTTGCTGCTGTAGAGTAGTCTTTTGAAAATGGAGTTGATCTGTCCTGATATTGTGCAAACACCTTTGGGGGTTAACTCCATTTCTAGTTTTTCACTGGCTTGACGGTTACTCCAATGGCTTTAGGGAATGAAAGCCTGAGTAAGGTTGAGTGTGGGAACATTTGTTCTCCTTTTCTCACATTTCCTTCAATGTGGACGGACATCCATTAGTGCAACACTCTTGGCTGCTCTTTTCCTACTTCCTCCAGGTGCTGGTGGGCTGATTTCTAATTATTTGACAGAGGAATGAGCTGTTCCAGCTCCGTCCCTTCCTCTCGCCCTTTTCTCCTGAGCAAGCTACCCGCAGAAAGCTTGATTTGAAGTATGATTCTTTGTGTTCTCAGTTTGTCAGCAATAGCCATCTCTGGGAGGCCCTGAGGATGTTCAGCACCACCTGTCCAGTTCTGAGGTTTGATCATAATGTGGATGGTTATCCCTGTCCTGTTTCTCTTCTGTCTCTTAAGTGACTTGGAATTCAGGAAGGGAGAGAAAGGTGCAATTTATAAGTCTTTTTAAACTCCAAAAGTTCCCCTATCCATTAAGAAAGGAATGAGAGAGTAGGCAATAGAAAACTCCATCCCACTGCTAGAATTGAATCCGTTTCTGAATGTTTTGCTCCAGGTACTTTTTGGTTTCTGAGCTGAGGTGGTCTACACCATGGTGGTCCACATAGGGTAGTCCTACTACCATAGCTGGCCACTGAGGATTTTAACTTATCTTGACTGCAGGTGACAAAATGTCCTTTTCCTTTTAAGTAAGCTGAGGAGAAGTTAGACCTTTCTTTTTTGCCCCAGAGCAACTTTTACTAAGGGGAGACATTTCTGACTCTAATAAAAAAGAAATTGATGTTTAGCCAAAATTTAATTTGGCTGCTACAGGCTCCTTTACTCACTTCACTCTTTTTCTTATAAGGAAATGGACTCTACAGAAAACAGCTGAAACTTCCAGTCTTTTAGATTTAGATTGGTACTATTTCTTGACCAGGTGGAGTTTAAAAATCCTTATAAAACCAGGTTCTTTCTCTTCTGTTTTGTCAATTAACTTTTATTTATAATTGACACAAAATAATTATATGTACATATAGATTACAGTGTGATGTTTCAATCATGTATACATTGTATAATGATAAAATCCTGCTTCCCTGTCTTCTATAATTGGAATAAGAGCAGCTATGGAGACATGCATAGTACTTTACTCAAGGGGGATGGTTTTCCAATATTCTGTCAGTACAGGCATGATTCACACCACAGATAAAGATCCTTCCTTCATACTAGGCTGCCTGCCCTTCATAAATAGTCTGTACACGTCTCCATGGTGCCAGGTTTCTGAGCTGTGTGTCCTGAAACAGCGGGCTACTTCAGTTTCCCATCTTCCTTTCCTCATTTAAGCCAAAAACCAGGCCAAATCACACCCTGAGGATAATGAGCAAACACCCAATTATGTCCTCCATGGCAGAGATTCTGCTATTTAGAAGATGGAGGAAGTGTTTGGCTCTAATCTGTTCCCTCTGGGAACTGTTCTGATTTTCTAGAGGATTGGAAAACACCTCCCTATAGCAGTTATTTCAGAGAAGTTCTCTGGCTCACTATCCGTTTCTTTCATCATACCATATTGTCTAGTAAAATCTGAAAACGCCTCTTTATATATTTCTCCTGCTGAGTGACATACACAGAGATGTTCGCTGCAGTAGATCCCATCAATAGAGTAGTGTCAGGATATAAGCCTACGTTGCTTTAAGATGTTCCCTAACAATATGATGCTCTACAAGTATCTTAAATATACAGACCATAGTTTTAGAAGAAGGTCCCAAGTATACCAACTTTGCCTTTAGCCAGCTGGTGACTTTGGGCAGTCACTAAACAACTTCAAGCTTCAGTTTCCTAATATGTTAAAAAAAGACAATAGATATCCACTTGAATATGTGATGTTAAAGTAATATGATAGATGTGAAAGTGATTGAAAAGTTGAAGGGATTTTTGGAATATTAGGCATCCGAAATGTCGGATGACCACAACCAGGGAAAAGTAAGGCACTTGATAATGAGTGTTTGGTTAATGTGCATTTTATGAATCTCCCATTGTATTGAGTGAGGCACTGGGGACACAGAAGTTACTCTAAAATACCTCTCAATGTGATTATCACATTGTGAATAGTGAAAGGATTGTTTTTAGACTCAGCTTTCAACAGGATCCAGTATATCTTTCTGAAGCTGGAGTGGCCTTCAGATAAAACTTTTAAAAAATGTTGATAGTGAGTTAAAACAGTCAAAACCATGTGTTTATTTTGCTCAGTCTTTGATTCTTCACAGCTGGGCACTGCTTTGACTCTCCTTCCATAAAGGGAAAAGACTCATGGGGGCCTGTAATAGGCCTTTACCTAGACCGGTGTTTCTCAAGTTGTTAAAATGAAGATTCTAATTCAGTGTGTAAGGATCGGGGCCCAAGATACTGCATTTCCAGCAAGCTCCCACGTGATGCTGAAGTTGTTAGGTTACGGACCTCACTTTGAATAACAAGGCAATGCTATGACAAGAGATAGGGAAGTTAGCTGTCTTTCTAAGAAGGTCGTAAAAGGAGAAAGAAAAAGGGAAACTACTCTTTTACTCAAAACATACATTGGAATTAATGAGTTTCCAGTAGGGAAAAACAGTGCTGTGTTTACAGCCTAGCACCTCTAGCTTGAAAAGCATCTTAGCTGTGTAGAATACTTCATGAAATTCATGGGAAAACATATTCGCTGATCATATTTTAAGAATTCTTTGTAAAGCTTAACAGCTAAAAAGAGTTAAACAAATATGGTGCACATTCTTTTGCCCATTGGTGTCAATTAATTGGTTTACAGGAAGAGTTGCCTCTCAATATTATTATCATTGTTATAGTCAATATCTCCATCATGAAAAACATCTTTTTAGAGTATATCATTAACTGGTTCTATTCTGTATCCTATCCAAAGTCTATCAAATAATTTGTGCCATATAGCCCACATTGGGATATCAGCCTTGCCTGGGTAAATAAAAATATTCAACCCATTAGAGACAGTTTCTGTCTCGTATGCAAGAAACTAGTATGAGAATCAAGAATCAAATAAAATATTTATTAGAGTGTTTTTTTCTTCTTTGATGTTAAGTAGGGAAAAGCTGACAGGATCAGAACACCCATTAGCTTTCAGTACTTTCGGTATCCCTTCCATATTTTTCAGGATCATAATCAATGATGAATCTGATGTGATGACCATCAGGAACAAGAACAAAGTGCCCCAGTATTGAAACCCCCCTCTTTTTATAATAAAAATGTTCACAATAGGATCTCATTAAATTAAGTTAATTGAGGTTGGGTGAATCTGAATGAATGTGAAATATGAGTTAATGGCAGAGTTTAAAAACATATTACCTTCAAATATCTACAATAACTAAAATGAGGCTCAAAGAGGACATTTTAATGAATAAATAAGAATACAATAATCAGCTAATCACTTGATATGATAAATAGATGCTTCTGAAGTGTTTTAGGGTATTGGAAATTTGTTTTTCAAAGTCAAACTATTTTATTACTTTCTTTTCACCATTAACATGTATGTTGGCATTTTAAGTTCAACCAACCAAGCAAACAAGAAGAAAAAAATCCTAGTCATCCTTTAGAATATACCACATGATGGAGATAGAAATAATGAAGTTTTACTGACATTGCTGTTTGCTTTTCTGTTTAGCTCAAGTTCTTTCAGGTCCTAGGCCCATGAGCACATGCTTTCATTTTATTTTGAACAAGTCAGGAGGTCGTTTTTAGGTGGCATAAGAATATGCATGGTCCACCTTTCTGCCACTTAACATATATAAATTTTCCTTGCGTTCCTAGTTTTCCAGTGTTGTTTTGAAGCAGGCGATGGTGTGCTCCCAGATGCTTGCATTCTGAGGTTCTTGTCTATAGGTGGAGCCGCCTATCTGGGGTTTGATGAAAACTCTTTCACTGATGATTCTATTTTCGCATTTTTAAAAATAATCTCCCAATTAACTGCTTCAATATGTTTATGAAATTTCTAACCTGATAATACCAACAGGCGTAACATTTGGTGGAGATATTTTGATGTGAGCGGAGCTGGTAGTGGTAATACAGCAATAATTGCCGGCTCATTTACGGACTATTTAGGTCGTGCAGTGAGCCAGATGAGAACAGCTAATGAGCACAGCTTCTTGCTGTAATTAGTCGAACAGTGGTGGCTCACAGATGATTTACAGTTTGCAAAAAAAATCTGTGTATTTACTGAAGTGCTTATGTATTCTGTAAAGTTGTGACAAAGTAACAACTTGGGGATGTTGTGCTTTCTGCTCCCACATATTCTTCAGAGAGATTAAACAATAATGCTATCAGCACCCACAGCTTTGGCGGCGAGTGGCGCAAGTGACAGGCGGCTTTAGGTTTTCTCTTGGCTTGTTTCTCACCCAGGGTTTCTTTCATGTTCCCACAGTTTCTTTCACATGCCTCTTTAACAATGTGGTAGGTAAAACGAAGGATCTCTACAGCTTTTTCATCGTGCTTGCCATAGAGTGCGATTGTTGGGGCTGTTATGGCTCTTCTTTGGTAGTCAGATTTTAAAAACTCCAAGCAGCTGGGTAAGCTTCTCAAATAGCTGCTGAACATAGTGCCCTGTCTTTAAAAGGTCCATTCTATGTTTCTGGAAAAGACTGAGGTCAGAAAGCTATCCCATATCAAATAGAAAGTGGACCAATTATTGCAGATTTGGAGGGGGGTTCTCAATTTGGAAAGTATTTTGTTAAGGAAAAAATTGGTCTGGGGTTGCCCTTGGTTTTGGAATTATGCCAGAGGCATGACTTTAAATCTCTGTGATTGATTAGCTTAAATGCTCTCAAGGAAAGACAGTACTGCCATTTCTCTTTAGAATCTTTGTATTTCTCCTTAATTTCTTTTCTTGCAATCAGGTGTTATTTTTATTCTGCTCTTGGAAGAAATAACTTATTAATATATTTGGTTAAACTTAAATGTTGCCAGCCTGCATGGTAACCACACTCTGACCACTATGGCTGCCAGAACTCAGTCTTTTTAAAAAAATTTTTTAGAGACAAGGTCGCGCTTTGTTGCCTAGGCTGGAGGGCAAGTGGCACAATCATAGCTCACTACAGCCTTGAACTCCTGGGCTTGAGCAGCCTCCAGGACTACAAGCACACACCACCGCTCCTGGCTTAATTTTTCTTTCTTTTTTTTTTTCCAGAAATGAGGGGGCGGGTCTCACTTTGTTACCCAGGCTAGTCTTGAACTCCTGGACTCAAGCAGTCCTCACACCTTAGCCTTCTGAGTGGTAAGGATTACAGGCATGAGCCACTGCACCTGGCTCGATTGTGTGTCCTGAAATCTCATTGAAAACAGGTTTTCTTTGTGAATATATCCGATGAGCACTCCAGCAAGAAAAAGCAATGAGAGGGGATGAGAATCTCTTGGGGTATCTTTGAATGATTGAATGATGAATAGAATTCATATATTTTGCCCTGACTTAGATTTGTATTTATAGTAAGTGAGAAGTGTGTAAGCAGAGGGGTTCTAAACTTATTTGAAACTGGTAAATAGCATTTAAAGACAAAAACATGGATCGAAGAAGTATATGAGGAAGTAATAATGTTTATTGTCAAGATTAGGCAGAATTAGGAGTAAGGAACTCAGCATGATGACTACTGGGCCTCTGTTTCTCCAATGTGAGAAAATGGGACTGTCTTACTGACACAACAGGCAACAGAATCAGTTTCATTCTTATTGTTCTTCTACTCTTACACAATTTGCCATCTTTATATCTTTCCTTAGTTGCTTCCATTAATCTCTATTAGTGAATCAACAATGAAAAAAAATCCATCCTGACACCATATTCCATATACTTTTTTTAAAATAAGTACTAACTGATAGCCAACTCAGGGCAAGTTCATTCTGGAAAGTTTATAAAACATAGAATGGTTTGGGTGTAGCCAAAAAGTCAAAAGGACATTAACACTTTTTTTTGTTGATGAGAAACTGTCAAGTCCTCCTTTTCTAGAAATGTGGTTATTTTGACGGCCTAATGGCATTTACTTATTCATAAAGGAAGCTCTCTGCCTCACTCTGCCCATGGTAATTCACTCAGCAAACCAGACACTTTATATCCTTCAGGAGGGAAAAAAAAGGAATAATGCCTTGAAATTAAGTAGCTCAAGAGAGATCTGACCAAATTCTTAGCAGAAACATGGCACAGCAAACAATACTCTAAACTTCAGGCCATGGAAATGATACGCTGTGAGCAGGGAAAGCCTCGCTTTCTTAATCTGTAAAATACAGACAATACTAGGTACTGTGAGAAGTTAGGGAAGATGGAGTACCTAGCATAGTGCCTGGCATTTAGTAGATATTCAATTAAAAAGTAGCTATTACTGTCATTAGTAATAATTTTTATTACAGATGTAACTTGCTAGAAAAGCTAGTCACTCTCAGAAAGTTGCCCAAATATACTTATATGACAATTATGCTCATTTAAGAGTTATTAAATGTCCTTTGAAATAGGTTATTAAACAAAATGCATGTGGACATAAGGTACACCATTAGAAAGACACGTTACTTGATGGCCTCTAAGTAAGGAGAAATGTGATTCACACCACAGAGACTATCTACAACTAATAATAATAATAAAAATATTTAGGCAAATTTTCTACTACGCTAACGTTTCAGCAATTTTTTCCTTTACTTTAGTCTTTTATGACCTTTTACCTTAGAAATAAGTGTTAAACTTAACACTATTCTTTTAAAAGGAAGCATGCTATAGCTAACTTCCAACTATTTATCATCTATATGCTTGTCTTTTCGACTTCTCTACTGACTGGATGCATATTTGTATCGTTACCTAGAAAATATAGTATCAAGATTCTATTGCTCCAGTTAAGAATTGTTGAACAAGTCTGGGGAAAATTTGACACTAGAGAGAATTTTTTCCTTTTGATTTATGACAATGCTGAAACATAAGCTTGGTTATGAATCTTCATGGCAGTTACTTACTGAGATTAAACTTCACATATGAACATCTGTGAGCAAATCCCCTTGGACATTCTCAATGTTGTGAAAGGCAAAAGTTATTTTTCTTCACATAGGTCTTCTAAGAGTCTGTGAGGCTATTGTGTAATCATCTTAAGCTAGATGACAAAATGACACACACACACCCCTAAACAAAACACAGTAAGACATAGTTATGGCACCTTCGAAAGTTAATTGAACTTACAGGATATGAGACTAAAAGTCTATTAGGAAAAAAAATTATGAACCTTTACATGGCTAGGATTTTAAAAAATTATCTCAAGGAGGTAGTTTTAAAATGCTTGTCAGTGACCATAGAATATTTAATTTATATGAGAGGTAATGTAGTGAAAAAAATGGTGGAAGTAAAATATACAAAAAATACGTATCTGAAATTGTTATCAAAGAAATTTTAAAAGTAAGGTGCCATTTTGTACTTATAAAATTGTCAGAAACTTAAGAGGATGTATATTAACTGATATAAATATGTAGAAAAGGATACTTTCATACTTATTTTTACAGCAGTGTTAAAATGTAGTTGATGTACACTACTGCACATATTTTAAGTATATAACTTGATGAGTTATGACATACCTGTCATACCTGTGAAACCATTGCCATACCAAGATAACGAACATATCCATCACCCCCAAGAGTTTCCTTGGGCCCCTTTGTAATTGATCCATCTCTTCTTCTCCCCAGGCAATTAGTGATCTGCTTTCTGTCACCATAAATTAGGTAACATTTTCTGGAATTTTCTATAAATATAATCAAAAAGTAGGTAGTTGTGTATTGTCTTGCTCCGATCACTCAGCATAATTATTTTAAGATTCATCCATGTTGGATGTATGAATAGTTTTTTCTTTTTTACTTCCATGGTATGGCTATAACACAATTTGTTTACTACCTGATGATGGCCATTTGGGGTTTTTTTAGACTTTTTAGTTTTTGAGGGGTAGCTATATAAAGCTGCTTTGAATGTTAGTGTACAAATCTTTATGTGGATATATGTTTTCATTTCCTGGGTAAATATATTAGAGTTGGGCTGGGCGTGGTGGCTCATGCCTGTAATCCCAGCACTTTGGAAGGCTGAGGCAGGCAGATTGCCTGAGGTCAGGAGTTTGAGACCAGCCTGGCCAACATGGCGAAACCCCGTCTCTACTAAAAATACAAAAATTAGCCAGGCATGGTGGCGAGTGCCTGTTATCTCAGTTACTTGGGAGGCTGAGGCAGAAGAATCACTTGAACCTGGGAGGTGGAGGTTGCAGTGACCCAACATGGTACCACTGCACTCCAGCCTGGGTGACAGACTGTTTAAAAAAAAAAAAATGTTGAAATTGAATGGAAAGGTCATAGTGTAGGTATATGTTTAACTTTTGAAGACTGTCAGGCTGTTTTCCAAAGTGAGACTTTTTAGCAGTATATTAGAGTTCCAGATGCTCCACCTCCATGCTAGCACTTGTTATGATTATTTGGAGTTTTAAAAAATTTTTCTATTTTTAATTGTATGTATTATAATAGGTATGTGATGGCATCTCACTGTGGTTTCATTTTATGTAAGTTCTCCAACTGTGTTATCATTATCAAAATTAAGTATTCTAAGTCCTTTGCATTTCCACATATATTTTAGAATCAGCTTAATAATTCTTATCAAAAAACCCACAGGGATTTTTATTAGAATGAGATTAAATCCATAGATCAATTTGTGAAGAATTAAAATCTTGGCAACATAGTGTATCTCTCCATATATTTAGGTCTCTTTAATTTCTCTCATCAATGTTTTCTACTTTTCAGCATATAGGTCTTGTACATATTTAGTGAAATACATCTCTAATAATTTTACATTTTTGGTGGCATTATACATGATTTTTTTAGATTGATTTAATTTTAATTTCCAATTGCATTTTGTTGTTATATAGAAATACAATTAATTTTTCTTAATTTATCTTGCATCTTGAATTCCTTTAAATTTACTATTAGTTGTCACTTTTGGGACAGATTTCTTGGGTCTTTCTACATAGACAATAATGCTGTCTGAAAATAAATATGATTTTGTTTATACCTTTCCAGTCTATATTTAATCTCTCATTGCATTGTTTAGGAACTTCAAGACCATGTCTATTAGAAGTCATATGAGCAGACATTTCTATCTCATGCCTTATTTTAGGGAGAAAACAGTCAGTTTTTCTCCATGAAATATAAAGTTAGCTGAAGCTTTTTCTGTGTATGCCCTTATCAGGTGGATGAAATTTCTATTGATACCTAGTTTGCTGAGAGTTTTGGTAATGAGTGGATGTTGGATTTTATCATATGCTTTTTGTGCTTCTATTGAGAGGATCATTTGAGTTTTTTTAGTCTGTTAATTTTATTAATTACATTGATTGATTTTGATTGTTAAATCAGTCTTGAATTTCTGAAATAAATTCTACTTGGTTACAATGTATTACTCTTTTTTTAGCATAGTTAGATTTGATTTGCTAATATTTGAAGGACTTTTGCATCTATGTTCATGAGGGATAATGGTCTGTCATTTTCTTCTTTTATAATGCCATCTGGTTTTGCAATTGATTCAGGACAGGCAAGCCTCAAAATTGGGGCATACCCTGGAAGGATTCTTGGCTTTGCCCAGGAAAGAATTCAAAGGTGAGCTGGTGGTTTTAGACAGCAATCTTTTATTGCACAGTACTGCTCCTTGTGGAACAGGGTTAACTCATAGACAGTGTGCCCAAAATGGGCAACTATGGGCTCCTGGCAACTGTGTTTATACATACTTATTCCAAATTTCAATTACATGCAAATTAAAGGGCGAGTTATTTAGAACTTTCTAGGAAAGGAGTGGTGACTTCTGGGTCATTGCCATGGCATTTGTAAACTGTCATCGTGCTGGTGGGAGTGTCTTACGCTAATGAGCAATGAGGGTGGCTGGAGATAACCTTCATCACCATCTGCTGGTTGCCCATTTTAAAATGAGATTATTAGTTTATTTGCTGTTGAGTGGAGTTCCTTGTATATTCTACAGCTCTTGTCAGATGTATAGTTTGAAAATATTTTCTCCCATTCTACAGGTTGTCTCTTTAGTCTGTTGATTGATTTGTTTGCTGTGCAGAAGCTTTGTAGTTTGATGTAATTTCATTTGTCTATTTTTGGTTTTGTTGCCTGTGCTTTTGAAGTCTTACCCATGAAATCTTTGCCTAGGCTGATGTCCCGATGCATTCTCCTATGTTTTCTTCTAGTTTTTTTTATAGTTTCGGGTCTTACATTTAAGTCTTTAATCCATTTTGAGTTGACTTTATGTATGGTGAGGTGTAGTGGTCCAGTTTTTTATTCTGCATACAGATATTCAGTTTCTCCAGCACCATTTATTGAAGAGTGTGTCCTTTCCCTAATGTATGTTCTTGGCATCTTTGCCAAAAATCAGTTGAATATAAATACATGGTTTTATTTCTGGGTTCTCTATTCTGTTTCTTTGGTCTGTTTTTCTGTTTTTATACCAATACCATGGTATTTTGGTTACTGTAGCTTTGTAGTATATTTTGAAGTTAAGCAGTGTGATGCCTCCAGCTTTGCTCTTTTTGCTGGATATTGCTTTGGCTTCTCAGGGTCTCTTAGTGTTTCCATATGAATTGTAGGAATTTTTTTTCTATTTCTGTGAAGAATGTGATTGGCATTTTGATAGGGATCACATTAAATCTACAGATTGCTTTAGGTATTATGGTCATTTTAACTATTAATTTTTCCAATTCATGAGCTTGTGATATCTTTCCATTTCATTTGTGTGTTCTCTTTCATTTCTTTCATCAGCGTTTTGTAGTTTTCACTATAGAGCTCTTTCACTTCCATGATTTATTCCTAAATTTAACCACATTGAAGTGATACTAAATGAGATTTCTTTCCTGATTTATTTTTCAGCCAGTTTGCTGCTGCTGTATAGAAACAATACTAAATTCTATATGATGATACTGTATCTTGCAACTGTAAAGAATTTATCAGTTCTGAGGATTTTTTGTTGGCATCTTTAAGTTTTTCTATATGTAAGATGATGTCACCTGCAAACAGGGACAAATTGACCTCCTCTTTTCCAATTTGGATGCTGTTCTTTTTCTCTTGCCTAATTGCTCTGGCTAGGACTTCCAGTGCTATGTTGATTAAGAGTGCTCAAAGTGGGCATCCTTGTCTTGTTCCAGTTCTTAGAGGAAAACCTTTTCCCACTCAGTATGATGTCAGCTGTGGTCTTGTCATATATGTTCTTTAGTTTGTTGAGGTAGTTTTTTTCTATATCTATTTTAATGAGAGTCTTTAATCATGAAGCAATGTTTAATTTTATCACATGTTTTTTCTGATCTATTGAGATGATCTTATGGTTTTTGTCTTTCATTCTATTGATGTAATGTATCACATCTATTGATTTGTGTATATTGAAGCATCCTTGCATCCCTGGAATAAATCCCATTTGATCATGGTATATTATCTTTTTGATGTGCTGTTGAATTTGGTTTGCTAATATTTTGTTAAGGATTTTTGCATATATGTTCATCAGGATTATTGGCCTTTAGTTTTCTTTTTTTGTTGTGTCTGCGTCTGGTTTTGGTATCAGAATAATGCTGGCCTTGTACAATGAATTAGGAAGAATTCCCTCCTCTTCAATTTTTTTGAAATCGTTTGAGAAGAATTGTTGTTGGTTAATTTATAAAGGCTTGGTAGAATTCCACAGTAAAGCCACCTGGTCCTGGGATTTCCTTTGTTGGGAGACTTTCTGTTAATGACAATTTCCTTACTGGTTATTGGTTTGCTCAGGTTTTCTCTTTCTTCTTAGTTCAATCTCATTAAGTAATATGAGTCCAGGAATTTATCCATTTCTTCTAAGTTTTCCACTTTCTTGGCATATAAGTGTTCATAATAGTCTCCAATGATCCTTTGTGTTTCTGTTGTACCAGTTGTAATGTCTCTTTTTGTTTCTGATTTTATTTATACAGGGCTTCTCTCTCTTTTTTTCCTTAGTCTAATGCATGGTTTGTTGATTTTGTTGGTCTTTTTAAAAAACTCAAGTTTTGGGGGTTTTTTTAGTCTCTATTTTATTTAGTTCTGCTCCAGTCTTTAGCATTTTTTTTCCTTCTAGTAACTTTGGGTTTGGTTTGTTCTTTCTTTTCTAATTCTTTGAGCTGTGTCATTAGGTTGTTTATTTTAAAACTTTCCACTTTTTTGGTG
The DNA here is from genome assembly GCF_000001405.40 of Homo sapiens. Taxonomy (NCBI): domain Eukaryota; kingdom Metazoa; phylum Chordata; class Mammalia; order Primates; family Hominidae; genus Homo; species Homo sapiens. The sequence continues at coordinate 30,148,721 of NC_000014.9, read as the reverse complement.
CAGGAATTTATTGCTATAAATTTCTCTCAGCACTGTTTTGGCTAGATTTCATGGGTTTTCATAAGCTGTGTTTCAATTTTCATTTGTTTCAATAATTTTTTTGGTTTCCTTCTTAATTTCTTCATAGACTCATTGGTTATTCAGGAGAATGTTGTTTAATTTCCATGTATTTGTACAGTTTTCAAAATTTTTCTTGTTATTTGATATATAGTTTTATTCCATTATAATCTGAAAAGACATTTGATAAGATTTGATGTTTTTTTCAAACTTGTTGAGACTTGTTTTGTGGCATCATACATGGTCTATCCTGGAGAATTTTCCATATGCTGATGAGAACAATGCATGTCCTGTGGCAGTTGGATGAAATGTTCTGTAAATGTTTGTTAGGTCTGTTTGGTCTGTTTGCAGATTAAACCTGATGTTTCTTTGTTAATTTTCTGTCTAGATGATTTGTGTAATGCTAAAAGTTGGGAGTCGAAGTCCCCAACTATAATAGTATTGTAGTAAATCTCTTCCTTTAGCTCTGTTATTGGCGTTATATATCTAGGTGCTCTGGTGTAGGATGCATACATACATTTATATGTACAAGTGTTACATCTTCTTAGTGAACTGATATGTCTATGATTACATAATAATTTTTGGTCTCTGTTTATGTTTTTTGTCTTAATGTATATTTTGTCTGATATAAGTATAGCTATTCCTGCACACTTTGGGTTTCTGTTTGCTTGGACTGTCTTTTTCATTCCTTAACTTTCAATCTATGTGTCTTTATAGGCAAGGTGAATTTCTTGCAGGCAGCATATAGTTAGTTGCTGGTTTTTGAAATCCACTCAGCCAGTCTATGTATTTTAATTGGGGAATATAAGCTATTTACATTTAAAGTTGTTACTGATAGATGAGGACATACTCTTGTCATTCTAGTGTTTTCTGATTAATTTATATATTATTTGTTCCTTTCTTTTTTCTTATTGTTTGTCTTTGCAATTTGGTGGTTTTCTGTAGTGATAATATTAATATTTTACCCTTTTCTCTTTCTCATTTGTGTATCTGTTCTAGCAATGAGGTTTCTTTTTATGTTTCTTTTTTTTTTTTTTGCTTCACTCAGAATTTTTGAAGAAATGTTCTGCCAGCGAGTTTTATAATTTCATGTGTTTTCATGATGGTAGATATTATTCTTCTGATTACAGATGTAGGACTCTTTTACGCATTTCTTGTAGGGACAGTCTAGTGGTGATGAATTCCCTCAGTTTGTGCTTCTCTGGGAATGAATTTATTTCTCCTTCATTTCTAAATCATAGCTTTGCTGGATATAGTATTATTGGCTGGCAGGTTTTTCTTTTCTTTTCAGCACTTTGCATATATAATCTCATTCTCTCCTTGTCTGTAATATTTCTGCTGAGAAATCAAATATTAGTCTGAGGAGATTCTTGTGAACTGATGTTCACACTTTTCTCTCACGTTTGCTGTTCTTACAGTTCTTTCTTTGTCTTTGACTTTTGACAGTTTAATTATAATGTACCTCAGAGAGAATCATTTTAGGTTGAATCTATTTGGGAACTTTTGAGGTTCCTATATCGTGATGTCTATATATATTCTAAGACTTGAGATTTTTAGCAATTATTTTATAAAATATGTTTTTTATGCTTTTCCCCATCTCTTTCTTTTCTGGAACTCTGAAAATGCAAATACTCTTTTGCTTAATGGAATACCATATGTCATGTAGAATTTTTTCATTATTTTTATTTTGTTCTCTTCTTTTTATTAGTTGCTTTTCTTTTAAAATTTTGTCTGATGGGTTACTTTTAAAGATCTATCTTCAAGTTCAGAAATTCTTTCTTCATTTATTCTATTCTATTGTTGAAGCTCTTAATTGTACTTTCATTTCATTCATTAAATTCTTCAGTTCCAAAAGTTCTGTTTGATTCTTTTTTATGATATCTATTTCTTTGTTGAATTTCTCATTAAGATAATGAATTATTTCCCTAATTTCTTTGCATTATGTATCTGTGTTTTCTTGTCTCTCACTGAATTTCTTTAATATCATTATTTTGAATTCTTTTTCAGGCATTTCATAGATTTCTTTTTCTTGAAGTCTGTCATTAGAGAATTATATTTCTTGCTTTTTGTGTTTCTTGTGTCCTTATGTTGATATCTGCATATCTGGTGTAACAGTCATTTCTTTCAATTGTATGTAGTAGCTTTCAAAAGGAAAGGGTTTCCTGTAGATGTATCTACAGTGTCAGTTGTGTAGTGTGCTTTGACTTTGGTTCTGGGTGGGTGCAGTAGTGTAGTCTCCCTGTGATTTCTTCACCTGTAATCACTGTCAGCAGTGTCTGTGAGTTCTGCAGGGGCTTATACTTCAATTGTCTGTTGAGGCTGTGGAGTGGTTTTGCTGGAGATGAGAACACTGGACAGACAAGTCCTCAGGTCCCTGAGGACTGTGCTTGGGTATGTGGTGCTCCTGCCATTGGAGGGGGTGGAGCCACCAGTGATGGCAATGGCAGACCTTGGGTCGACTGGTCCTCAGTCCTCTGGGTAGTGGTCATGTGGCAGCCCTACCATTGGGGTTGGGCAGAGTTGCTCTTGGCAGTAGTGGCTCTAAGCTAATAGTTTTCAGGTTCTAGAGACTGTGTACTTCATTCCTCTATGTCCAGAGGGAGCCTCCCTGATGTAGTGAACCACATTTCCAGGATGTAGTCTACTGTGTGGGCCCAGGTGCTGAGGATGCAGCTGCACCCCTGGGTCCAGGTGGTGTCACAGTGCTACAGCTCTCTTGATGGATATGTGGGGGCATTTTTGGGACTCCAGGAATATGTAGATGTAGGAGCTGTTGGGTCCCATGGAAAGGTTTAGTCTGACAGTAGTTCTGCCCTCAACATGGTGTCGTGCTAAATCAGCCTGGTTCCTGGGGGCTGTGGAGCATCCAGTGTGGATTCTCTCTCAGGGACAATGCAGTTGCATGGACTCTACACAGCTCCCTGTAGTGGACTCGGGGCCTGTGAGGGATGAGGGGCTCTCCTGTAGTCAGGATTAAGGATATATGTTCTGGGAATGTGGACTACTGGGGAATCTCCCACTTAACCTTTGCCTTGTGATGGGAAGTCCCTCTTGGCTCTGAGCTGATCCCATTTGGCTGCTTCACTTACCTCTCTATGTTGCCATTTCAAGTTTTTCTGCCTCTGAGGGTCTTTGTTGCTTCTTTGTTGAATTCCGTTGTTCTCTCTTAGACATTGTATTCAGCTTGTGGTTATCTTTTTGTTGTTTTCATCTTTTTCTCATGGAGGAGTTAAGTGCTGGGCACCTTGAGTCAGCCATCTTGATAATGTCTCCCTGATACCATCTTTCTGGGTACAATTTTGCAGCAGTATCAAAAACTCTTAGTTCATTTGACACAGCATTCTGCTTCTTGGACAGTAACCTAAGGAAATAATTGGACAGGTGCACAAAGATGTATGCATAATGATATTTATCACAGCATTGTTTGTAATATCAAAATAATAGAAATGTTCTGTATATATAGCAACATGGGGCAGTTTAAATAAATTATGCTACAGCTATTTTATAGAATCTCATACTGTCATCAATATTATATCTCTAATTTTGCCATGGAAGTATGGAAGTATGTTCTCTCTCTCTCTCTCTCTCTATATATATATATATTTGTTTTATATATATAAATGTTTATAATTACACGTATATATATAGAGAATATATATTAAATATATTAAGTAAAATATATATATTTTTTCTTCAGACAGGGCCTCTCTGTTGCTCGGGCTGGAGTACAGTGGCACAATCATGGCTCACTGCAGCCTCAACCTCCCTGAGCTCAGGTGATCCTCCCACCTCAGTCTCTCAAGTAGCTGGGACTACAGGCATGTGGTGTCATACCTGGCTAATTTTTTGTAGAGACAGAATTTCACTATGCTGTCCAAGCTGGTCTTGAACTCCTAAGTTCAAGTGATCCATCCACCTTAGCCTCCCAAAGTGCTGGGATTTATAGGTGTGAGCCACCATGCCTAGCCAGCATAAATTTTTTTAAATAAAATATTCAAGTTACAGAACAGTATGTAGTATGTAATCACTTTTTTATTGAAAAAAAAACACATGAATATATGTATTTATTCTCAAGTGGAAGAAAGTGAAAGTAAAACAGTGCTTTTCTCTAGGTGATAGAACTTTATCAATTTTAGTTTAATTTAATATTTTCTTTCTTCTATTTTTAAAATATAATAATAAATTACAGAAGTAATTTTGTTTCTCGAGTTTATTCTCATGAGAAACACCTGCAACATTTTATGAAAATCATTGCTCTTATATTTTCTAAGATTTTGGAATATACAATAAAACTAGAACCCACATTTGCCATTTGTGTTCATCAAAATAGTGTTATAATAACTTTCCCAGTGCACAGTGGCTGCCCTGATTGATACTTGTAAGATAGGAAATGCCGAAACTAGAAAGCTAGAACTTCAGTTCTCAAGTGGAACAACAGATACAGCGTAATCCCAAAAGATATACATTTGGAGAAAGTCAGGAAGGAAATATACTTAAACAAGCTCATTTTATCATATAATGAATATTTATTGCATAGCTCCTGCCTGGCAGGCACAGAGGAGGGAATTCAGTGAACAAGACAGACACGACTCCTGTTTTCAGGGAACTTAATTTATTGGATTTTAAATAGGTTCTGTCTCAGTATATTATGAGTGCTTTTTATTTTTTGTGCTCCTTTGTATTTTCAAAAATCCTTTACTCCTGAAAATAAGATTTTGGAGGAAAAAAATGAATAAGCATTCTATTTTTAAAAAGTGGCAGTAGGAAAAGTAAAATCTAGCCCAAAAGTCCCTTTGTTTGCTGAAGCCTGTACTCTTCCTCCTAGTCTGTTTGCTTGCTTTGGCCTGCTATCAGGAATTTTTCTTCTCTCATTTAACTGCTCAGAGTTGATTTCTCTTTCTTTGCTTCTCCAGCAGCTGATCTATGGTTATATAGTTCCTGCCTCAATATTTTCTATGCCCTGTGTTTTCCCAGCTGTGCAACCCTCAGATTCAATAACTATATATATATATATATATATATATAAAATTTATTTTTCTTTAATTAGTTCAATCAGCTCATTTTTGCCTCATTACTTAAAATGGCCAGCATCGAACACCCAAAAACTCCAACCATCAAACATCCAAAAACTCCAACCAACAACATTTAATGTTTATTTATAATTACATGATTTATTCTGCTCTTAGAAATTAGAAAGGGAGGATTCCAATCGCCTTATTCTCTAGTGAAATTCTGAATGAAGAGGACAGTTTTTTGGTATATTGCCTCTCATTCTCTTAATAAGTAAGTTTTTGGTGTTTTTTTTTTTTTTTTTTGCTTGGGCTGGAGTGCAGTGGCTCAGTGTCCTGTGGCAGGAGAACCACTTGAATTCGGGAGGCGGAGGTTCACTGCAACCTCCGCCTCCTGGGTTTAAGCAGTTTTCCTGCCACAACCTTCCCAGTAGGTGGGATTACAGGCACCACCACCATGCCTGGCTATTTTTTCTTTCTTTCCTTTTTTTTTTTTTTTTTTTTTGTATTTTTAGTAGAGATGGGGTTTTGCCATGTTGGCCAGGCTGGTCTTGAACTCCTGGCCTCAAGTGGTCCGACCACCTAAGCCTCCCAAAGTGCTGGGATTACAGGCCTCACCATGCCGGCCTTAATAGGTAAGTAAGAACTAATACTTGGCCGGGTGCAGTGGCTCAGGCTTGTAATCCCAGCACTTTGGGAGGCTGAGGCTGATGGATCATCTGAGGTCAGGAGTTCCACACCAGCCTGGCCAACATGTTGAAACCCGTCTCTACTAAAAATACAAAAATTAGCCACGTATGGTGGCACGTTCCTGTAGTCCCAGCTACTCAGGAGGCTGAGGCAGGAGAGTCGCTTGAACCTGGGAGGCGGAGGTTGCAGTGAGCTGAGATCGTGCCACTGCACTCCAGCCTGGGCAACAGAGCAAGACTGTCAAAAAAAAAAAAAGAGTTAATATTTACTGTGTGATTACTGCATGCTAGGCATCATGGTATGTGCTCCATACACACTGTTTCTATTAAAATTTATAATGTGTTATTAGTAAGTTGTATTAGTTTCCTAGGGCTGCCATAATAAATTATAACAAATTTAATGGCTTAAAACAACAAAAATGTTGAGCTCACAGTTGAGGTCAGGAGTCCAAAATCAAGGTGATGTGTTTGTTCATTTTTGGGGGGAGCTCAGAGAGATAATTGGTTCCATGCCTCTCTCCTAACTTCTGGTGGTTTCCAACAATCCTTGGCAGGCCTTGGCTTGCAGCTGCTTAACTGCAGTCTCTGTCTCTGTTGACACATGGCTGTTGTCCCTCTCTGTTTCTTCACATGGTGTTCTCCTCTTGTTGTAAGGACACTAGTCATATTGATTAAGGGCCCATCCTATTCCAATACGACCTTTTCTTAATAATAGATCTGCAACAACCCTGTTTTCAAATAAGGTCACATTCTGAGGTCTGGGCGGGACATGAGTCTTTGGGGGACACTATTCAACCCCGTACATAGTATTCTCCTTCTTCAAAGACTCAGAGCAGTTAAGTAATTTGCCGAAGGTTACATATTTCACGGGAGTTTGGATTCAAACCCAAATCTGTCTGTTGACTGTCCGTTCTCTTAATCACCCTGCTGGGAAGTATCAAGAACTCTTTCCATCTGTAAGTAAATACATAATCCAGTTAGGAAGATAAGACATGAAAATTTAAATAATAGCAAAAGTGAAAAATGAAAAGAAACTATACTGGATAAGCCACAAGGCATCCCACTACCTCCAAACACAATAGCACACAGATATAACTAAGTTCCATTTTTCTTTTCCTTAAATTTGTGTAGGAAAAATACAAACTACAGAAATGCAAATATGATTATTTCACCTGTAGGTGTCATTAACTTTTGCTTTTTTCAATGAAAGTTAGAATTGAAGTCCTCTGCCAAATTCTCTGCCTCTTATACTTCATTTTATCTTTGTTTATATATAGTTTGCATCTTAAATTTAATGAGGCCAGGGCCAAGACTTTCTCTCAGAATCTTCCCTTTTCTTCAAATAGAGTTAGATCTTATCTATAAATACATTCTCTTCTGTTTCTGGAAACTCACTCTCATGTTTTGGAGTGCATGGGAACAATTGGGCATACTAACACTATATGAAGGTACTTCTAGGAACTGCCTTGTGGGAGCTGAAGATAACAGGTGTAGATGTTACCAGAACAGGGTCCCAATCCAGACCCCAAGGGAGGGTTCTTGGATCTCACACAAGAAAGAATTTGGGGCGAGTCCCAGTGCAAAGTGAAAGCAAGTTTATTAAGAAAGCAAAGGAATAAAGAATGGCTACTCCATAGGCAGAGCAGCAGCATGAGCTGCTGGTTGGCCATTTATATGGTTATTTCTTGATGATATGCTAAACAAGGTGGATTATTCATGAGTTTTCTGGGAAAGAGGTGGGCAATTCCCAGAACTGAGATTTCCTCCCCTTTTTAGACTATGTAGAGTAATTTTCTGACATTGTCACAGCATCTGTAAACTCTCATGGCGCTGGTAGGAGATTTTTTTAGCATGCTAATGGATTATAATTAGCATATAATGAGCAGTGAGGACAACCAAAGGTCACCTTCATTGCCATCTTGGTTTTGGTGGGTTGTAGCTAGCTTCTTTACTGCAACCTGTTTTATCAGAAAGGTCTTTACGACCTGTATCTTGTGCTGACCTCGTATCTCATCCTGTGACTGAGAATGCTAACCTCCTGGGAATGCAGTCCAGTAGGTCTCAGCTTCATTTTACCCAGTCCCTATTAAAGATAGAGTTGCTCTGGTTCAAATGCCTCTGACATAGTCATTAAGTATGCTTCTGGGTCTTAGGCTTAAAAAAGAGCAAGCATTATCTGGATCAAAGTTAGGGCTTATTTGGACCAAACAAGACTGGGGCGGGAAGGGTTGAAGGAACCATCACAATTCACAGTACTGTGGTACAAGGACAAAATGGGACTGGCCACAACGTTGACTTGCTGCTGATTCTCTGAACTACACTTCTTGGTGTCCTTAAATTTTCTCCGTCTCTGATTTCTATCAGTCACAAATCTTAAGAATAAGTTAAGGTGATCATGCTGTGTAGTTCTCATTGAGGGGGGCCGTAGAAAGTCACAGAGATTTAAGTGATCCACTCATGTTAAATCAGGACTATTGGACTCTAGAGCCACTCTTTTATTTTATTTTTAATGTTTTTCAATTGCTGCTGCTCAAATTGATAGAATCTAGTCTTTTAATTACTACCTTGTAATTCATCCCACCAAAAGTAATATTAGCTATAAATACTATTTATATAGGTCTTTATTGGAGGAGAGAAATAATATTTATTAAGAACCTAAAATGTGTGAGGAATTTTGTTAGATATTTAACTTTAACATATGTTATCTCATTTAATTCTCACAACATCTTCTTTATTCCTCAAGATAATGCTGCCAGGAGATAATATTATATCCTTATAGTACAGGTGGGAAGTATGAAACTTAGCGACACTAAAGGCTTCTCCAAAACCACTTGGCTAGGAAACTCCATGAGGAGAGGACCATCACTAGGGGCTTCTGTTGATTGTTTGCTTTTGTTTTTGTCTGATTTTTTTGGTTGTTTTGCATCACAGCAAACCCTAGTTATAGAACAATGCATTGGGGAGTATGTTGGCATCAGTGCCACTATGTGTTTATCCTAATTTTAGATAATCTCTTTGCTATTTAGAAAATGTAGTAGCGTGAGTTTGTAGTCATCAAATGTTTTGTGGCCACCTACATTCTCCAGACCTTCTATGAGGTTGGGCGCATGTGACTAGTTGTAGCCATTGGATACTGGGTGGAAGGTATACATGTCATTGCTGGTCAGTTAAGAGCTGCTATACCTCTTCCTCCTCTCTCTTTCCTTCCTATGGTATTGTTGGAGGCCAAGAGTTTCAGATGGCATAGCTATAAGATGGAGGCTGCTGAGATCTCTCAGTCACCATTTGAAGAACAGCCTCACAGGAGAGCAGTGCAACTCACAATAAATACAAACTTTTATTGTATTATGTCGCTGAGATTTGGGGAGTTGTTTATTACTGCAGCATAGCTTATGCTATCCTTCTAGCATAGACAGCATCTTTTGCTGATTTTATCCCAAACCATCTTCCTCCTAAGATACTTTCCTTCTCCTTTACTTACCGATGCCTAGAAAAAGAATGGTATTCTTTGGGGGCAGGAGGTCTTTATTTACAAATATGATCAAGAGCATCTCTCAGTTAAATCATGTTCAGTGCACTATGAAAATTTCAAGAGTGTTAGGTTTAATGACATTGTCAGAAGTCCAGAATTCTATTACTAAGTGAATTTACAAATTACTATGAGCATTGTGCTATCTGGGTATGTTTGATGAAAGTTGATAAGATGCATGCTATTTAGGATAAAGGCTTTTTCTCTACTTTATCATAATTGCAACTTTGTCCAGCAGACGATTCTAAATATGGGCTCACAATATCAGATTTTTAGAACTTAAAAAATGGTAATTTGAACCTAATTATTGGATAGGCAACCTAAAAGGTGCCACTTTTGTTTATGTTGACTCATAGTTTACAAAAAAAAATTAAATAATGCAGTGTAAACCTACAAGGGGGATTTTCTTTCACTTTTTGCCAGCAGAGAAGTAATGGAGCCAGCAGTTCTGAGGAAAAAAAGTAAGATATTCATTGAGGCTGCCTTCAGTTGCTTGGGCACACAGACCATCTGGCAATGAGAGGAGATGGGGGCTCAACGTGCCCTTTGTTAATAAAGTGATTGCCACTGGGAGGAATAATTCCTCCTTTAATTGTGTACCTATTTGAGAAGAGAGAGCAAATAAAGGGTCTCCCTTCTCAGATGAAAATGATGAATGACCTTGAAGACTCAGCACTAGTCATCCTTGGAAAGCTGGATTCTCATCAACTCTGCTCATTATGAGTCCAGTCTGAGTGTACACAAAGCACCTATTGACTTCAGTGGAAGTTCTAAGGCACAATCAGTCCTGAGGGAGGTGATGTTTTTAAAGCATGCTTCCTATCTCACTGAGAGGCTAGAAAATGAAGGCAGAAAACATGGACAACTCATTTATGAGCCTTAAAAAAAGATAAAGCATGCAAGTGGGTTTCACATTAGTATCAACAATTAACTGAAACTACGACTTTCAACAGGAGGCTTGTGGTGCTCGGTGTCACTGTTATTATGAAGGGCTGAGAGAAATGTAAAAGGATAGTCTTAGAAACAAATATTTAGCTTACAATTCATCTGAGAGTAGTGTAAGTGAAAGAGAGATGCTGGAGTTCATGGAACCAAGACTATCAATTGGTATTAATAGATAGTTATGATTTGATGATTTTACTTTCTAAACTAACAAGTACTAAACCAAACTTTAATTATGCTCAGTTCAATTTCTGTTACAGCAGTTATCAAGCAGTTGTTTGATTTTATTATTGTTGAGGTCAGTGATTACAATCATGGTGATAGAAATATGGACAATGATAGAAATACAAAAGGGAAGAAGACAAAGGGAACACCCTAGAATGAAATCCTCTCTCACAGATTTGTTGGAATATGGATATTGTAGCCTGATGACCTTAATCGTTCTTAAGTCATGGTCGTGATTACAGTTTCAATGCCATCTATACCATCAAGGAGAGTTACTATGTGTACCAAAAACAAATGTTTCAAGAGCCTTGATTCATCTCACTGAGCAGGCATGTGGAAGACAACTGAAGTGAAATGAAGGTTATTTCTTCATGAGTTTTTATTCATTGTCAATGAAATCATTTAAAAACTTCAGCCTTGGGAATAAAGAATTTGCCACTAAGAAAAACCTAAAAATTACTAAGGTAATAACATTTCCTCTACTTATTTTAGGATCAGAACATGCCTTAAGTCTTTTACTTTTGTCTCATAAAAATAAATTTTAAAATCAGTCTAGACAGAGTTCAAAAACTCAGATTTAAAGTAATATATTGACCATTTGTAATTGCATATTACCACTTAGCACAGTTCATTCTTTAAAAAGGGATCTTTAAAAAGGGAATTTTAATGACATGAAAATCTCATTAATCTTATTAGCATACTAGGTGAATTATAAGTGATCAACAAATATGTTTTAAATTGTTTCTCACTGTGTGTCAGTTAAGTATTTTACAAATACCTCTTCCCTAGCAGGTTTCTTTTTTCTTCTGCTTTCTATTTCAAATCGTATTCCCTCACCTTCTTCCAATGATGGAATCTTCACATGAGTTGCAGGCACCTTCTAGCACACTGCAGGGTTTTCATAACAGTTGAAAAACAACCCTAATTACTTTGCATAATTGAAGAGTAATTTTCCACAGTACAGGTGCAGTTACCTGAAATCTATTCTCCTACAAAGTGTTTAAATAATTCTTCCCCATGTTAATTTTGTAAAGAAACCAGGTATCTTTCAATAACCTCATTTTTTTCATATTAGAAAGAGAATTGAGCTTTACCTTCCTCAGAACGAGAAATGTTGTCATATCAGTTTAATCCTGTCCGCACAGTTTGTTCAGGAAAAGTTGACTCCATTGAGAAAGGGCATGGGCTCTGCCAAGTTTCTAGAACTGACTAAAGTTTACTTCAATGGTAATTGTTTACTTTTTTTTTCTTTTTTTGAGACAGAGTCTTGCTCTGTCACCCAGGATGGAGTGCAGTGGTGCGATCTTGGCTCACTGCAAACTCCACCTCCTGGGTTCAAGTGATTCTCCTGCCTCAGCCTCCCGAGTAGCTGGGATTATAGGCACCCACCACCACACCAGGCTAATTTTTGTATTTTTAGTAGAGGCAGGGTTTCACCATGTTGGCCAGGCTGGTCTCAAACTCCTGACCTCAAATGCTCCACCCACCTTGGCCTCCCAAAGTGCTGGGATTACAGGTGTGAGCACCTGGCCAATTATTTACTTTTATTTCTTCTAGACAGAGACCATTAAAGCTCTTTACTAGGGATCTAAGTACTTCAATGTGATATGAAGAAATTAGCTCTGCAAAAGCAAAGTCCTATCATTTTTTGTATTCTGCAGAGTTAAGTTGGCGGGGTACGAAATGACCTTGAAAGATCCCTTCAAAGAAAGAATTTCTTGACTTTTTTGAAGTCTGATGTAGACAAAATAGTATTTTCCTTGGCTTAAGACACACATAAACACCAACTTCTATCAGTTTCCCCAAACTTTATAATGTATACATGTGCATCTCTGAACATAACTTAAAAACATTCTTTATTGGAGAATTTCCGTTTTCAGTTTAACAATAAGTAGTGAAGTCTTTAGTTTCAGGTAATATTTAATCTGTTAATGAAACATTACTGAATGGAAGGAAGAAAAATATAGAGGTATTGCCTTGTAAGTTATAAATGGCCAGAAATGGCTGTGTTGTGCACTTAATGACTTCCACAGCTCTAAGAAAGGGATGTCTTCATCCTAATGTACCTCTTATCTTTATGGCTAGAACTGAGAGAATCAAATCCTTTTATGGAATTCCATGATGTTCCAGATTCATTACTCATGTTAACTTCAACTTAATAATTATCCTAAAGTAATTATGCAAAGTAATTAGGGTTGTTGTTGTTGTTATTTTAGAGAGGTTTTTTCTTTGTTCGTTTTTTGAGACAAGGTCTCCCTCTGACACCTAGGCTGAAGTGCAGTAGTGTGATCTTGGCTCACTGCAACCTCCATATCCCAAGCCCAAGTGATCCTCCCACCTCAACCTCCCAAGTAGCTGGGACTACTGACACGCGCCATCACACCTGGCTAATTTTCTGTGTGTGTGTGCGTTTTTTTTTTTTTTTTTTTTTTTTGGTAGAGACGAGGTTTCATCACGTTGGCCAGGCTGGTCTCGAACTTCTGAGATCCAGCGATGTGCCCACCTCAGCATCCCAAAGTGCTGGGGTTACAGGCATGAGCCACTGTGCCCAGCCTTTTTAGAGAACTTTAATCCATTTTTGAGGACAGTCAGAATGCCTTGTTATGCTTGTAAACAAAATGACAATGGCCAGAAAAAGTTTGGCATTTTTACGCTGCAACATGGCTACATAGCACTTCCTTGACAGCAAGAAGTTCAACACCATAAGTGAAGACTCTTGAATTCATACACACGCCCATGCACACACACACACACACACACACACACACACACACACACACACGTAATAACAGTCTTTCAGGACTTTGCGGGGCAGATTCTATGCCTAGGTTTGCTGATTAATTTGTGTAATTCTTTCAGAAGTGTTACACAGTAGGCTTCTTGGGTATACATTAATACAGTAGACTTAAAGTCACATATGCACAACAAAACAAATCATAAATAATGAGATATTAAAAACCAACTGTCACTGAGGTAGCAATTATTGGTGTCTCTTTTTCGCTTCAGTGACTTTTTCCTTTTACCCTGAGACATGCAAACAGAACAAACAATTAGCGAAATAATTGATGATCAGTATCTTCAAAGCTTGTGGTGACCTGGTTTATGCTTTATAAGCTTAATAATGAGAACACCTCTTATTACTGATTACTGCACTGCCTGGTGCTCTCCGATGGTGCTCCGGAGGTACATCTGTATTAGACAAAAGGTTTTTATCTGCCCTTTACAGTTAGTTGGTCCCTAATGAACTGAGCTTTTGTCCCTTGCTGTTTTTAGATTCCAATTAAACTTGTTTATGGAATAGACAAATAATGAAAGATGTACTATTTTCCGTGACTTAATATTGTCTTCCAATAGGGTTGTGTTGCAGTTGGTGGCAATTAACATATATAGTTATGTTTTTAATCATTTATGTATTAAAACACATGCAAAATGTGCCCATGTTTTCTTAGTCTTCTTTGTGCTTGTCAACCCATTCTCTTAACTTGCATTGGGTATGCTAATTACCCTCTGTCAAGCTAGGGTAATTCATTTTTTCAAAGAAAAAAATCAGTTTTCATTTTATGCTTGAGAAAGTCAAAGAATGGCAGTTTATTCTGGAGTTTTCAGAACCAGAAAAGAATGCTTTAAGGTTATGACAAACTGATTTTATGTTGTGCACAGCACGAAGTATTAAACAGATAAATAGCATGTCACGTAGAAATTTTATGTTAAAGTATAATTTCTTATCTCTTTCGTTGAATTTTTTATCAACTTGCATTCTATATCAAGGTGTTATGCAAAATATCTCTATAAAATATTTCTTGATCACAAAAACATGGAGAATGAAGTAGGGAAACTTTTGATAGCCATGTCATCCCCAAACAAATTTAAAAAATTCCCACAATTCCTGGAGACTTTCGAACTGTTAGCTCTTTTGTAATCTGTAGAGAAGTACTCAAAATGATAGCCTCAGGGTCCCATTTTCAAGTTTTCAAATGAAGGTTTTAAATGTGTGTGGTCATTCTTTATCAATGAGATGGGCAACTCTAACTAAAATGACTGCCTCTAGGATTTTCAGGAAATGTGTGATATTAGCTAACGCTCCCATATCTCAAACACTCTTCCTTCCACATGGAAAGCCCTCAGAAAATATCTATGAATGGATTAAATTCCTCATCTCTATCCATGGGGTTTATCTGATTTTGAGTTAAGTATTAGTGAAAAGACCATGTCCTGTAATTCTGATGGGCTTATGTGAACACGTAAATTACCTGAGAGGTTTTATTTGGATAGGTGAGCTTTTTGTCTCCCTGAAATATCGAGTGTGTCTTGTACAAATTCTGTAATCAAAAGGAAAATACTACAGTTAGACATCTTTTAAAAGTTAAGATATATTTGTTGTCTTCAACCTACTAGGATAACAAGTAAAAATAGAAAATGTTATTTATTCTCAAGGCCTGAAGAGAGGATAGAAATATGATTCTAGGGACTACATATAACAATCTTGGACATATAAAAGATATATTTTGGATAGCTAGCAATTCTTCAGATGCTAAAACCTACCCTAGTGTGTAATGTAAATAGTTTGGACAATTCAACATTTTTAAAAATGTATATTTCCAACTATGTTTTGAATCTTTGAGGTTAAGACAAAATAGACATTTTTTTTCCATTATTCAGTTATGGTAAGGGAAAGTGCCAGATAATCAAATTCTACATAATTTAGGACTTCATAGTAGGTCATGTTTACATATAGTCAGAGTGAGTATGTAGAAATACACAATCAAGTTGCTGGATTAATCATCTCTTTCTGTTCCTTTCATAAAATATGCTGACAGATGACCATAGCACATGGAGTGCAGGTGGCCAGTAGGCTACTTGCTAGGGATCCCACACACTTCTGTTCCTATGAGAAAAGTTGCACGCTTATCAAGAGTTAGTTGTGTTTGTCCCCAAGCCCATTGTCTTAGTCTGTTTGTGTGCCTGGGTAATTTATAAGAAAAGGTTTATTTGGCTCATGGTTCTGCAGGTCATACAAGAAGTGTGATGGATGCCAGCATCTGCTTCCTGTGGGGCTTCAAGCTGCTTCCACTCATAGTGGAAGGGGTAGGGGAGCCAGTGTGTGCATGCAGAATGAGGAGGCAAGTGAGAGAAAAGGTGCCAGGCTCTTTTTAACAACCGGTTCTCCCAGGAACTAAGAAGAGTGAGAGCTCACTCATTCCCTCCGGTGAGAATGGCATCAGGCCATTTATGATTAAATGTCCCACACCCATGATGCAAACACCTCCCCCAGGTCCCACCTCCAATACTGGGGATCAATTCAACATGAAACTTGGAAGGGTCAAACAAAACATATCTAAACCATAGCATAAACCACCCATGTATACTATTTTTACTTGTTATTTTAATCACACAAAATTACTTATGATTTTAATTACATTTTACATCCATGAAATATTAATGTAAAAAAGGTTTTGTTTCTGTGACAACTAAATTTCTGAAAACATGTATGGTTACTTCTCCCAGATTTCTGTGTAAGTCTCTGTAAGTTGAAGAAACCCAAACTAGAACTCACTAGAGAATGCATTATGGATGTAGTTTATGCAAGAAAGATGAAGGGAAATGCCAATCAGCAGACAGGCCCATATTCAGTGAAAAGGTCCACACAGAAATGAAAAGTATTTGTTTTATTGCTGAACTGAAGCACAGTCATATATTTTAAGTTGAAATGAAATGCTTAGGATGAACATTCTTTTAACTATATCACACTTTAACTGTTTTGGGGGGGTTAATTGGACAACTATTATTCCCATTTGCTTCTGATCAGAGGACACCTACTGCAGCAGGTAAGTGGAATTTCCTTAAAACTAAGTACCTTGGATAATTCATTAACTAAACGCCTTTGGATGGGAGCCCAGAATCATGCTTATTTTCCTGCATTTTGCTCCATGATGATGTTAGAGTGAAATAGCTCTAGAACATGGAAAAATATCATTTTCCCAGTGTAAATCACAGCAAAGAATTGAAATATGGATAAATCAAGTGTCTCATTCAGGATCAGATCCTTTCTAGAGTATGCGCCCAGGTGATCTCTCACCAGTTTGCTCCTTAAAATATGAATACTGCACATTTATTTCGGGAAACATAATTTCTTCAAACACTAGCTGTTATCATTTGCTGAATAGCAAGCTATCTGGATTTTGGCAGCAACTTCCAGGATTTCTCCCATTTATATGCATATCTAGTGCAGAGCGTGTAAGTGAGAACTAGGCCTTGGGTAACCAACACATTATCATGTGTGAAAGTAACTCAATTAACACAGGTAGAATGTGAGAATGTCCATTAATTCCTCAGGAAACAATGGCTCATAGTGCTAGGCCCAATGCAGGGTCTTGCAGATGGTGTCAGACCAACTGTGTTTGCAAAGATACAATGCAGCATCTGGAGGGCTGGCAAAATCCAACGACTTCGGAGACAGCAAGTCAGATTTGATCAGGGAGCCCAACACTTGACCACATGAGTATCTCAGCTTCCTGGGATGTGTTCCAAAATCCATCCATCTCATCCAGTGTGACAGTCAAAAAAGTCACACTTCACATCTCCGCATCAAGTCATGTCTTTGACTGTCACACAACTCGGCCTGCCTGACAGAATAAATTTATAGCATCCTCCAATGGCTTCCTCACCTTTTTTAAAATACATAACCTTTTCTTCCCCTTAAGTAAAAAAAAAAATGCATAATAGACAAACTGAGTTACAGAATGCAATTTTCTGAGGACAAAGAAAGAGTTTAGAGATTTAAATAATTTCACTGATTTTAAAAAATGCTTGTCCTCCACTAGTTGTGGAAATCAGGGCATCAGGCAATGTAACCACCCGAGCATGTGTGTGGTGGTTAACAGCAAGGGCTCTTGAGTCCAACTTTCTGAATGTAGATAGCATTATCTCTTACCAGCTATGTGCCCTTGGGCAAGATGCCAATCTTTCCTGTGCTTAGGTTTATATCTTTTTTTTTTAATTGAGGTGGTAGGTAATAATAATATCTATCTCCAAGGTGTCATGAGGCTTTGATGCATGTAGAATATTTAGCATATTGTCTGGCATATAATACAAGGTAAATAAATGTTAAGCATATATATCTTTTAAGCCTTAGCTCTAAGTTAAGTCCTATGGAACGGAGGTGGTTTTCTTGCTCTAGTCTAGGCTTATGGGAGAGGATAAAAAAGAAACCTCTGATGGGCACTGCCAAGTTTGCCAGGATAAGAGACTGTTATAAATGTGCACTTGCTTGGAGTTCCCTTGTGCCATGTGTGTCAGGAATTGATGGCAGCAGATGGCATTTAGGTGAGGATTTGGGGATTCAGGATCCTGGCCATCTTCCCTTCTGTTGTGACTAATCATAATAATGATAATAAAGCTAATAGTTCAGGTTATTTTTATTATAATTATACATGTTTACAGTTATGCATGGTTAATAATAGTAACCACATATTTAGTGTTTATTATAGTGCCAGATACTGTTTTAAGCACTTTTCATATATTAACTCATTTATTCCATTCAACTAATCTGCAAGGTTTAATTCTCATTTTACAGAGGAGGAAATAGGTACAGTGGTCAAGTAAGTGAAAGAGCTAGAAATTGAACTCATGCAATCTAGCTCTGGAGCCTGAGCCACAGGCTGTGACATTAGGGATAAATATATATTTTCATTATAATCTGTATCATTATATTTTGCTATGATGTTCAACTCTTCCATAGCTTTTATTCATAAAACAAGTAAGAATTTCAGGGACTACTGTAAATCATAAATAATAAATTCATTAAAAGTAGGTATAGTAACATAATTCACTGATATTAGAAGGGCACTTACAGCTTTCGTAATTGCTGTAAGTGTCCTTTCTCCCAGGGAAAAATAAGAAGAATTCTCTATTGGGGAATAATTTTGTGTTTAATGAATGACACTATTGTTACCGTTGAATCACCAAACCGTATCCTGGCATATCAGTCTGAGTTCAATCAGGAAAGCAAAAGCCATCAAAGTATTTTGGTTAGAAATTAGTAATTACTGAATATGGAACTAAGGGATTATGCAACTTTTGGAAATTCTGAGAGGGTGAAGTCAGGAGGCCTTTCAGAAAGTATGCCAGGAGATTCAGTGATACAGGGTTTGCAGGGAAGCTGCAGCCAGCGACCTCAGCTGCGTGTAGCACGTAGTGGGTGATTCTTAGTAGAAATCCTCAGAAGTCAAAAGCAGGCCACACCTCAGGTAATCTAAACTTCCTGCCTGCCATTGCCACTGGGAGATGAGCTTTAGTCTGCGGGAGTGCCTCCCACAGGCCAAATCTAAAGGCCAGGGGCTTGTGGAAATTGTAGCTCCAAACTTCCCTCATATGCTGCAGAGATGAATGTAGATGAGGGTGACATCACTGCTGCATTCAATACAGACCCTGCACTGCACTGAGACACAGACTCAGGAAGTCAGTGCAGCCATCCCTCTACTTCTCCAGTACCAGGACAATTATTTTCAAAATGCATCAGAAGAGACTTGATAATTTTTTCCTATGATGGTGCAATAATATAATATTAAATATTTATAATTCCAATAACTATTTACTGGTCATTTTCTTTATTCAGAACACTGCATTAGGGACTCCCTCATTACTAAGGCACAGGTCTTGTACCAGGTGTTCAATTAAAAATTTTTGAATGAATAATTTTACTGAATATTATAAAGATATTAAGATATTTTCTAGCCTTACAACAGATAATGTAATCATTATGTGTCACATGAATAGGACAGATAAATGCTAGAGAAATTCAGAAGAGGAATCGGCCATTTTTGACTTCTGTGGTCAACAAAGAGTTTATTAAAGATATAGGATTTCAGCAAGACTTTAAAGAGAAAACAACCAGGTACTGTCTTAAGCAATTTAATTACATCAGAATCAAAACCTATACCTTTATGAGGTAGATACTGTTAGTGTTCCCATTTTACATCAATGGGAGCCATGGCTCAGAGAGGTTATGCACCTTGACTAATATTGCACAGGCAGAAATTGTCAGAAGTGGGCCACAACTAATAGTGCATAGGCACAAATCCGGATTAGTGAGATTCTAAAGCCTCTTTTAGCCTCATCATACCTAGTGCCAACTGTTTTAAGCTCTAAATTTAAATTGAGATAAACAGAGTTTCTTCGTGTACATTTACATACATCTCAGAAAAGCTACACAGGTGACTCAAGTTTTACCTAGAAAGTTAGACATAAACACATTGAAATACATGTATTTAATACAAGCCTGTCTCATATCAACACAAACCAACCCATTAGTACAATTGTGAATTAGGATACTCCAAAGCCTTTTGCAGCCAACTCTTCATTATTAGGCTATATTATAATCAATGGTCCACTTTAGGGAAAGAACTTTGATTTATTAGTGAGGCAGCCTAGCTTTGTGATTAAGAGTAATGGCTCGGCCGGGCGCGGTGGTTTGCGCCTGTAATCCCAGCACTTTGGGAGGCCGAGGCGGGCGGATCACGAGGTCAGGAGATCGAGACCATCTGGCTAACACAGTGAAACACTGTCTCTACTAAAAATACAAAAAAAAAAAAAAAAAAAAAAAATTAGCCGGGCGTGGTGGCACACATCTGTAGTCCCAGCTACTCAGGAGGCTGAGGAGACTCGCTTGAACCCAAGAGGCAGAGGTTGCAGTGAGCCGAGATCACACCACTGCACTCCAGCCTGGGCAGCAGAGCAAGACTCCATCTCAAATAAATAAATAAATAAATAAAGAGTATGGACTCTGGAACTAAACTATCCTGGTTTTAATCCTGCTCCTGTCACTTACTAGGTTCATAACCCTAAATGTTCTCATCTGAAAAGTAGGAATATTAATAAAATTTGCTGTATTGTATATTGCTGCATAACAAATTACTACAAAACTGTGAGTCAGGAATCCAAGTGTAGCTTAGCTGGGTGCTTCTGTTGCCAGGTCTCTTATAAGGCTGCACTCAGGGTGTCAGCAAGGGCTATGGTTTCCGCTGAAGGCTTGACCGAGTGAGAATCTGCTTCCAAGCTCACACTTTTTAGCAGGATTCAGCTCTTTGTGGACGATTGAATGGCAACCTCGGGTCTTCTCTGGCTGTTGGTCAGAAGACTCTCTAAATTCCTTGCTACGTGGTCCTCTCCATTCTCTCCCTAACATGGCTCACAACATGGCAGCTATCTTCCCTCAAGCAAACAAACAAAGAGAAGCCACAAGATGGAAGCCAAAGTCTCTTTGTGTTTTTGTTTTGTTCTTTTTTGATACAGGGTCTCATTCTGTTGCCCAGCCTGGAGTGCAGTGGTGCAATCATAGCTGATTGCAGCCTCAAACTCCTGGGCTCAAGCGATTCTCCCATGTCAGCCTCCCAAGTAGCTGGGACTACAGGTGTGCACCACCACACGCAGCTAATTTTAAAAAATTTTTGTAGAGACAGGGTCTTGCTATATTGCCCAGGCTGATCTTGAACTCAGGAGTTCAAACAATCCTCCCACCTCAGCCTCCCAAAGGGCTGGAATTACAGGCATGAGTCACTGCACCTGTGCTCACAGTCTCTTTGAACCTCTAAAGTGGTATCTCATTTATTTTGCCATATCATAAGCCATTGTGTTCAGTCCTCACTCAAGAAGAGATGATTGCAGACAGACGTGAATACCAAGAGGCAGGGATCACAGTAGATTATTTTAGAGGCTGCCTACCACATCTGTCTCATATTTTTGTTGTTTAGGTTGAGTTGATATGTGTAGGAGATCTTAGAAAAATGCCTGGACCTAAGTCATATGTAAGTGTTCTCTATAACTATTACTATATTCAGTTCATTGGCATGCTTAATAAATAAGACTCAATTTCTACTTTCAAGAAAATGATAGTCTAAGTATATATCAAAAAGTGAAAAGTACCACGGTCGAGGCAAAAATAAAGAGCTGTGGATATTGCAAGGAGAGGGTGATCACAAACAGTCATGAAAGATCAGAAAAGATTTTATTAATGAAGCAATATTGAGCAGAGACCCCAGAGTATGGGTAATGTATTGATGGGGCTAGGTTGGGGAGGCTGGCAGGGGGAGGGTGAACAGGGAGTTGTTGTTGAAGGCAGCAAAGCAGGTCACTGTCTAGGTTGTCTAAGGTAGTGGATATTATCCAGGAAATCTTGGGCAATCCAGGTCAACTAGAGTGTCCAAAATGCCCTAAACTGGGAAATAAGAACAAAAGGAAGGATCAACACCTGGCTATTGAGAATACCGATGGAAAGCCTGATGTATTGTACTTAATTCTGTCAGTAATGGGAATCATTGAGGACTAGGAGCACACATGAGGCGAACTGCAAGAAGTTTATTCTTCCAGCTGGAAGTAAGAATGGATTGGGGCAAGGAAATCCTGGAGATGAGCCCAGTTAGGTCATTATCATAACAGTTAAGGTGATGAGGGATGAAGATATCTCCAAACTAGAGCAGTGTCTGCAGGAAGGATGAGGAAGGGAATGAATTTGAGAGGGAAGTAGACTCAGTAATAGTTTTGATATCCCTAATTCAAGTTTAGTATTAGGCTTATGGCTTTGAGGAAAGACCTAAAGACAAATCCTAACTCTAACAACTGTTAGCTGTATCACCTTTGGGCAAATTGTTCAAACTCTCTCAACTTTAGTTTCTTTGTGTCAAGAGAATTAAATTACACATATATATGTGTGTGTATGTATATATGTGTATATATATATATATATCTTGAAATACATATATATATGTATATATGTATGTAAAGCATCCAGCATGGTGACTTGCATAGTATTACTATAAAATAAATCACTAAAATAAATACTAGTTTCCTCACACTGGAAGGGTTAGTATTTATAAATAGAATTGTAATTAGAATTCTAGGTCATTATTTTATAATTAATCCTATTTATAATGGGTTTAATTTAACATATATAATAGAAACAACAGCTAACTTTTATTAATTTATTAATTTATGCTGAGCTGTGCTGAGCGCTATACAGGCATCATTTTATTTAGTCCTGCCATCAATCATATGAATATGTATTTCTATCATCTGTATTTTACAGTTCAGAAAACTGAATCTTAGGGAAATTCACTCTCTTAAAGCCCAGCAGCTGGTAAGTGACAGAGCCCATGTTTGAAGAGATTCTTGCTGATTCCAAAATCTTGCTTTTAATTGTTGAACTGCCTTTCTAAAATATAAATGAGTACACATAAATATTTCTCTTTCCATATATAGATCACCTGTTATACCATTTACATAGCAGGAGTCAATACACGCTTGTTGATGAAGACTCATCACTCATTCAATTGAAATGATGTGGCTGCCATTTTTTTGGCTTCAGACTTGCCTGGCACTTCACCTCCTGCATGATGAATGTGGTTTTACTCCTTTCTATTTTGGCACTCCTCAAGTGCTTTAAAAATGTTCCCTTCCTGACTTCAAGAGGTGATTTACCAAAATGTCAGTCAGAATTAATTTGAATGATATTCATTGCAGTTCCCTAAGGCCTAGAGTTACTGGCATGTTGTTTTCAGATGTCATATTTTGATGGGAGATAACATTTTAACTGGAGTGGGAAGGGCATGATTTTGGATGAGTCAAGCAGTAAGTCACCAGGGACTATATTCATAACTGTAGTACTGTTCTGCTTTTACAGGAGTTGTCTAATCACTGTGATTCCAACGCATTGAAAAGTTCCAGCATCCAATCTTTTATTTCATCTTGCAAAAATCCTTCTCCTTAAATTACTATATGTCATCATTTTCATAAAGAGATTTAAATTTTAGTTTACTCTGATAACTTCTTCAACATTTATTCTTATACCAATGAGATAATTAGGGTCATTCCAGGAGACTGTGATACCAGGATTTGGAATTGTTGATACCATAATTCTACATCTCAGCTCTTTCTATTCAAATAAACTTGGAGAATCTGGAGTTGTTTTTTTTGTTGTTGTTTTGGGGATATTATTTCTAGGTAGAAAAGCAGAATAACAATGTTTGCTCTCTTCCGGGTTCATTGAAAGCAGGATCTCAGGCAAAGGATTTTAGAAATCATCTAACATGCCTTGTCTTTTAAGAACAAGAAAATTAAGATTCAGGGTGGTGAGGTAACTCATCCAAGGTCACACAACTGCTTAGTGATGGGAATAGAAGTGGAATTCAGGATTCTTGGCATCCAACCCAAAGTCAAATTAAATGAATCTAGCAGGTGCTTAGCTCTTCAGAGGTGCCTTGTCTAGGTTTTCAATAAAACCATGAAGTAGTTAGCCATAATCCTTGAGAATACGTTACTGTTTATTAATGAAGAAAATGTTCACCCCCTTACATATCATCTTCTGAATTATTGCTAATTGGTTAGCAACTTAATTTTGGCTTTAGCACAGAGCGTTGCCCATATTGTTTCCTTACTGCTTCTTAGAAATGCATTGATTAAAAGAGATGATTCCATCAAATCAAATGATTTTCCTAAAGTATTTTGAAATAAAAGCAAGATGTGCTAGTACCAGCATTAGACAGTACATAGACATCTGTCTATACCTGATACAGTTTAGGCATTGTAGAGACTAAGACAAATAAGTCCATTTTCATTTTTGTACTCCTGTAGAATGACTTATGAAGGAAATGGAGTTGATGGGATGACATCCTGTAAGTCTAATTAAATAACATGAAGAAACAGGTATGAAGGGGCTACATCACAAGCAGGTTAACAAAGAAGGGTCAGGTCAGTTGTTTAGAGCAGTGGCTTCCAGACCTTTGAATTTCAAAGACTAGAGAAAGTTCTCCACAGAATTTTAACCATCAAATATAATGAAGCTCTGCTTATAAACAAATTTTCAGGCTAAATTTTATTTTCACAAATACTCAAATTTTTTAAGAAGAAACTTTCATTTACTATTGCCATTATTATCTAAGAAACAGGATATTTTAAAATTTTAAAAGTTTAATAACATAATTTCAGAATAAATGCTAAACTTTCCCCAAAAAAACTAGTTTCAGTTGGGACCTTTATACCAGTAGAGGGGTTTGTGTGAATGTGTGTGTGTGTATGTGTGTGTGTGTGTGTGTGTGTGTGTGTTATGTGTGTACACCTTATATTTTGTGCCATCATTTTGTTATAGATGGTACAAACTCTATAACAGCAGTTATCTAAGGACTGATATTTAGGAACAATTAGTTTTTGTTATGTGAAACCAGTAGATATTTGCTTTCTGTCCTGAAGCTAGGGAAGGATCCCAGGTAAAGGTGAAACAGCAGGAGTGTTTTAAAAAATAAGATACCAGAGGTTAGAGACAGGTACATTTTCAAGTATAGGTATAGCTTGAAAGAAGTCCCAGACACATATAATTATTAAATGAAAGCATTTGGTAACTATATCTGAGTAAAAATAAAACTTGCATAGAGAAATGAGATGGAAAAGAAGAGGTAGAGGAAAACCTTTGAAGACTCTAATTAATTTAAATATATGCAGTTTATTACTCCTCAGTTTTAATCATGGTCACAGTAATAATGAAAAGCATTGATTCAAGAAGGGAAGAGAAAAGCATTGATAGAATAGCTGTTCTGAATAAGTAACTAGAAATTTTTCTCTTTGAAAGTGTTCTACTTGAAATAAATGCATAGCTGTCAAGCTTCAAGGTAAATGCAGTAACTCTTTTTTATAGGAGTTCGTCCTTTAACGACATGTCTTTCCTGCTAGGAAAATGTTATTTAAAAATTCATAATACAGAAAATAGCAAACAGTCATTATACACTAATCCTGGATCATCTTGCCTGGGAATAGCAAGGCCATGGTATGCCAGGAACAGAGATCCTTCCCTTAAGATAGCAAAAAAATTCCTAAATTTCTTTTTAGGGAAAGATTCCAAATTATCTCTCTTCCAAAATTTGGCTGTGGGGGTCTTGGGAAGATTTTTCCTATTTTCAGCTGCTAGCTGCTGTCATTGGGAGGATGGGGCTGTGGAAAACTGGGATTGGAGACTGAGTTTCTTCTTGCTGAGCGGCCATCACTTTCTTCAGAGATATCATGGAACACCAGTGTTACCTTGATTGGAATCCAAATTAGAATCTGGTAATCCATTTTTCCTAAAAAAGAAATGTTATTAATGATAGTTACATCCTAGGATGGAGTATCGGGATCATCTAACTTTTTATGTAACCTTGGTGCCAGCTCTAATTATTTATTGAGCACCTATAGGTGCCAATCACAATCTGAATCAATGATAGATTTTCCCTAACTGTATTTTAACTCTGTGATTATGACTTGTGATTGTTTGTTCTAATGGGCTATGACTTGTTTTATATTGTCCATTAAGATATCCCTAAGTAGCCTCATTTATACTTTCATTAATAAGTGTGACCAATTAGTCATATATCTGTTTATGAAATAAGAATTACTAATAAAAATACTGCTTAGACCATTGTCGGATTATAGGAGACACCATATTCAAAATAATTTTACTTTTTGGGGGTTGTGTCTTACAATGTCACCTATAAACAATTAAGAAGTCCTCTTTTTTTATTTAAGTAATGAAACTAAAGATTTATATTAAGAAGTCCTGTTTTTTCTTTATTTTAAGTAATGAAACTAAGGATTTATACTAGACCCCAAAACACAGTTCAAAGAAAATAATTACACTGCCTCCTTTACTATTCTGAAAATGGAAATCCTCTAATTAATGAATACAGAAAAAGCTGCATGGGTCAAATATTTCCTCCTTCTCAGTAGAAGATCTTTTGTAGCATTATTGATGTCTGCTAAAGAGATCAATGGGAGGGACAGTTCGAGAACATTTGGGGAGATGCAGGGTAAACAAAAGGATATACTCTTCTATTACAAAAAGCACCTGTAATCTCCTGTCTTTTCATAACTTATTTTCAATTTTAAAGAGATATTTTATTGGTCTTTAGTGTAATTTAGTAAAAGGTAACAGGTCCAGGAGGTTCCGAAGTGAGATGAGCAAAGGGTTGAGAGGTTATGAGTGGGGTGTAGAGTGTGGCTAGTCAATTGCATTTCTCTGTGCAACATGGAGCTTGAGTGCCCTGACTCTGTGTTATACTTTCTGGGTTTTTATCCCAGCTGTGCCACTTCCTAGTTGTGTGATCTTAAGCAAATCACTGAATATCTCCAACCTTCAACTCCTTCATTTGTAAAATGAGCATAATAATCATGTCCCCCTTTAGGGTTGTTATGAGGATTAAATGAGTTAATATATCTAGAATTCTTAGGATGCAACCCGGCACAATGGGTGTTTGCTAATATTATGGAGCAGTGTTCTCCAAAGCAGAGTGTACTCCTCAGAGAGTGACAAGGCAAATATCTATGTTTATTTTTATCTTAGTCTTTTAACTTTCCTCTTTTATTTATGCGTTCTAACATACATAATATTTTTGAATAGTAGTGTATATGTATATTTCATATATATTACATATAAATATATTGGAGGTGCACAAATGTTTTCTCACTCATAAAGATTAGAGACCACTGATATGGTAGTCTCCTAATTTTGCTTTAAAATATAACTCTCTGCCTGGGCGTGGTGGCTCATGCCTGTAATCCCAGCACTTGGCAAGCCAAGGCGGGAGGATCACTTGAGGTCAGGAGTTCGAGACCAGCCTGGCCAACATGGTGAAACCCCATCTCTACTAAAAATACAAAAATTATCTGGGCGAGGTGGCGTGTGCCCATAATCGCAGCTACTTGGGAGGCTGAGCCAGGAGAATCGCTGGAACCCAGGGGGCAGTGGTTGCAGTAAGCCGAGATCGCATCACTGCACTCCAGCCTGGGCGACAGAGTGAAGCTCTGTCTCAAATAAATAAAATAAAGTATAACTCTTGGAACCAAATGTGGTGGTGTGTGCCTACAGTCTCAACCACTCAGGAGGCTGAGGCAGGAGGATCACTTGAACCCAGGGGTTCGAGTCCAGCCTGGGCAACAGAGCGAGACCCTGTCTCCAGAAGAAATAAAATAAAAAATAAAAATAAATTTTAAAAGTCTAATTTTAATTGGCTTTTCTTATGAAGAATCTTTATGTATAACAATTATATTTTATCTTGAGGCAAACTTATCAGAGTAAGATTACTGTTTTTAAGAGTAAACTAATTAATAATACTACTAAGCTAATTAATAATGCTATGAATGTATTCAAAGTTTCCTTTTTCTTCTTTTAGATTTTTTTTTCTTCAGAATATCCCTCACTAGGGCATAATTCTTAAATTTTGTGAACGTTCAAGTAATATAGATTGATGCATTTCTTTAAGACAAGAAATCATTCTAGATTTCATGTGTACACATAGAAAGACCTCAATTGGGTATTTATAAGCTACTCTTAACTTTTTTCTACCTCCCCTTTATTTAGATTTTGTTCTGTGCATTGATATACTAATTCCCTGAATTATCTCTTAAACTCTAAGGACAGGAATATAAAAGAATCATTAGCTAGGTAAATGTTTTCCTTTGAGAGTTGGATATCTTAAAACCTAATTCAAAATGCATGCCCCTTTATGGTCCAAACTATTTTATTACAACTGAAGAACAATCCTGTGGCATCAAGTATAGACTGAAAATTAGCAGGAAGCTTTTTGAAAACACCACTGTGACTACAGAACAAATATATGAAATAATTATTACCTTCAGAAAGTTCTAGAGAGGCTTGCTTCCACAAGATGTCATTATATAAATGATCTTTGGAGGGCCTCAGAGCTCATGATAAAATTATCAAAGTGCTTATTAGGAGGCAAACAACAGCTCTGCTGAGATAAGTGTAATAGGCTTAGAAAAGCACATCTATGGTGCAGTCCACCTACACAAATTCAGCTCCTACAGGAACACAGAAAACACTCTGAAATTCATTAGCATGCAGTATTTACTCAAAGGCTGCAAAAACATTGTGTTTGCATAATTTTATCAATTGTCAATAGCAGTGCTTGCCAACATTCATATCTTTATTGAGATGCAAAATTAAGAACAGGAAGAAAGTCTGTATCAATATTAATACTGAACTCACTTGAAAAGATGACATTTATTAATAATGTATCTAGCTCAACATTCACAATGACATTTAAAAACCAAACACAGTCCTCATACATACATACTTTTTAAACAAATCTTGTCTATCAGCCACCTTATAGTTTTGAAATATGTAAACCATTTTTTCCATTCCAAAAATGTCTACTTCCCAAAAATATCTATTGAGATTTGGGATGGGCTGGATGTAGTTAGAACAAGAGCAGTAATAAGACAAAGATTACAATGAATTAAACATTTTATGGAGAATTGTTGGTGCAAAGCATATTAGTTTTGAAAACTCTTGTGTTTGGGGAACAGCTGGTGTGGGCTGAACATGAAAACAACTGTTGTAAAACAAATGTTAAGGAATTGCTATAAACAAGACTATTTATTTACAGTATGTTTCAATTCTCTTTCTTTCCTCTTTTCTCTCTCTAACCTCTCTATGTCCATCCTTACCAATACAACCAGAATGGTGAAAGATTCCAGGTACATAGGTGCGTAGGGGTCTGTGTGTGTGTGTGTTTGTATGATGAGAATTATAAGTATATACACATACATGTATATATATGCACATATACACATACATATGTAATAAAAATATATATAATATAAAATATATAAGTGTATTTATACATATACATATATCTCCAGTTTTTACAATTCTGTGTGTTTAAGTTAATCATTTGTGCTCAAAAACTGTGAAAATGCTATAGTGATGATATTATGGCCATGATGTTAGTTGTGTTTTTTTTAAAGTCACTATTTTTCCCATATTCTTCACGGGAATATTTATTTATTTATTTATTTATTTATTTATTATTTTATCTTGAATAAATTTCAAGATATTTATTTTGAAATTTATTTATTTATTTATTTATTTATTTTATCTTGAACTTCAACTTTTAATGTATTATGGTACATGGGCACAAGACCTTATATTGTGCAAAACCAGCCACATTTCACATATGACCTAATGTGTTTTGAACTTTTAAAATGAGGAAGAAGCTAAGAACACTTGAAGTGGGGCAGGTACCTTGGGCTCCACCACTCTCTTTAGAGCTGCTCTACATGAATTTCTAGCACCATCCAGAACTTAACACCTTCTTGTCCTATTTTCAGTTTGCTTCCAACCCACTCCTGTTCAGTTGTTCAGTACAAAGGGAACTCATGTATCAGAATCATTTTTTTTCATTTTTTAATGCTGTTTCCCACGAATACTTCCCCAAATGATTATGATTATTTAGTTTAATTAAAAGAACATGAAAAGATTGTTGATAAAAATAATAGAAACGTTCTTATGCAATTGTTCTTTAACATATAAACTTCTGGAGGGCAGGGGGATGTTTTAAGTGCCATTTATTTTCTCCTTCATTACAGGCTTCAGTAAACACAACTTTTCCTAAAAGGTACTGGTATTATCATGTCTTGACTCTTATCAACATTTTATGTCTCTCACAAGCCTGGGGATCAGTGTAGCCTACTGAGCAATGGCTCTCTGCTGTAGAAGTTTCCCAACTTAACTTTGAACAGTCAGGGAACTAGGTGTTTCACATTCGTATGACCTGTGTTTTATGTCTGCTCTGAGTTTGAAATAAACTGTAAGACCTTAAAATAATTTATTTCCTCATTTTCCGTTTTTAAAACTGAATTAAATAATATATGTAACTGTAGTTGAGGTACCTATCATAAGTGTTACTTTTTTACCTTTTTTAATATTCTTCAAAAATTTTAAACTTGCAATATTGGGAAAATAGTACAATGAACAAAGAAATATTAGACACTAAGTTTACTTTTGTTTTTTATTCACACACCAGTTTTAATCCACCAGGAATTCTCACAATCCTGCAATGGTTTTCTAGTTTGAGAGAAAATAAAATACTACTTTTATTTATATTTTAATACAAAGTGCTATTAAGGAGAGAATACTGACTGTTTTATTTATAAAAACATTTATAAATCTAGTTTTTGTTTTATAACAAAAACCAAGTGAGGTTTTTGTTATAGTTCTTCCAAGCACTTATTGCCTTGTAAAATTTCTTTTCTTTTCTTTTTTTTTTCTGAGACAACGTCTTGCTCTGTCTCCCAGACTGGAATGCAGCAGCACAATCATAGCCTCAAATTCCTGGGCTCAATGATTTTCCTACCTTGCCCAGCTAATTAAATTTTTTTTTTTTTTATAGAGATGAGGTCTCATTATGTTGCCCAGGCTGATCTCAACACTTGGCCTCAAGCGATCCTCCTGCCTCAGCTTTTAGAAAGCTCTGGGATTACAGGCATGAGCCATTGTACCCAGTCAATATTTTATGGCAAATCCTGATTATTATTCCTATGAAATGAGAGTTGCTGATATGTAAAAATTGAATATTCTCCCTAAGAGTTATAGTCTATTATTATTTATCACCCTTTCCTATATGTGTTATGAAGTGTGAGAAGTCCAAATTGTTTTATTTTCAATTTTTGGGAAGAAAACTACAATGCAGACTATGAGGGTTACTTTATTATTCAAGAAACGTACCTATTAAACTACCATGCTCGGTGTGGTGTCTTATGCCTGTAATCCCAGAACTTTGTGAGGTGGAAGCTGGAGGATTGCTTGAACTCAGGAATTCAAGACCAGCCTGGGCAATATGGTGAAACCTCATCTCTGCAGGAGAAAAAAAAAAAAGCGGAGCATGGTGGCATGCGTCTGTAGTTTCAGATACTTGGGAGGCTGAAGTGAGACGATTGCTTGAGCCCTGGAGGTTGAGGCTGCAGTAAGCATTGATCCAGCCACTGCACTCCAGCCTAGACAACAGAGTGAGACTCTGTCTCAAAATTAAGTAAATTAATTAATTAATCACATTGACTTTTATTACCATAATCCACTTATTCTATTTTATTTCAATAAATAACATTGGGTGCCTACTTTTTGAAAACTGGTACATGGGTGAATACTCTTTGTTATCAAGGAGCTTATAATTTAACAGGGCAGAGAAAAGATTCTCCAAAAGCATAGAAAATTTTATGTATTTCATAAAAGAAAAAGAAAGATAACATTTTTTGTGCTACACTACTTATATAATAATCTCATTCCATTTTCACAACTGCATTGGTTTGCTGTTAGGGAAACTGAGGTTCTGAAAAGATAAATAATTAACCAAAGTCTTAAGGCCAGGTAGTGGGGATTAGGGAGGTTGATGTCATTCCAAAGGCCACATTCCTTTTATCATAGTGAAAATATGTTCAGAATTCAGAAAAATAGGTTTAGGAAAAGGTGTCTAACTTCACTGGGGGCCAGGAGGGGAATAGATCAGGAAAGATTTTGGGAAGATTGAACAATATTGAGAAAATTCTATTTCATACAAATAAGTATTTGCAAATGGTAATTTTTAGCTGCTTACCTTGTCCCCTCTGTTTGCTCTTCAATTAAACTAATCTAGGAACTTGAAACAAGATTAGAAGACAATTTTTTATTCAGTTAAATCATTACAAAAGTGATTGACATTACTATTCTGAATATAAATGTATGACTGAAGGTGCTCAGAATTCCTAATTCATACCAAGCTACCTATGTGACAATGTAGTATGTGATGAATTTATTACTGCTCAAATGACTGTTGCTCACCTGAGCATCTTGTTTGGAGCTCAGAGCTCGGATGGAGACCTATGAACAACTTAAGGCCTCAGTATAAGTCTTGGTCACTGCTTTAACAACTTCCAGCAGTCAACATGAAAGATGATACCCAGAAGAATGCAGGAAAACTATAAAGAATGGACAGGCGCATGCAGAAAACTTCCAATTAGCATGCATAGTGTCCTTGTGACCAATGAGCACTACCTAAATTTTGCAGAAATCAACATACATCAATCTGGATTTAAATTTTAAAAAACAATGCAGAACTATAATTCTCCCAGGTGATGACACATTTCTAATACTCAAGTATGTGCAGGGTTGGTGGGGGGAAGGAGGAGTTTTATTTTAAAGTCTGCACAAAAATGAAGGAGGAGCCCAAACAAAGGGGTTTGGTGTTCTCCAGTGCATCAGAATGTGATATAAAACTCATAGATATATACTTGATTTTAATTGTGGATTTAAAAATAGTTTTAAAATATTTTTAAAGAAACTAAAGTTTTTGAACAGCCCCTGAAGCACTACCACAGGACTCTAGTGTCCTAAGGGACAGCATTTGAAGAGTACTGATTTAAAGCATAATTTTCCTCCAGGAAATTCTCTAGAACTGTTGGATATAGAGGTAAACACTTCATTTTACTCTAAGCAAACAGGGGTCATTCTTGCCTATTCAACTGCTCTTTCCAAATCTTCAGAGGAACTCCTGCTGCTTTTGTTGACATTAGTGATAGCCTACTGGGAAAGAAACTTCGTGGAGAGAAATGTCAGCTTTTTCCTTCTAAAAACCTAAAGCGAGAAAATATGCAAGAGGGGACTAGCTGTATGTGACTAAATAAGGTGCTCTTGAATGATTAAAAATATGAGGTTGCATTAATTTTTCTTTTTTTACTTCTGAACTAGACCATTCTGAAATTGTTTTGGCTATAACAGAAAGGATTATAATAAAAATGTGTTATAATAAAATTGCAGTACTTCCAATCTTGTCAATTATAATAAAAAGTTATTGCATTCAATTAGGTGATGATTCAGTCATACATATCAACATGTCTATGAATTTCATTTTAAGATTTTACTATACTTAAGAAAGAATAATTATTTTAATAGAACAGCTTGAATAGAAAATTAACTAGAAGAGTATGTCCATTTTCAGATTAGATGTTGTATTATACATTCTGGCATACATATTTAACAACATGTTCTTAATGTATTAATCCAAATTTTTAAATTTTCTTCCATTTAACTTTTAAGATAAAGAAGCAAAGTATATAAAATCTTTCTGTAGAGGAAATGCAATGAAATAAAATGTTCTCACTTATTAAATGAGTTTAGATTCCGCTTTATCATGTATACCATCTGCATCTTTGCACTACAGTATACATTTGCATTCATATGGTGACATCTATGTTGAAAACTTTTGTTCAGATCAGTGATCCAAAGGTATTTCAGAATATTTAAACATCCAAGACAGATTCAGGTAAGTTCACTTATGATGTTTTATTAAAGATTTCTAGAATATTTGCAAACAGGCATACCTTCAAGGTATTGTGGGTTGTGTTCCAGACCACTGCAATAAAGGAAATATTACAATAAAGTGAGTAACACATATTTTTTTGTTTCCCATTGCATGTAAAAGTTATGTTTACACTATATGTAGTCAACTAAGTTTGTAATAGCATTATGTCTAAAAAATAATGTACATGCTTTAATTGAAAAATACCTTATTGCTAAAAAATGATAATCATCTGAGCCTTTAGTGAGTCGTAATCTCTGCTGTTAGAGGGTCTTGCCTCAGTGTTGACTGGCTGCTGTCCAATCCTGGTGGTGGTTGCTGAAGGTTGGGATGGCTGTGGCATTTTTTTTTTAAGGATTAAATTTGCTCCATTGATTGGCTCATCCTTTCATGTAAGAGTTTTTGCCAGGCGCGGTGGCTCACACCTGTAATCCTAGCACTTTGGGAGGCTGAGGCAGGTGGATTGCCTGAGCTCAGGAGTTCAAGACCAGCTGGGCAAACAGTGAAACTCCATCTACTAAAATACAAAAAAAATTAGCCAGGCATGGCGGTATGCCCCTGTAACCCCAGCTACTCAGGAGGCTGAGGCAGGAGAATTGCTTGAACCCAGGAGCCGGAGGTTGCAGTGAGCCCAGATCATGTAACTACATTCCAGCCTGGGTGACAGAGGGAGACTCTGTCTCTAAAAGAAGAAGAAGAAAAAAGATTTTTCTGTTGTATGAGATGCTGTTTGATAGCATTTTACCCACAGTAGAACTTCTTTCAAAATTGGAGTAAATCCTCTCAAACCCTGATGCTGCTTTATCAACTAAGCTAATGGAATATTCTAAATTCTTTGATGTCATTTCAACATTGTGCATAACATCTTTCCCAAGAGTAGATTCCATCTTAAGAAGCTACTTCCTTTGCTCATCCACAAGAAGCAACTCCTCATTCATTCAAGTGTTATTTTGAGATTGCAGCAATCCAGTTCCATCTTCAGGCTCTACCTCTAATTCCAGTTCTCTTTCTATTTCCACTACATCTGCAGTTACTTCCTCCACTGAAGTCTCCAACCCCTTCAGGTCATCCATAAGTGTTGGAATTGACTTTCAAACTCATGTTGATGTTGATATTTTGACCTTCTCCTATGAATCCTGAATGTTTCTGATGGCCTCTGGAATGGTGAATCCTTTCCAGAAGGTTTTAAATTTTATTTGCCCAGATCCACCAGAGGAATCACTGTGTATGGCAGCTATAGCCTTATGAAATGTATTTCTTAAATAAGACTTGAAAGTTGAAATAATTCCTTGACAGCAGAATAGATGTTGTGTTAGTAGGCATGGAAACAACATTAATCTTTTTGTATATCTCTGTCAGAGCTCTTGCATGATCAGGTGCATTTTCACTGAGCAATAATATTTTGAAAGGAACCTTTTCGTCTGAGCAGTAGGTCTCAACAGTGGGCTTAAGCTATTCAGTAAAACATTCTGTAAAGAGATGTGATGTCACTCAGGCTTTGTTGTTCCATTTATAGAACTCAGGCTGAACTGATTTAATGTAATTCTTAAGGGCCCTCAGTTTTTCAGAATGGTCAATGAGCATTGACTTCACCTTAAAGTCACCAGCTGTATTATCCCCAAACAAGAGAGTCAGACTGTCCTTTGAAGCTTTGAAGCCAGGTATTGACTTCTCTCTAGCTATAATATTTCTAGATGACATCTTCTTCCAATAGAAGGCTTTTAAAATCTACATTGAAAATCTGTTGTTTAGTGAAACCACCTTCATCAGTGTTAGTAGCTAGATCTTCTGGCTAACTTGCTGCAGCTTCTGCATTAGCCCTTAACTGCTTCACCTTCCACTTTTATGTTATAGAGATGGCATCTTTCCTTAAACCTCATGGGCCAACCTCTGCTAGCTTTCAACTTTTCTTCTGCAGCTTTCTCACTTCTCTCAGTCTTCACAGAATTAAAGAGAGTTGGGGCCTTGCTCTGTATTAGGCTTTGGCTTAAGGGAATGTTGTGGCTGGTTTGATCTTCTATCTAGACCACGAAAACTTTCTCCCTATCAGCAATCAGGCTGTTTTGCTTTGTTGTCATATATCTGTTCACTGGAGTAGCACTTTTCATTTCCTTCAAGAATTTTTTCTTTGCATTTACATCTTGGATAACTGTTTGGAGCAAGAAGCCTGGCTTTCAGCCTATCTTGGCTTTCAACATGCCTTCCTCACTAAGCTTAACTGATTTCAGGTTTTGGTTTAAAGTGAGAATGTGCAACTCGTCTTTCCACTGGAAGACTTACAGGCCATTGCAGGGTTATTAAATTGGCCTAATTTTAATATTGTGTCTCAGGGAATGGGGAGGCCTGAGGAGAGGGAGAAAGTCAGGGAACGATTGGTGGAGCAGTCAGAACACACATAGCATTTATTAAATTCATTTTACAATAGCAACATCAAAGGTCACTGATGAAAATGTCACCATAACAGATATAATAATATTCAAAAAGTTCGAAATATTGCAAGAATTACCAAAATGTGACACAGAGACATGAAGTGAGTAGCACCAATAGCCTTAACGCAGAATTGCCACAAACTTTCAATTTGTAAAAAACACAATGACGCAAAGTGCAATAAAATGAGATATCATATATATATTTGTTTAAAAATAGTTAGTTTTTGTTTTTGCTATATAACAACAATGTAAACTGTATCAGTAGAAGAGGAGTTGGGGACTTTCTGTGAAGGGCCAGATATATATTACAGGCTTTGTGTCCCCATCGTAACTACTCATTTCTACCTTTGAGCACAAAAGCAGCCACACCCATTGAGTCAATGAATAGGTGTGGCACGAGTTCAACTAAGCTTAATTAACAAAAAATAGGCAGCAGGCCGGATTGGTCCTTTATCGTTATCCATATATATAACTCAAATTCATTTTTTACAAATTATGTACATATATATATGTATATACAATTTATATATATATATATATATATAAAAGCAAACCCTATCGAGAGATTAAGATGTTTCTAATTTTTACTCTTAAAAACAATGCTACAGTAAATATCCTTTTAACTTGTTGATTATTTCTTTATAATAAATTTCTAGAATTTGTGGTTTTAAGTCAGAGTGTGCATACTTAAATATTTGAATCATTACATAGTTGCTCACCAGAAGAGGTGGGCCAATTTATACTAATGTATACTGGGCATAAAAGTGCTTGTTTCCCCATATCCTCTCCAATATTTGATACTATTTATCTTTTAATTCTTTCTCAACCTGCCTGGGGAAGCATTGATCACTCATAGTTGGTTTTTTTTTTTTATTTATTGATTTTTAACAATCTGGAGCATCTTTTCATTTGTTTATTGGTCATTTATTTCTGAGTTCTCTGTGTATGTAATTCGCCCATTGTTATACTGGGTTGTTAATGTTTTTCTTATTGATTAATAAGGATGGTTCATATAATAAGGAGATTAACATTTTGAGCCTTATGTGTGCTACAAAAAGAATTCACCAGTTTGCTCTTTGCTTGTTTTTGACTTTTGTATGTTTTGACATGGAGAAGCTTTTGCTTTTTAAAAATAGTTTATTGTAAATCTTTCCTGTTATTGCTTCTGAATTTGGAGTTATGCTCAAAAAGACATTTACCACCCTGAGACATAAAAATATTCTCTCATATTTACTTGTGGTTCTTATAGCATTTACTTTTTACATTTTGAATCTATATTTTAGAAAAGTTTTTAGAATTTTGCATTTATTAGTACAAACTTACATGCCCCATTTTTCTCTAGTTTTAATCTCCCATAATGTGGGGTTTAACTTATGCATTTGTTTTTTCTCCTTTGTTCTTTACCAGTTTCTTCAATGATTGTACCAGACAGAAACTGCTTGCCCTAAAACATGGACTGAGGGGTTACCAGATGGTTTTCTTATGGGTGCAGTAGACAGAACCACGGTTGCAGGTGGACTTTTCATCAAATGTGCTAGATAGAAGGGGGGCAGTGGTGCTCTAGTGGATAGGAATAAATTCTCATCTCTTTGGCTCAACCTATTGATAGGACCCCTCTATAATTATCTGTGGTGGAAGAAATATGCATATTTAGCACGTGGCTATAGGTGTTGTTTGAGTTACCTTATTGAGAAATTTGGAGACAGGTAGATTCAATGTAGACTTAGGTTATCACATTGATTCCAAAAACCAATAAACATAAATTACAAGTGCTAACATCAGAAATATTTTTGGTTATAAGAAATTTAAACACACAAGGTTATCCCATTCTGCAACAGTTTCATTTATTATGTTGTCTATTGTAGTATGTGTTTATATTTGTTGTGTTTTTAATCAAGTATCTATAAAAATATGAATTATTCTAAATCAAAAATCTAAATCATTAAAGCGTTAAATAGCAACTAGCTAAAGAAAATGCCATATGTAAGATATAGATAAATAAGATAGATAGATTCATTCTAAATGAGTTTTGTCCCCTTTTGTCTTCCTTTTGCAATAGAGATATCAATGGGAAAAAACAAAGAAATTTTTTAAAAAAAGAATGGAAATTGAATGTGCTTTCAAATTCCTGGTGCTGGACCATATTTTTAAAACAAGATTCCCTATAATCTTGTTAGATATTAAACCACCAAATAAGACCTACTTCAAAGTTTATTTTCTGTTCCCAGATAATGAAGCCATTTTTTTTTCCAAAGAAAAAAAGTAATGAAAGTAAGAGACACTCCCCTTTGCATGATTCTGCAGAAGCTGAATTTGTTACTAACTGCAACTTCCAGGTACTTTGCAGGTAACTAAGCCAAGAATGTGTGCACAGTCAGTTCAGTGGCTTGACCCTGAAAAACAAGGGTCTCCAGTTAGATCCTAATGAGAAGAAAATTCATAGAAAAAAAAGAAAGAAGACCATAAAGAAACATGACGGCACTTTCAGTCAATTAGGAGAAAAACCTGAGGTTTTGTGTCAGGATGACAATGGGCACCCTTGGTATAAAATATGATTATATCCGTTGTTTCAGACCAGCTAGCAATTCTTATCCCTGACTGGTACCTAAATGCAGATTAAAGCTGCCTTCCTTGGAAGATATTAATACTGGCACTTGTTCTCTAAATTCTTTCTCTTTCAGCCTCAAAGTTCAATTCAAACACCATTTATGTTTTCTTTCTAAAACCAATCTTTCTGCTTTCACTCATGCTATCAACTATAGCTTCTTGTCAGTTTGGGGACTGCGTTAAAGCTATTCCTGCTATTCTTTGATTATACTCAAAGGGAAGTCAAACTATACCGAATAACGAATAGAAAGTGTAAAAGAGTTTATATAAAAATTGGCTCTTCTAAGGAAATAAACTGGGTCTCCTTAAATCATACTTGACAAGCTTAAGAAATTGTTTTTTTCTGAAAAATTATATTGGTCATTATCCTGATGTTTAGTGAAAGATAGACATGTACTGTGTCTGATTAAACACAAACTCTTGGGATCTCAGCTGGGCTTGTAGCATAAAAGAGAATTGAATAATAGCTTATGAATTCATTAGAAATGACAGCAATATTTCAAACATCTCATCTGTTGTATTGATGAGTCACATTAGTAGAATGAAAACTTTCACCACTTTGTATACAAAACCTAGGAAGGCATCATACAGCAGCAATTCATAACATGTACACACTCATCATCTGGTTTGTAAACCATTAGGTTTGGCCCTGAATACACTGTTGGAGAGATGCTTTCAGCCTCTTAGGTTTTAAACAACAGTTTTCACTTGCCAAAATTCTCACTTCATTATTATGAGCATAAAATGAAGTGGTAGCAGCTGGCTCAGGTAAGCTAGCAATTCTCATCTACACTTAACAGCAAATCCTAAATTACAAACCATTTTCTTAGAAAAGTAGAATACTTACATTGGTGCTTTGAAGTCCTTTTCTGGTTTCAATTTCAAAATATTGCTCAAACGACATTCTTAAATTTCCAAACTATCCAACCACAGAAATACCCAAACTCAAGCAATGTACAAATTATTTATTTGGCTACCGTCTTGTACAGAATCCAAAACTTAGAATGTTCAGAAACATCTATTTAATAATGATGGTTTGTCTGAAGTTAAGGGCAAAGCCAGGAAAACCAAGAGCCTAACACCTGAGGAAAGGGGCACACAGTACCAGGAATGGACTACAAATCCACCCTGGAATCTGGCATGCTGGGGAGTCCAGGGAAGACAAGACTAAAGGGTGTCCTCTCACATATTGCCTTTTCTTTAAGCCAGATCGCTGTAGAAAACGTGGCTCAGGAAAACAAGAGTAGTATGCACTTTAATAAAATTTTTTTAAAATTTGACTTTCTTTTCTTTATTATTACACTTTAAGTTCTAGGGTACATGTGCACAACGTGCAGGTTTGTTACATATGTATACATGTGCCATGTGGGTGTGCTGCACCCGTTAACTCGTCATTTACATTAGGTATATCTCCTAATGCTATCCCTCCCCATCCCCTCACCCCACGACAGGCCCCACTGTGTGATGTTCCCCACCCTGTGTCCAAGTGTTCTCATTGTTCAATTCCCACCTATGAGTGAGAACATGCGGTGTTTGGTTTTCTGTCCTTGCGATAGTTTGCTCAGAATGATGGTTTCCAGCTTCATCCATGTCCCTACAAAGGACATGAACTCACTTTCAGGTACACCAATGAGATGTAGATTTGATCTTTTCACATAGTCCCATATTTCTTGGAGTCTTTGTTTGTTTCTTTTTACTCTTTTTTCTCTAAACTTCTCTTCTTGCTTCATTTCATTCATTCGATCTTCAATCGTTGATACCCTTTCTTCCCCTTGATCAAATCAGCTACTGAAGCTCGTGCATGTGTCATGTAGTTCTCGTGCCACGGTTTTCAGCTCCATCAGGTCATTTAAGGTCTTCTCTACACTGTTTATTCTAGTTAGCCATTCGTCTAATCTTCTTTCAAGGTTTTTAGCTTCTTTGCGATGGGTTTGAACATCCTCCTTTAGCTAGGAGAAGTTTGTTATTACCAATCGTCTGAAGCCTTCTTCTCTCAACTCGTCAAAGTCATTCTCTGTCCAGCTTTGTTCCATTGCCAGCGAGCAGCTGCATTCCTTTGGAGGAGAAGAGGCGCTCTGATTTTTAGAATTTTCAGCTTTTCTGCTCTGGTTTCTCCCCATCTTTGTGGTTTTGTCTACCTTTGGTCTTTGATGATGGTGACGTACAGATGGGGTTTTGGTGTTGATGTCCTTTCTGTTTGTTAGTTTTCCTTCTAACAGTCAGGACCCTCATCTGCAGGTCTGTTGGAGTTTGCTGGAGGTCCACTCCAGACCCTGTTTGCCTGGGTATCACCAGCAGAGGCTGCAGAATAGCAAATATTGCAGAACAACAAGTGTAGCTGCCTGATCCTTCCTCTGGAAGCTTCATCTCAGAGAGGCACCTGGCTGTATGAGGTGTCAGTCAGCCCCTACTGGGAGGTGTCTCCCAGTTAGGCTACTTGGGGGTCAGGGACCCACTTGAGGAACAATCTGTCCATTCTCAGATCTCAAACTCCGTGCTGGGAGAGCCACTGCTCTCTTCAAAGCTGTCAGACAGGGACATTTAAGTCTGCAGAAGTTTCTGCTGCCTTTTGTTTGGCTATGCCCTGCCCCCAGAGGTGGAGTCTACAGAGGCAGGCAGGCCTCCTTGAGCTGCAGTGGGAGCCACCCAGTTTGAGCTTCCCGGCCACTTTGTTTACCAACTCAAGCCTCAGCAATGGCAGACACCCCTCCCCCACCCTCGCTGCTGCCTTGCAGTTCGATCTCAGACTGCTGTGCTAGCAGTGAGTGAGGCTCTGTGGGCATGGGACTCTCCGAGCCATGCGCGGGATATAATCTCCTGGTGTGCCGTTTCCTAAGACAGTTGGAAAAGCACAGTATTAAAGTGGGAGTGTCCCGATTTTCCAGGTACTGTCTGTCACGGCTTCCCTTTCCTAGGAAAGGGAATTACCCAACCCCTTGTGCTTCCCCAGTGAGGCGATGCCCCACCCTGCTTCAGTTCACGCTCCGTGGGCTGCACCCACTGTCTGACAAGCCCCAGTGAGATGAACCTGGTACCTCAGTTGGAAATCCAGAAATCACCCATCTTCTGTGTCACTCACGCTGGGAGCTGTAGACTGGAGCTGTTCCTATTTGGCCATCTTGGAACCTCTCCCTAAAAAATTTAACAGGATATTAGAATTGGCCTTAGAGATAGCTGATCATGGTCCACTCAAACCAAAAAGTAAGACAAAATTATCTAAAAAGTATGCTAAAAAGATAGGTTCGAATTGAGGGATTCATAATTGGAATTTTTAATATGATGAATGTTGGGCCCTGATACTGGTAGGCTTCTCAGTTAGACAAGACTCATATTTTCTTCATTTTTAGTTTCTTTCCTGACAGACTTTCTCTGTTTATACTGTAGAACAAAATATAAACAAGAATTATGCTTCATAGAGTGTGTAAGTAATTTCATCTGCTAACATGTTGGTATTTACTATGTTTCTGATAATGAAAACATTTGCTTTACCCCTGAGAAGAGTTCATGGGGACATGAAATTACATGGAAGTCAGCATATTCATGCCACCCTCTCCCCCAACCCTCTTACATCTTCACAAATGCTACATTTTCCTTATTCGATTAAAACATTTTGTCGATTTGTATGGTTGTTTTTTCTTTCTGCCTATAGATTTGGTGAAGGACTTCAGGGCATGGCAGTAGGTAAATTAATCACAAAAGCAATGGCAACCTTAAGTCTTCAATTTCTGAAAAATTACAACTAAAGTTGAAGTTCATTTTAACCATATCTCCCTATATCATGCTTTCAAATATAAGAAAAATGCTAATTGTTCTCACAGGTGAATATGCTTTAGGTTTTCCCAGTGTTAGCAATGCACCTCTCCCAGTTTAATTATTAACTCAAATTGTATACATTCTTTTTTGAATCTCTAATTGTTCTTCATCATGCCTGTGCAGTTTCTTCAGGCCTAGTTATTTGTAGAATACAGAAAGAAAATAGTAGAATATAGTGCTCTATTGATCCTAATATGAGCATATCCAGGTCCCAAGCCATTTAAGGAATTAGAGAGAAAAAGACGTTATGCATGAAATATATTCAGATGCAAAAAATTTATTTCAACAGCATATGTTTTTATATCTCCATAGATTATTTGCTTATAGTGTTGGGTTAACTTGCTGAATATAATTCTGTAGTGAAGGCCATTTGTGATGTGCAGGGCAGTGAGTCTATAGGTTCTGTCTCTGTGTTCATCTGTATTTATCAGTGAGAAATGGTCACATAAACAGAACTATGAGCAAGTTGTTACAATCTAATATTCATAATAATTCTTTCTTTTTCCTTGTACAGACAATTTGTCTTCTAGGCCATTGCATTCAGATTTTTCAGTAATGGGCCTTTCAATCAGACATTATATGTATTCATGTTATATGAATATTTAAAATTTATAAAAATATAAGGTATAGCCTATTCTATAGTAAAATCTCTAGTTTGAAAGTCATTTAAAATTAATTTTAAAGTTTTAATCAATTTATATATATAAGTAGACCATTAAAAGCACA
Source organism: Homo sapiens (assembly GCF_000001405.40). Classification (NCBI taxonomy): domain Eukaryota; kingdom Metazoa; phylum Chordata; class Mammalia; order Primates; family Hominidae; genus Homo; species Homo sapiens. The sequence goes on along the minus strand of NC_000014.9, from coordinate 30,105,548 downwards.
TTGCTAGTCATTGATCATTTTTCAGCAAATCAATGACAATAGTGCTACTTAAAAGATTTTCATTTCAATACCTGTGGGATATTTTTTAATCACCACATATCAATACTGACTCCAAATCTGCATCACTAGTGGTAGCTCCCACTCTTGAATTTGCAGTTTCATGAAAGAGAATGCGCTTTTACAGAGCCAAATAAAATCAAATTAAAGTTATCTTTTTGCTATGTAGCCAGAAATTAAAGGATGATTATAAGACATATATATATTCATTACCAGTTTTCAGGGGAATTGTATTCTTTTGGTAATTCTCTCTCAGCTAATAAGTTCCCTATCAAAGTTAGCAGCTGCTTTATATTTCAAGCTCATTAGGAAGTTTTTCTTTATCTACTTCAGTGGAGAAACTGAAATCATGATAAATATTTATTGATCTGTAAATCACTTTTAAAATATTACAAATATTACAATTCTGTTGACTTCATGGAAGTTCAGCTATAGGAATGATTTCTCTTTCCTGATAGGAGGGGAAAGAATTCCTACAGAGCTTGGGGCAAGATTCAGGGGTCATTGTGTCTGTTATCTGTATTCGAGATTCTTGTCCTTCAGAAAATGGACAAGATGTGACCTGGAATTGAGGTTCAAGTCAAAGCCAAACAGACTCATTTAGAACAGGTTGTAAATCCAGATGAATGAAAGAAGCCATGAGTAGAGAGACAGTCTGAAAAAGGGTGGAAGAGCAAGAGCAGCCAAGTGGTGAAATATGTGTGAATTCCAGGCGCAGGGTGCTAATATTTGTGAAGGGCTTGTAGAATATTTCTACATACATTTGTGTTTACCAGTCAAGTTCATTAAGAAGTCAAGATTCCACTTGCCTTTAGTTCAATATACTTATGCAATTTGAGTTTCTTCTCAACATCCCACAAATTAGCAGAGCTTGATGGCACAAGCATAAAGAGATAGGCAGTCTAAGCTACTATTGTGGTCACATTGTCTAAGAAACCTTGACACTTACATGTTTTCCACAGTACAAGGTCACTGGGAACACTAACTCCCAATTTTGAACTGAATATTTTGTTAAGACTTTTCTTTCATTTCATTTTACCTGCCTTATCTGAGATAAGTCAACTCAGTACTTTCAAGTGTAGATTTAATTTCTCAATTTCTCTAATAGCAGAGTTAGATAAGACCTCTGGTTTTGCATGTAAACTAAACTAGCTTAATATTTTTAGTTTGCTTAATTAGGTTCGGTTTTAGTTTGGTTATCTTATAAATTCTTGGGTCTCAGGTAGATTTTATTTGGCACTTGAACTAAACGTGGATCTTCTTTAGAGTCAGATGGAAGTGTAGTGCTTAAAAGGCCATTTAAAATGGTCTTAACTAGTTAAGGCTGCTAGAATATAAAGCCCCAAAAGAAAAGTTTTCAAGTAGTATCTGGCCCTAAAAAGTTTTCAAGTAGTTATCAAATTTCAGTGGACCCTTGAACAATGTAGTGGTGAGGGGCACTGGGAGCCCCCATACACAGTTGAAAAGCTGTTTATAACTTTTGACTCCCCCAAAACTTAGCTACTACTACCCTGCTGATGATCGGAAGCCTTACCGATAACACAATCAATTAACACATATTTTGTATTATGTATCGTACACTGTACTCTTACCGTAAAGTAATCCAGAGAACAGAAAATGTTATTAAGAAAATCATAGGAGAAATTATATTTATTATTCATTAAGTAGAAGTGTATCATCATAAAAGTCTTCACTCTCATCGTCTTCACATTGAGTGGTCTGAGACAGAGAAGGAAGAGGAGGGCTTGGTCTTGCTGTCTCAACTGTGGCTGAAGCAGAAGAAAATCTGATATAAGTGGACCCATGCAGTTCAAATTCCTGTTTTTCTTTTTAAATTATTATTTTTATTCATTTATTTATTTGTTTTTTATTATACTTTAAGTTATAGGGTACATGTGCACACCTTGCAGTTTCGATACATAGGTATACATGTGCCATGTTGGTTTGCTGCCAGTATCAACTCGTCATTTATATTAGGTATTTCTCCTGATGCTATCCCTTCCCCAGCCCCCTACCCTCTGGCAAGTCCCAGTATGTGATGTTCCCCGCCCTGTATCCTAGTGATTTCATTGTTCAATTCCCACCTATGAGTGAGAACATGTGGTGTTTGGTTTTCTGTCCTTGTGATAGTTTGCTGAGAATGGCGGTTTCCAGCTTCATCCATGACCCTGCAAAGGACGTAAACTCATCCTTTTTATGGCTGCATAGTATTCCATGGTGTGTATGTGCCACATTTTCTTAATCCAGTCTATCATTGATGGACATTTGGGTTGGTTCCAAGTCTTTGCTATTGTGAATAGTGCCACAATAAACATACATGTGCATGTGTCTTTATAGTACCATGATTTATAATCCTTCGGGTATATACCCAGTAATGGGATTGCTGGGTCAAATGGTATTTCTAGTCGTAGATCCTTGAGGGATCATCACACTGTCTTCCACAATGATTGAACTAGTTTACAGTCCCACCAACAGTGTAAAAGTGTTCCTATTTCTCCACATCCTCTCCAGCACCTGTTGTTTCCTGACTTTTTAATGATCGCCATTCTAACTGCCATGAGATGGTATCTCATTGTGGTTTTGATTTGCATTTCTCTGACGACCAGTGATGATGAGCATTTTTTCATGTGTCTGTTGGCTGCATAGATGTCTTCTTTTGAGAAGTGTCTGTTCATATCCTTTGCCCACTTTTGGATGGGGTTATTTGTTTTTTTCTTGTACATTTGTTTAAGTTCTTTGTAGATTCTGGTTATTAGCCCTTTGTCAGATGGGTAGATTGCAAAAATTTTCCCTCATTCTGAAGGTTGCCTGTTCACTCTGATGGTAGTTTCTTTTGCTGTGCAGAAGCTCTTTAGTTTAAGTACATCCCATTTGTCTATTTTGGCTTTTGTTGCCATTGCTTTTGGTGTTTTAGTCATGAAGTCCTTGCCCGTGCCTATGTCCTGAATGGTATTGCCTAGGTTTTCTTCTAGAGTTTTTATGGTTTTAGGTCTAACATTTAAGTCTTTAATCCATCTTGAATTAATTTTTGTGTAAGGTGTAAGGAAGGGATCCAGTTTCAGCTCTCTACATATGGCTAGCCAGTTTTCCCAGCACCATTTATTAAATAGGGAATCCTTTCCCCATTTCTTGTTTTTGTCAGGTTTGTCAATGACCAGATGGTTGTAGATGTGTGGTGTTATTTCTGAGGCCTCTCTCTGTTCTGTTCCATTGGTCTGTATGTCTGTTTTGGTACCAGTACCATGCTGTTTTGGTTACCATAGCCTTGTAGTATAGTTTGAAGCCAGGTAGCGTGATGCCTCCACCTTTGTTCTTTTTGCTTAGGATCGTCCTGGCAATGTGGGCTCTTTTTTGGTTCCATATGAACTTTAAAGTAGTTTTTTCCAGTTCTGTGAAGAAAGTCATTGGTAGTTTGATGGGGATGGCATTGAATCTATAAATTACCTTGGGCAGTATGGCCATTTTCATGATATTGATTCTTCCTACCCATGATCATGGAATGTTCTTCCATTTGTTTGTGTCCTCTTTTATTTTGTTGAGCAGTGGTTTGTAGTTTTCCTTGAAGAGGTCCTTCACATCCCTTGTAAGTTGGATTCCTAGGTGTTTTATTCTCTTTGTAGCAATTGTGAATGGGAGTTCACTCATGATTTGGCTCTCTGTTTGTCTGTTATTGGTGTATAGGAACTCTTGTGATTTTCGCATGTTGATTTTGTATCCTGAGACTTGGCTGAAGTTGCTTATCAGTTTAAAGAGATTTTGGGCTGAGATGATGGGATTTTCTGAATATACAATCATTTCATCTGCAAGCAGGGACAACTTGACTTCCTCTTTTCCTAATCGAATATGCTTCATTTCTTTCTCTTGCCTGATAGCCCTTGCCGGAACTTCCAACACTATGTTGAATAGGAGTGGTGAGAGAGGGTATCCCTGTCTTGTGCCAGTTTTCAAAGGGAATGCTTCCAGTTTTTGTCCATTCAGTATGATATTGGCTGTGGGTTTGTCATAGATAGCTCTTATTATTTTGAGATACATCCCATCAATACCTAATTTATTGAGAGTTTTTAGCATGAAGCGCTGTTGAATTTTGTCGAAGGCCTTTTCTGCATCTATTGAGATAATCATGTGGTTTTTCATTGGTTCTGTTTATGTGATGCTTTACATTGAGATCATCATGTGGTTTTGTCATTGGTTGTGTTTATGTGATGCATTACATTTATTGATTTGTGTATGTTGAACCAGCCTGACATCCCAGGGATGAAGCTGACTTGATTGTGTTGGATAAGCTTTGAGATGTGCTGCTGGATTTGGTTTGCCAGTATATTACTGAGGATTTTCGCATCGATATTCATAAGGGATATTGGTTTAAAATTCTCTTTTTTTGTTGGCTTTGGTATCAGGATGATGTTGGCCTCATAAAATGAGGTAGGGAGGATTCCCTCTTTTTCTATTGATTGCAATAGTTTCAGAAGGAATGGTACCAGCTCCTCTTTGTACTTCTGCTAGAATTTGGCTGTCAATCCATCTGGTCCTGGATTTTTTTTTGGTTGGTAGGCTATTAATTATTGCCTCCATTTCAGAGCCTGTTATTGGCCTATTCAGGGATTCAACATCTTCCTGGTTTATTCCTGGGAGGATGTATGTGTCCAGGAATTTATCCATTTCTTCTAGATTTTCTAGTTCATTTGCATAGAGGTGTTTATAGTATTCTCTGATGGTAGTTTGTATTTCTGTGGGATCGGTGGTGATATCCCCTTTATCATTTTTTATTGCATCTATTTGTTTCTTCTCTCTTTTTTTCTTTATTAGTCTTGCTAGTGGTCTATCAATTTTGTTGATCTTTTCAAATACCAGCTCCTGGATTCATTGATTATTTGAAGGGATTTTGTGTCTCTATCTCTTTCAGTTCTGCTTTGATCTTAGTTATTTCTTGCCTTCTGCTAGCTTTTGAATGTGTTTGCTCTTGCTTCTCTAGTTCTTTTAATTGTGATATTATGTCAATTTTAGATATTTCCTGCTTTCTCTTGTGGGCATTTAGTGCTATAAATTTCCCTCTACACACTGCTTTAGATGTGTCCCAGAGATTCTGGTACGTTGTGTCTTATTTCTCATTGGTTTCAAAGAACATCTTTATTTCTGCCTTCATTTTGTTATTTACAAAGTAGTCATTAAGGAGCAAGTTGTTCGGTTTCCATGTAGTTGTGTTGTTTTGACTGAGTTTCTTAATCCTGAGTTCTAATTTGATTCCACTGTGGTCTGAGAGATAGTTTGTTATAATTTCTGTTCTTTTACATTTGCTGAGGAGTGCTTTACTTCCAATTATGTGGCCAATTTTAGAATAAGTTTGATGTGGTGCTGAGAAGAATGTATATTCTGTTGATTTAGGGTGGAGAGTTCTGTAGATGTCTGTTAGGTCCACTTGGTGCAGAGCTGAGTTAAAGTCCTGGATATCCTTGTTAACCTTTTGTCTCGTTGATCTGTCTAATATTATCAGTGGGATTTTAAAGTCTCCCATTATTATTGTATGGGAGTCCAAGTCTCTTTGTGGGTCTCTAAGGACTTGCTTTATGAATCTGGGTGCTCCTGTATTGGGTGCATATATATTTAGGATAGTTAGCTCTTCTTGTTGAATTGATCCCTTTACCATTATGCAATGGCCGTCTTTGTCTCTTTTGATCTTTGTTGGTTTAAAGTCTGTTTTAACAGAGACTAGGATTGCAACCCCTGCTTTTTTTTTTTTTTTTTTTTTTTTTTTTTGCTTTCCATTTGCTTGGTAGATCTTCCTCCATCCGTTTATTTTGATCCTATGTGCATCTTTGCATGTGACATGGGTCTCCTGAATACAGCACACTGATGGGTCTTGATTCTTTATCCAATTTGCCAGTCTGTGTCTTTTAATTGGGGCATTTAGTGCATTTACATTTAAGGTTAATACTGTTATGTGTGAATTTGATCCTGTCATTATGATGTTTGCTGGTTATTTTGCCCATCAATTCATGCAGTTTCCTCATAGCATCCTTGGTCTTTACAATTTGGCATGTTTTTGCAGTGGCCGGTACTGGTTGTTTCTTTCCAAGTTTAGTCCTTCCTTCAGGAGCTCTTGTAAGGCAGGCCTAGTGTTGACAAAATCTCTCAGCATTTGCTTGTCTGTAAAGGATTTTATTTATCCTTCACTTCTGAAGCTTAGTTTGTCTGGATATGAAATTCTGGATTGAAAACTCTTTTCTTTAAGGATGTTGAATATTGGTCCCCACTCTCTTCTGGTTTGTAAGATTTCTGCTGAGAGATCCACTGTTAGTCTGATGGGCTTCCCTTTGTGGGTAACCCAACCTTTCTCTCTGGCTACCCTTAACATTTTTTCCTTCATTTCAACCTTGGTGAATCTGACAATTATGTGCCTTAGGTTTGCTCTTCTCAAGAATTATCTTTGTGGTGTTCTCTGTATTTTCTGAATTTGAATGTCGGCCTGTCTTGCTAGGTTGGGGAAGTTCTCCTGGATAATATCCTGAAGAGTGTTTTCCAACTTGGTTCCATTCTCCCCATCACTTTCAGGTACACCAATCAAACGTAGATTTGGTCTTTTCACATAGTCCCATATTTCTTGGAGGCTTTGTTTATTTCTTTTTACTCCTTTTTCTCTAATCTTGTATTCTGACTTTATTTCATTAATTTGATCTTCAGTCACTGGTACCCTTTCTTCCACTTCATTGAATCGGCTATTGAAGCTTGTGCATGCGTCACAATGTTCTCGTGCCATGGTTTTCAGCTCCGTCAGGTCATTTTAGGTCTTCTCTACAGTGTTTATTCTAGTTTGCCATTCTTCTAATCTTTTTTCAAGGTTTTTAACTTCCTTGTGATGGGTTCAAACATGCTCCTTTAGCTTGGAGAAGTTTGTTATTACCGACCTTCTGAAGCCTACTTCTCTCAACTACTCAAAATCATTCTCCATCCAGCTTTGATCCATTGCGGGTGAGCACGATCCTTTGGAGGAGAAGAGGCACTCTAATTTTTAGACTTTTCAGCTCTTCTGCTCTGGTTTCTCCCCATCTTTGTGGTTTTATCTACCTTTGGTCTTTGATGTTGGTGTCCTACAGAGGGAGTTTTGGTGTAGATGTCCTTTTTGTTGATGGTGATGTTATTCCTTTCTGTTTGTTAGTTTTCCTTCTAACAGGTCTGTCAGCTGCAGGTCTGTTGGAGTTTGCTGGAGGTCCCCTACAGACCCTCTTTGCCTGGTATCACCAGCGGAGGCTCAGTTGGAAATGCAGAAATCACCCATCTTCTGCGTCAATCACACTGGGAGCTGCAGACTGGAACTGTTCTTATTCGGCCATCTTATAACATAGCCGGAACTGTAATCTTTCAAAATCCTGTTTTTCAAGGGTAAACTGTATATCACCTTTGAGGGTAATAACATTGTAGATGAATATAGGTAGGATCAATTTTTTTAATTTTTATGGATACACAGTAAGGAGTGTGTGTGTGTGTGTGTGTGTGTGTGTGTGTATAGTTACAGAAGATACTTTGATACAGGTGTGCAATAAGAAATGATTATATCATGGAAAATGGGATATCCATCCCCTCAAGCATATATCAGTTTGTAACATACAATCAAATTATACTCTCTTAGTTATTTTTAAATGTACAATTAAATTATTATTGACTAATTCCGCTATGCTATCAAATACTAGGTCTTATTCCTTCTTTCTGATTGTGTATTTTTTGTACCCAATAACCATCCCCAATTCTTTCTCACCCCAGCACTACCCTTCCCAGACTCTAGTAACCATACCTCTACTCTCTATCCTCATTGATTCAATTGTTTTGATTTTTAGGACCCACAAATAAGGAAAGACATGCCAAGTTTGTCTTTCTGTGCCCGACTTATTTCATTAGCATAATGATCTCCATTTCCATCTATCTTGATGCAAATGACAGAATCTTATCCCTTTTTATAGCTGCATTGTACTCCATTGTGTGTATGTACCACATTTTCTTTTTCCATTCATTTATCGATGGACACTTAGGTTGCTTTCAAATCTTGGCCATTGTGAACAGTGCTGCAGCAAACATGGGAGTGCAGATATCTCTTTGATACACTGATTTCCTTTGTTTTGGTATGTACCCAGCAGTGGGATTGCTTGATCTTATTGTAGCTTTATTTTTAGTTTTTTGAGGAACCTGCAAACTGTTCTCTATAGTGGTTGTACTAATTTGCATTCCCACTATCCTTCTACTCTCTATCTATATAGGTTCAGTTGTTTTGATTTCAATCCTCATACAAAAGTGTATGAGAATTCCCTTTTCTCCACATCCTTGCCAGCATTTGTTATTGCCTGTGTTGGATAAAAGCCATTTTAGCTGGCATGAGATGATATCTCGTTGTACATTTGACTTGCATTTCTCTAGTGATCAAAGATGTTGAACACCTTTTCATATGCTTGTTTGCCATCTATATGCCTTCCTTGAGAAATAACTATTCAAATATTTCGCCCATTTTTTATTGGATTATTATATTTTTTTCTATAGACATGTTTGAGCTCCTTATATATTCTGGTTATTAATCCCTTGTCAGATGGGTTATTTGCATATATTTTCTCCTATGTTGTGAATTGTCTCCTCCTTTTGTTGATTGTTTCCTGCATTGTGCAGAAACTTTTTAACTTGGTGTGATCCATTTGTCCATTTTTGCTTTGGGTGCATGTGCTTGTGGCATATTACTCAGCCTATTAGTAGTCTGTTCTCATGCAGACTACTACATACTCGGGTATGTCTCAGTAAAGGCATACCCAAGATTGGATATTTATAAAGGAAAGAAGTTTAATTGACTCACAGTTCTACATGATTGGGAGGCCTGATAATCATGGCAGAAGGCCAAATGAGGAGCAAAGTCACATCTTACATGGCAGCCAGTAAGAGAGAGTGTGCAGGGGAGCTCCCCTTTATAAAACCATCACTATCACAAAAACAGCATGGGAAAGACCCACCCCTATGATTCAATTACCTCCTACTGTGGTCCCTCCCATGACACATGGCAATCATGGGGGTTACAATTCAAGATGAGATTTGGGTGGGGACACAGCCAAACCATATCATTCTACCCCAGACCCCTCCCAAATCTCATATCTTAACATTTCAAAACCAATCATGCCTTCCCCAAGGTCCCTCAAAGTCTTAAGTCATTTTAGAATTAACTCAAAAGTCCACAGTCCAAAGTCTCATCTGAGACAAGACAATTCCCTTTCACCTATGCGCAGGTAAAATCAAAAGCAAGTTAGCTACTTCCTAGATACAATGGGAATATAGGCATTGGGTAAACACAGCCATTTCAAATGGGAGAAATTGGTCAAAACAAGGGGGCTAAAGGCCCCATGGAAGTCCGAAATCCAGTAGGGCAGTCATTAAACCTCAAAGTTACAAAATGATCTCCTTTGACTCCATGTCTCACATCCAGGTCACGCTGATCCAAAAGGTGGCCTCCCATGGTCTTGTGCAGCTCTGCCCCTGTGGCTTTTTGGGGTACAGCCCCCCTTTCCCAGCTGCTTTCACTGGCTGTTGTTGAGTGTCTGCAGCTTTTCTAGGAGCACAGTGCAAGTTGTCAGTCCATCTACCCTTCTGGTGTCTGGGCCCTTTTCTCACAGCTCCCCCAGGCAATGCCCCAGTGGGGACTCTGTGTGGGGGCTTCAACCCTACATTTCCCTTCTGTACTGCCCAAGCAGAGTTTCTCCATGAGGGCTCCACCCCTGCAGCAAACTTCTGCCTGGACATGCAGTCATTTCCATAGATCCTCTGAAATCTAGGTGGAGGTTCCCAAACCTCAATTCTTAACTTCTGTGTACCAGCAGAATCAACACCATGTGGAAGCTGCCAAGGCTGGGGGCTTACACCCTCTGAAGCCATGGCCCAAGCTGTACCTTGGCCCCTTTTACCCATGGCTGGAGTGGCTGTGATACAGGGAGCCAAGTCCCAAGGCTGCACACAGCAAAGGGGTCCTGGATATGATGCAGGAAACCATTTTCTCCTCCTCGGCCTCTGGGGTGTATGGGAGAGACTGCCACAAAGGTCTCTGACATGCCTTGGAGACATTTTCCCCATTGTCAGTGATTAACACTTGGTTCCTCATTACTTAAATTTCTGCAGCAGGCCTGAATTTCTCCTCAGAAAATGGGTTTTTCTTTTCTACTGCATCATCAGGATGCAAATTTTTTGAAATTTTATGCTCTGCTTCCCTTTTAAACGTAAGTTCTAATTCCAAACCATATCATTGTGAATATATAGAAGGGAATGCTTTTAACAGTACCCAAATCACCTATTGAATGCTTTGCTGCTTAGAAATTTCTTCCACCAGATACCCTAAATCATCTCTCTCAAGGTAAAAATTCCACAGATCTCTAGGGCATGAACAAGATGGTGCCAGTAGCTTTGCTAAAGCATAACTAGAGTCACCATTGCTCCATTTCCCAACAAGTGCCTCATCTCCATCTGTGACCACATTAGCATGGCCTTCATTGTCCATATCACTATCACCTCATTTGTCAAAGCACTTGACAAGTCTCTAACAAGCTCCAAACTTTCTCACATTTTCCTGTCTTCTTCTGAGCTCTTCAAACTGTTCCAACCTCTGCCTGTTACCCAGTTTCAAAGTCACTTCCACATTTTCAGGTATCTTTACAGCAGCACCTCACTCTACTGATACAATTTTACTATATTGGTCTGTTTTCGCACTGCTAAAAAATACATACTCAGGACTGGGTAATTTATAAAGGAAGGAGGTTTTACTGACTCAGAGTTACACATGGTTGGGGAGGCCTTAAAATCCTGTTGGAAGACAAATGAGGAGCAAAGTCAGATATCACATGACAGTAGGCAAGGGAGAGTGTGCAGGGGAACTCTTCTTTATAAAATGACCAGATCTTGTGAAACATATTCACTATCATGAGAACTGCATGGGAAAGACTCACATCCATGATTCAATTACCTCCAACTGGGTCCCTTCCATGACATATGGGAATTATGGGAGCTACAACTCAAGATGAGATTTGGGTGGGTACACAGCCAAACCATATCACTCAGAAAATAGGTGTCAGGTATGTTGATATGGTTTGGCTGTGTGCCTACCCAAGTCTCATTTTGAGTTGTAGCTCCCATAATTCCCATATGTTGTGGGTGGAACCCAGTGGGAAATAATTGAATCATGGGGGTAGTTTCCCCCATACTGTTGTCATGGTAGTGAATAAGTCTCACAAGATCTACTGATCTCTCATTTTCTCTCTTGTCTGCTGCCATGCAAGACATGCCTTTTGCCTTCCATCATGATTTTGAGGGCTCCCCAGCAATGTGGAACTGTGAGTCCATTAAACCTCTTTTTCTTTAGATATTACCCAGTCTCAGGTTTGTCTTTATAAGCAGCATGAAAATGGACTAATACATATGTTCTTGGAAGCTTTGTGAAAAATTAGTTGACTGTAGGTGTATGAATTTGTTTTTAGGTTCTCTGTTCTGTTCCATATGTCTATGTGTCTGTTTTTATGCCAGTACTATGCGGTTTTGGTTACTGTAGCTCTGCAATATAACTTGAAATCAGATAATGTGATTCCTCTAGTTTTGCTCTTTTTGCCTAGAATAGCTTTGACTATTCTGTTTTTTTGTGTGTCTGTGGTTCCATATAAATTTTAGGATTGTTTTTTCTACTTCTGTGGAGAATGTCATTGGTATTTTGATAGGAATTGCATTGAATCAGTAGATTGCTTTGGGTGGTGGGACATTTTAACAATATTGATTCTCCCTATCCATGAACTCGGAATATCTTTCCGTTTTTTGTGTGTCCTCTTCAATTTCTTTTATCAGTGTTTATAGTTCTCATTGTAGAAATCTTTTATATATTTGGCTAATTCCTAGATATTTTATTTGTGGCTTTATTGTAAATGGAATTACTTTTTACGTTTCTTTTTCAGACTGTTCACTGTTAACATACAGAAATGCTACTGATTTTTGCATGTTAATCTTGTATCCTGCAACTGTACTAAATTTATTAGTTCTAAAAGTTGTTTGGTGGAGTCTTATATCATCTGCAAACAAGGATAATTTTACTTCTTCCTTTTCAACTGGAATCCCCTTTACTTCTTTCTCTTGTCCAGTTGCTCTAGCTAGGACTTCCAGTACTATGTTGAATAATAGTGGTGAAAGTGGGCATCCTCGTCATGCTCCTGATATCAGAGGAAAGCCTTTTAGTTTTTCCCCTTCAGTATGATACTAGCTGTGTGTCTGTCATATATGGCTTTTATTGTCTTGAGGTATGTTCCTTCTATACCAGTTTTCTGAAGATTTTTATCATGAGGGGATGTTAAATTTTATCAAATGTTTTTTCAGCATCAATTGAAATGATCATATGGTTTTTGTCCTTTATTCTGCTGATATGATGCATCACATTGATTGATTTGTGTATGTTGAACCATCTTTGCATCCTGGAGGTAAATTCCACTTGGTCATAATAAAAGATCTTTTTAATGCCTTGCTGAATTCCATTTGCTCGTACTTTGTTGATGATTTTTGCATCAATATCAAATCAGAGATATTGGCCTGTAATTTTTTTAATGTATCTTTGATTTTGATATCAAGGTAATACTGGCCTCATAGAATGAGCTTGGAAGTATTGCCTCCTCCTCTATTTCTTTGAATAGTTTGAGTAGGATTGGTATTAGTTCTTTAAATGTTTATTAGAATTCAGCAATGAAGCCATCAGGTCTTGGGCTTTTCTTTACTGGGAGAATTTTTATTATGGTTTCAATCTCATTACTTGTTATTGGTCTGTTCAGATTTTGGATTGCTTCATGGTCAATCTTGGTAGGTCTGTTCAGATTTTGGATTGCTTCATGGTCAATCTTGCTAGGTTGCATGTGTCTGGGAATTTGTTCATTTTCTCTAGCTTTTCCAATTTTTTAGCATATAGTGGTCATAGTAGCTCCTAATGATCCTTTGAATTTCTGTAGTATCAGTTGTAATGTCTCCTTTTTCATCTCTGATTTTATTTATTTGGGGCTTCTTTCTTTTTTTCTTAGTCTGGTTAAAGATTTGTCAATTTTCTTTATCTCTACAAAATGCCAACTTTTCATTTTCTTGACTCTTACATTGTTTTCTTCATTTCAAATTCATGTATTTCTGTTCTGATCTTTATCATTTTTCTTCTAGTAATTTTGCATTTGGTTTGTTCTTTCTTTTCTAGTTCCTTAAGATGCATCATTAGTTTATTTATTAGAAGTTTGTCTTCTTTTTGGATGTAGGCACTTATAGCTATAAATTTCCCTTCTAGTACTGCTGATATGGTTTGGGTCTGTTTCCCTGTCCAAATCTCACATCAAATTATAATCCCAAATGTTGGAGATGGGTCCTGGTGGGAGGTGATTGGATCATGAGGATGAATTTCCCCTTTGGTGTGTTTCTTGTGATAGTGAATGAGTTGTCATAAGATCTGCTTGTTTAAAAGTGTGTGGCACCTCCCCTACGCTCTTCCTCCTGCTCTCGCCACGTAAGACTTGCCTGCTTCCCCTTCACCTTCTGCCATTATTGTAACTTTCCTGAGACCTCCTCAGACATGCTTCCTGTACAGTCTCCAGAACTGTGAGTCAATTAAGCCTCTTTTCTCTGTAAATTACCCAGTCGCAGGTATTTCCTTATAGCAGTGCAAGAATAGACTAATATAGAAAATTGGTACTGGGAGTGGGGCGTTGCTATAAAGATACCTGAAAATGTGGAAGTGACTTTGGACCCTGGGTAATGGGCAGAGAATGGAACAGTTTGGAGGGCTCAGAAGTCAACAGGAAGATGAGGGAAAGTTTGGAACTTCTTAGAGACTTTTTGAATAGTCGTGATCAAAATGCTGATAGTGAAATGGACAGTGAAGTATAGGCTGAGGAGGTCTCACATAGAAATGAGGAACTTATTAGAAACTGGAGTGAAGGTCACTCTTGCTATGCTTTGGCAAAGAGACTGGTGACATTGTGCCCCTACTCCAGGGATCTGTGGAACTTTGAACTTGAGAGAGTTTATTTAGGATATCTGGTAGAAGAAACTTCTAAGCAGCAAATTGTTCAAGATTTGCCCTGGCCGCTTCTAAAATCCTATGTCATATGAGTGAGCAAAGAAATGACCTAAAACAGAAACTTATGTTTAGAAGGGAAGCAGAGAATAAATGTTTGGAAAATTTGCAGCCCAGCCATGTAGTATAAAGGAAAAGCCCATTTTCTGGGGAGGAATTCAAGTCAGTTGCAGAAATTTCCATAACTAAAAGGAAGGCAAGTACGAATAGCCAAGACAATGGGAAAAAGGCCCTGAAGGCATTTCAGAGACCTTTGTGGCAGCCCCTCTCATCACAGGTCCAGAGGCCTCGGAGGGAAGAATGGTTTTGTGGGCCAGGCCCAGGGCCCTGCTCCCCTGTGCAGCCTCGGGACACTGCTCCCTGCATCCTGACTGCTCCTGCTACTGCCACAGCTCAAATAGGCAGAAGCAGACTGCTGCTTCAGAAAGAGCAAGCCATAAGCTTTGGCAGCTTCCACATGATGTTAAGCCTACAGGGATGTAGAGTGCAATAGTTGAGGCTTAGGAGCCTCCACCTAGTTTACAGAAGATGTGTGGAAAACCCAGGATGTACAGGCAGAAGCTGGTGCAGAAGTGAAATCCTCATGGAGAGCCTCTACTAGGACAGCATGGAGAGAAAATGTGGGATTGGAGCCCCCAAACAGAGTCCCCACTGGGGCACTGCCTAGTGGAGCTGTGAGAAGAGGTCTACTGTCCTCCAGACCCCAGAAAGGGAGATCCACCAAGAGCTTGCATCATGTACCTGGAAAAGCCACAGGAACATAATGCCAGCCCTTGAGAGCAGCTGTGGGGGCTGAGCTCTGCAGAGCCACAGAAGTGGAGCTGTCCAAGGCCTTGTGAGCCCACCCCTTGCATGAGTGTGGCCTGGATGTGATACATGGAGTCAAAGGAGATTATTTAGAGCTTTAAGATTTAAAGACTGCCCTGCTGGGTTTTGAACTTGCATGGGGTCTTTAACCTTTTTGTTTTGTTTTGGTGTCTCCCTTTTGGAAAGGGAGTACTCACCCAATGCCTAAAACCCCATTGTGTCTTGGAAGCAACTAACTTGTTTTTTATTTTACAGGCTCATAGACAGAAAGGACTTACTCCAGCTATTTTGTTATTTGTTTTCTGGTTGTTTTGTGATCTTCTCTTCTTGTTTTAGGTGAGACTTTGTGCTTTAGACTTTTGAGTTAATGCTGGAGTGAGTTAAGACTTTGGGGGACTGTTGGCATTACTGTATTTTGAAATGTGAG
Organism: Homo sapiens; assembly: GCF_000001405.40. Taxonomy (NCBI): domain Eukaryota; kingdom Metazoa; phylum Chordata; class Mammalia; order Primates; family Hominidae; genus Homo; species Homo sapiens. The sequence goes on along the minus strand of NC_000014.9, from coordinate 30,090,168 downwards.
AATAACATGAGATTTGGGAGAGGCCAGGGGCAAAATGATATGGTTTGGATCTGTGTTCCCAACCAAATCTTATATCAAATTGTAATTCCCAGTGTTGGAGGTGGGTCCTGGTAGGAGGTGATGAGATCATGGTGGCAGATTTACCCTTTGGTGCTGTTCTTGTAATTGTGAGTGAGTTATTATGAGATCTGATTGTTTAAAAGTGTGTGGCACCTCCCCCACACTTTCTCTTCCCCTGGCTTTGATCATATAAGACATGCTGCTTCCCCTTTGTTTCTTTCATGATTGTAAGTTTCCTGAGGCCTACCCAGCTGTGCTTCCTGTACAGCCTGCAAAACTGTGAGCCAATTCGACCTCTTTTTTATAAATTCCCCAGTTTCAGGTATTTCTTTATAGCACTGCAAGCATGAACTAATAGAACTGCTTTCCCTGTATCCCATAGGTTTTGGTATCTTGTGTTTCCATTATCATTTGTCACAACAAATCTTTCAATTTTCCTCTTAAGTTCTTCATTTACTGGTCATTCAAGAGCAATTGTTTAATTTTCATGTGTTTTTATTGTTTCCAAACGTCCTCTTGTTATTGATTTGTAGTTTTATTCCATTGTGGTCAGAGAAGATACTTGAAATTATTTCAAGTTTTTTTTAATGTTTTAAGACTTGTTTGTGACAGTCTTGTTATTGATTTGTAGTTTTATTCCATTGTGGTCAGAGAAGATACTTGAAATTATTTCAAGTTTTTTTTAATGTTTTAAGACTTGTTTGTGACAGAAAATATGGTCTATCCTTGAGAATTATCCATGTGCTGAGGTGAAGAATGTGTATTTTGGAGCCTTTGGATGAAATGTTCAGTAAATATCTATTAGGTCCATTTGGTCTATGGTGCAGATTAAGTCTGATGTTTCTTTATTGATATTCTGTTTGAAAGATCTGTCCAATGCTGAAAGTGGGGTATTGAAGTCTCCAGCTATTATTGTATTAAGGTTTATCTCTCTCTTTAGCTCTAATGTTTGCTTTATACATCTGGGTGCCCCAGTGTTGGGAGCACTGGAGGTTATACATATTTTTGTATTTATAATTGTTATATTCTCTTGGTGAATTGACCCCTTTATCATTATGTAATGAGCTTTTGGTCTCTTCTTGCAGGTTTTGGCTTGAAATCTATTTTGTCTAATACAAGTGTAGCTACTCCTGCTCTTTTTTGGTTTCCTTTGGCATGGAATATCGTTTTCCATCCCGTTATTTTCAGTCTATGTGTATATTTATAGATGAAGTGTGCTCCTTGTAGCCACAGATCAATGGGTCTTGCTTTTTTGTCCATTCAGCCATTCTGTGTCTTTTGATGGGAGAGTTTAGTCCATTTACATTTAATGTTATATTGATAAGTGAGGACTTAGTCCAGCTATTTTGTTATTTGTTTTCTGGTTATTTTGTAGTCTTCTCTTTCTGTTTTCCTTTTAGTGGATGTGATTTTTCTCTGGTGATATGACTTAATGTCTTCCTTTTTATATTTTGCGTATCCATTGTATATTTTTCGATTTGAGATTATCGTGAGCCTTGCAAATACTATCTTATAAGCCATTATTTTAAATTGATGACAACACTGATTTCACAAACAAATAAATCAAAAAGAAAACTAATAAAAACTCCACTCTTTAACATCCTCCAACCTGCTTTTTAAATTTTGTTGTTTATCTATATGTCTTATTTTACTGTCTATGTCTGGAAAGTCATTGTAGATATTATTTTTGACTGGTGTTCTATTTAGCCTTTTGATGTAAGATAAGAGTATTTTACACACTACAATTACAGTGTTATTATATTCTGTGTTTTTCTGTATGCTATTACCAGTGAGTTTTGCACCTTCAGATGATTTCTTATTGCTTATTAATGCCCCTTCTTTCAGCTATTGATACAATTCCTCAGCTTTTCTTTGGGAAGGTTTTTATTTCTCCTTCAGGCTTAAAAGATATTTTGCTGAATATACTGCTCAAGGGTGAGGTTTTTTTTTTTCCCTTCAGCATGTTAAATATGTCATACCACTCTCTCCTGGCCTGTAAGGATTCCAATGAAGTCTGCTACCAGACATATTGGAGCTCCACTGTATGTGATTTGTTTCTTTTATCTTGCTTTTAGGATTGTTTCTTTACCTTTGGCCTTTGAGAGTTTGATTATTAAATGCCTTGAGGTAGTCTTCTTTGGGTTGAATCTGCTTGGTTAAATCTATAACCTTCTTGCACTTGACATTTCTTTAGGTTTGGGGAGTTCTCTAACACTCTCCTTTTGATAAACTTTCTAATCGTATCTTTCTCTACCTACTCTTCAAGACCAATAACTCTTAGATTTGCCCTTTTGAGGATATTTTCTAGATCTTGTAGGCAAGCTTCATTCTTTTTGTTTTCTTTTTCTTTTGTCTCCTCTGATGGTGTATTTTCAAATAGCCTGTGTTCAAGCTCACTAATTATTTCTCCTGCTTGATCAATTCTGCTATTAAGAGACTTCAGTGCATTCCTCAATATGTCAATTGCATTTTTCAAGTCAAGAACTTCTGTTTATTTTTAATAATTTCAATCTCGTTATTAAATTTATCTGATATACTTCTGAATTCCTTTTTTGTGTTATCTTGAATTTCTTGGAGTTTCCTCAACACAGCTATTTAGAATTATCTGTCAAAAAGGTCACATATCTCTGTTTCTCCAGGATCGGTCCCTCATACCTTATTTATTTAGTTAATTTGGTGAGATCATGTTTTCCTAGTTGGCGTTGTTGATTGTGTATGTTTGTTGGTGTCTGAGAATTGAAGAGTTAGGCATTTATTGTTGTCTTCAGAGTCTGGGCTTTTTTTGTGCACATCATTTTTGAGGAAGCTTTCCAGGTATTCGAAGGGACTTTGGCTCCAAATCCAATTATGCTGTAGTTCTTGCTGACTCTTAGAGGTACCGCCTTGGTAGTCTTGGATAAAATCTGGAAGAATTCTCTGGATTACCAGGCAGAGAATCTTGTTCTTTCCCTTTACCTTCTCCCAAACAGTCTCTCTCTATATATATTGAGCTTCCTAGAACTGGGAGTAGTATGACACAAGCACCCCTGTGGCCACTACTAACTGCACTGCACTGTTAAGAGCTGAAGCCAGCACAGCACTGGGTCTCACCCAAGGCCCACTGTTACTAATATCTGGTTACCACCTACATTCACTCAAAGTCCTAAGGCTCTACAATCAGTAGCTGACAAAGCCAGCCAGATTTGTGTCCCTCTCTTCAAGGCAGTGAGTTCCCCCAGGCCCTGGATAGGTCCAGAGATGCTGTCTGGGAGCCACAGATTGAAGTAAAAAACAGAAATTTACCTGGTGTGCTGTTCTACTGTGGCTAAGCTGGCATTCAAACCACAAGACAAAGTCCTTCCCTTTCTTCCCTCCCCTTTCCACAGGCAGAGGAGCCTCTCCCTGTGGCCACCACCAGCAACAACCCACAGAGGGTTCTGCCAGGCACTGCTGATGTTCACTTAATGCCCAAAGACTCTTCTGTCAGCTTGTGGTGAATGCTGCCAGGCCTGGGACTCAACCTTCAGGGCAGTGGGCTCCTCTCTGGCCCAGAGCAGGTCTAGATATGCTGACCAAGATCCTAGGCCTGGACTTGGAGACCTCAAGAGCCTGCTTGGTGCTGTACCCCATTGTGGCTGAGCTGGGACCTAACGTGCAAGACAGAGTCCCCTTTACTTTTCCCTCTACTTTTCTCAAACAGAAGGAGTCTTTCACCATAGTCACCACAGCTGTGAACGTGCTGGGTCACACCTGAAGCCATCATCTCTCAGAGCCCAAGGCCCACAGTGTATTACTTGGTATTGCTGGTAGTTATTCAGACCCCAGGTGCTCTTTAGTCAGCAGGTGATGAATATTGCCAGGTCTTCGCTGTGACAGGGCTGCACTGACTTCAATGTAAAATCCCCCAGTCACTGTGCTCTCCCTCTCTCAAGTGCAAAGATATCTCTGCCCCATGCTGCTGCTGCCAGCAGTGCACCATGGGTGATGTAAGCCAACCTGGCTGGTATCTCAGTAGGTCTCATGCCCCCGAGTCCGCTGGCTCTAAGCCCAGCTCAGCACTAGGACTTTCCTAGATATTGAAGTTCTTGTGACCTAGACTGCCCTTCAAGTTCACTTAGGGCCCCAGAGCACTCTAGCCCACAGTAGCAAGGCTTGCTGAAACTCAATCTCTGACCACTGGGATGGACGATTTCCTGCTGGCTAGGCCCAGTCCAAATGCTCCCTCTGTGGTGAACATTAGCTGAGTACAGACTGATTCTGCCTTCTGCAGGACAGCACTGGGTTCAATGCAAAGCCTCACAATTGCTGCAGTCTTTTCCTCCTAAGTGCACAGATTCTCCATGCTGCATGGGATATGGGGGAGGGGTGTCATTGGTACTTCAAGATTGTCTTTCCTGCCCTCTTCAATGACTCTTTCCGTGGTATGAAGTTAAAACCAGGTACTATGATTGCTCACATGATTTTTGCTTCCTGTGATGGTGATTTTTTTGTGTAGTTACCAAAATTTGGTGTTCCTACAGAGGGGATGAATGATGTAAGCTGCTATTTGGCCATTTTGCTCTGCCAGAAGTTCTAATAAAATTTTGAAAATATTTTTGCATTCTTGAGTTGGTGATTTTCAGGGACCTTTTCTGCTCTGTAGGTTTGGGCTTTATTAATTTAAATTAAAAATATATTTTTTCTATACTATTTATTTCTTATTTGTGATTTCTATTATTCCATTATTTATTATACACAGATTAGATGATTATAATTTTTCTTCCATAGAACTCATCTTTTCTAGAAATAATTTTCATTGTTTTATCTGTCACTTGTGGAAAAATTCTGAAACTTTTCTTTTTTTTCACTAACGTGAATTTTCTGCAATATCTAGTCTGCTGTTCATTGCTCCTCCTCAGGTCTTAGTTGAATAATTTCATTTTTTACCTTCATAAAATTTGACTTTTCTTAACTTCTTTCTTTTGATATTTGACATATATTTTTGAGAACCCAGATTAGACGTTTTATAAAATGAGTTTTTTTCTTGCAGAAAATCTATTTTAGGGAAGGCATTTCCTCTGCTTCCTCCAGATGGTCTCCTTTTGACTTACAGTATCTTTTCCATGTCTTTCAGAGGAGGCCCACTCTGCCAACTCTGTTCATTGGGGCCATCTGCTCCAGACGAAAGCTCATCCACACATATTTTCGATTTGCTGTGGCTGTCTGTCCCACACCTTGCCCTCCTTCCTCTTAGGTATAGACTGTTAGTGGCTCTTTTTTTCAGGGTCTCCTATACCTACTTTCCAGTTACTTCATGGTGTGGAAATTCAAATATTGGCCCTTCATATCACTTTCAATACAATAGAAATGCTCAAGTATCTCGCATGTGTCATTTTTCCTTATTTCCTGTCTTAGTACTGGCTTGTTAGTTTATATTTTGTAGTTATTTCCATGGCAGTTGGGAACAGTAGTAATTGTCTGTACTCCTGGTTTTTCTTTTTAGGTTCCATGAAGCACTATCTGGAAAGGTTCCATGGACACCTTTGCAGGGTTGGTCCTTTGAGTCTTTTTCTTATTGCTGCCCCTTTTCTCATCTCTCCTGGTTTTGAACTCTCTCGTGTCCTACTCATACTGAGCATTCTCCTTTTTTCATGCATTCTGTAAGTTTCTTCCTAACAGCAATAGCACTTTTCTTCTGTCCTCAGTCTTCATCTCCCCTCTTAAATGTTCAAGGTTGATATCATAGTGTTACATTATTGTGAAGAAGACTATAATCATCAAGATGTTTGACAACATCAAACACGTGTTTAGAAGGCAACTCCCTTACAGTGAGGAGAGATCCTTCTTACTCATTGAGAGAACAAGGGGGGTCCTAACACTATAAAGAATACTTCTTTACGTGGATAAACTTGATTTTAATCTGCTCTATTTGATTGAATAAACTATGCTGTCAGGACATTTATTCTACTTCTTTTTATAGCTCTAAAGTGACTGAAGGGCTGAGAATCCAAGGACATAGAAATCTTTAGAGCTTGGAAAAGTCGTTGGAACCATTTTGTCGTAAAACCAGTTTTTAGTCTCTTTTCCTTTTGATGCTTTTTTATATCACATATGTTTGATGATTCTGGGGTTGCATGAAACATTTTTGAAAAAAACTTTCCCTGAAAAAAAAAATCCAGTAGCAATCAGGCTTTAGTTTATTCTATGATTACCCAATTGCTCTTCTTATGTCTTCATCTGAGTTAGCTTCCTGAGACCTTCCTTGCCTCTTCAATTAGTTAAAAATTAGCCACAAAGGCTGAGGAATCTGGTGTTCAAATATTCTTTGTTGTGGACATGTCTTTCTTTTAAAGCAATAGCAAAGCTTAGCAAAATCTCTGCCAGTGGAAGGATGCATGACAAAGAGAAGGAAGATAGCCTAATGAGGACCAGGCAGATTTGCAGCACATTTGGAGGAAGAACCCCTGTGCCAGGTCATGGCCCAGCCTAGTGCCCTGATGAGAAAGGCTGATGATGTGGGGAGTAGGTAACGGCACAGCACGGATTTCTTCACGTGCTAATACAGTGAAGCCTTGAGCGCTGATGCCCCTCTCACCCTCCAACTGAAAGAAGTATTAAGAAGAAGAGAGCCTGACATTCCAGCTCTCGTGACTGGGTGAGCTCCTTGTGGAATATCAGAACATGAGAGGTTACAGGGAGAGGGAGTTGTGTTCTATCTCCAGCTCCTTAGTTCACTCACTTGTACCCTCACCTCTTTTATAGTTTTTGCCATGCCTGTTAAAGGGTCTGATAGTAAACCAAAAATGAAAACAACCTTAACAGAATCTGAATCTATATTTTCAAAAATCTTTGAACCTGTAAGAGCTTGTGTGGTCTGGTTTGGCTCAATGCCATATAGACAAGGTCAGTTTTTAATGAGAACTTTTCATCCTCATTACTCCACTAGAGATTTCATGAAAAAGGTTTGAGAGCAAAATTAACCACTTTACCAATGTATCAGATTCATCTTTCAAACGTAAACACTATTCATAATTTGAGATTGACAAGCTTACATCTGCAAAGCTTTAAAGATTGTCATTTTGGGGTAGAAAATATCTCATTAATCAGAATGTTAAATAATCCACAGTACTTATATAATGTGTTATTATTTATCAGTCTTGAGCAGCTCTATTTCCAAAGGGAGAAACAAAATAATTTCAACCAAGTGAGCATAATATTAATGACAGCAGTATTATAAATACATTTAAAATGATGCCAGAAAGCATGTGACAACAAGAAAAAAAAGCTGATTTTCTTTTATTTTTCTCCCGTTCAATGTGCAAAACATGCTGCTATACTTTTATCCACAGACTTTGTTTGAAAATTTCTCAAGACACAAGCCAGCACCATGTCAATAATGGTTGAGTACTTTGTTTGGTGCAATTAAAAGATTTTTACAACTTCTACAATGGAAATCACCAGGAAACCAAGAAAACTGGCAGTGCATCAAACAATTCAGTTGAAGGGAAGAAACAAACAGGGTGTAGATGAAATGCTGAAAAGGGTGATATTCTTTCTGTGATATTAACACAATAGTGATCTTAGGGCCCCATGAACATAAATTTCAGGCTCCCTTTCATAAACCCCCTTTGATTTAGGAATTATTCCAATATAATGTGAATACTCTTTTACATCCCTCTTTCTCATACTTTAAGTTAGAGCCTGTGTTCCTACGCAGCTGTGTTGTCATTGTTTAAATAGGACAAACAGACAGGACACTGCGGGAAACAGTGGTTCTCTGTGTGATATCACTCAATCCTCCTGGGCAGAAAGAATCATGTTTCCAGTTTGAAGTTTGCTATTTTGACACAAGTAAGCACAGTATATTATTAGGATGAGCTATCTTTTTATACCTAATTATGTTAACTTTGAAGGCCTGTTCAGTTGACTTACCCACCTGAAAACTAAGTTGTGATTTATAAGACCCACCAACATAGTGTATTGGGCCAATAAACAGGTTTTGTAATCTCAATATTTTCTCCAATGCTTTATCTAATGGGTACCATTTTAAAAGAGAGATGTCACATAACTATCAAATGCCAAGTTCACAAACAGGAATGTTAGCTCATATGAATTGATTTTAGGATGCCTCTTAGGATTTTTAGTTGTGCTTTGCAGAAGTTTCTTTATGTCCGAAAAATTATGTTACATAGATTTTACACAATTCCAATCTAAGTTCCAGCAGTATTTTTTTGTAGAAATTAACAATCTGATTCTACATTTCTCATGGAAAGTCAAAGGAACTAGAATAGCCAAAACAATTTTGAAGAGGAAGAGTTTGGAAGACTCACCTAAGCTGATTTAAGGCTTACTATAAAACTATTGTAACCAAAGCAGTGTGGTATTGGTGAAAGGGCAGGCATGAATATCAACAGAACGGAATTGAGAGTCAACAGCAGACACACATTTGACCAATTGATTTTTAGCAAAGGTACAAAGGCAATTTCATGGAGAAAGTACAGAATTTTCCCTAAATGATGTTAAGAGAATTGCATATCAATATTAAAAAATGAACTTTGACACATACTTCATACATTATATAAAAATTAACTCAAAATAGATCAGAGACTTAAATGTAAGATCTAAAATTATCAAATTCCTAGAACAAAAAAGTAAAAAAAATTTTGTGATTTTGGGCCAAGCATATCTTTTAGGTACGACACCAAAAGCACCAAAAAAGGTGATCAACTGGATTTCATCAAAATGAAAACCTGGTTTGTAAAAGACACTGCTAAAAGGGTGTAAAGGTACTGACTTCACAAAAATATTTGCAAAACACATATTTAACAATAGGCTTTTATCTAGAACATACAAAGAACTCTCAAAATTCAGTAAGAAAACAAAAGATCCACTTTTTTAAATGGGCAAAAAATTGTACAAATAAATCAACTGAGAAAATACATGGATAACAGCAACATGAAATGATGTTCAACATTGTTAGTCATTAAGGAAATACAAATTAAAACCATAAGGAAATGTCACTACAGACCAATTATTAGAATGAAGAAAAGTTTTAAAAACCTGACAATACTAAGTGTGAGCAAGCATTCTGAGCAAATGGAACTCCTGTACTACACTTCTGGTGGGAATACAATATGATATAGCCACTAAGGAAGACAGGTTGCCAGTTTCTTTTAAAGTTAAACATATACTCACCATGTGAATCAATAATCCTGCAACTAGGTATTTACCCAAGAGATAAATGCTTGTGTTTAAATGAAAATCTGTACACAAATATTTTTAGTAACTTCATAATTAGCAAAAACTGGAAACAACCCTTCAACTTGTTCATGAATAAACAAATTATGGTACACCTATGCAATGGGATTCTATTTGACAATAAAAAGGAATGCACTGTAAATTCATTTAACAATATGGATGAATCTCAAATGCAATTTGTTTAGTGAAAAACACCAGACCCCAAAGACCACAATACTGTATGATTCAATTATATGACATTCTGGAAAACACAAAACAATGGAGGCAAAAAACAAATGGTTTCCAGAGTTTGGGACTAGGGGCAGCTCAGCTACAAGGGGACTGGGGGACATGCTTTGAGGATCTGTTCTGTATCTTGGTTGTAGTGGTAGTGACACAACTGTATTCATTTGTCAAAATTACAGAACTATACACTTCAAAGAGTGAATTTTGCTGTATTTTTTTTTTCTTTTTCTGAGACAGAGTCTCACTCTCTTGCACAGGCTGGAGTGCAGTGGCGTGATCTTGGCTCACTGCAACATCCGCCCCCTGTGTTTAAGTGACTCTCCTGCCTCAGCTTCCCAAGTAGCTGGGATTACAGGCACCTGCCACCGCGCCCAGCTAATTTTTGTATTTTTAGTAGAGATGGGGTTTCACCATGTTGGTCAGGCTGGTCTTGAACTCCTGACCTCGTGATCCACCTGCCTCGGCCTCCGAAAGTGCTGGAATTACAGGCGTGAGCCACCGCACCCAGCCTGCTATATGTACTTTTTTAAGTAAAAAAGAAAAAAACTAGTACTTAAGAGTTTTTTAAAAAATAGATTGTTCTTTGAGGATAAAAACTGCAGCTTCTCCCGGGAGGCGGAGCTTGCAGTGAGCCGAGATGGCGCCACTGCACTCCAGCCTGGGCGACAGAGCAAGACTCGGTCTCAAAAAATAAAAAATAAATAAGTGAATAAATAAATAAATACATAAAATAAAACACTCTAGCTTCTTTTTCATTCTACTCCTGTACAGTGAGTGTGCGTGTTTAATACTTGTTTAACGTGCATTTTCTCTATGTGAGATCATCATAAGAGTTCTGTAGTCAGAACATTTCTATGTTTTGATGACATCTAGTTTTTTTTTTTATCAGAGATATTTTTTGAAAATGCACATAGGAAAATAAATAATTAAAAGAGATCGTTCATTAAAGTATCCCCAAGGCATTCCCCATAATTTTTTTGACTTATAAAACAAAGGAAGATTTTATTTTATAATGTGTCTGCATAAATGAGAGCTTTTGCCCAAAATGAACCAAAGATGTCCTTTTGTTTAAAAGGCAGAAATAACAACAGAAATACAGATGACCCTATAAAATGCTTTTCTTTCTCCGTACATTTGAAAATGTCGTACCCCCTTGCCTTTAGCACCTCGGCTGCACAATCAGCATGCGGAAGAATTATTAACAAGAGCACTCCCATTCTGGTTTCAAACCCACATAATACCGCTTGAAAAAAAAATAGCCTTGCTGAAAGAATGTTATACATCTTTCACACCATACTTGGAGATTTCTGACAGCCAGATCCAAAAAAGTACAACACTCTATAGTCTATGTCAACCGGAATGACTCCTCTTTTCATAGATTTAAGAAGCAGTACGCTGTTTCCCCCAGAGATTCTCCCAGCCTAATATTCCCCAAGTTAAATGTGTCAGGAGCAACTACATGTTGCTGTGGGATTCAGATACCGTTAATATAACGAAATGCTATTGTTGTTGCTGTACTTACGGTGATGGCAATCTAAAAAGTTCTCATGACAGCAGAAATGACACTTTTGACGAGCTATATATAGAGACAGAAGTGTACAATTTAGAATCTGCAATGGATCGTGACTCAGTCTGCTTGTTCTCACACTTTGTATTGTTTCTTGGCACCACTGTGTGTCTTAAAGCACACACCAGTTCTGCCAGTAACAGACCTCCTTAGCTGATCCTCATTATCACCTTGGCACAAAATCAACCCCCCATTCAGTTCTTTCTGCTTTTAAGAACAGTATCTTTTAATAAAGCTTACATCAATGTCATGTCAGAGAACGAGGGAGCTCCTTGCTTAGGGATTTGCCTTAGTGAATGAAAAACAGGTAAACCAATAAGCCAATCTGTGTGCAGCAACAAAGAAAAGCACCTAGTCCTAACATCTGCCCCACCAGGCTAACCAATATCAGGGAAAACAATCTTCTGCCTTTAAAGCAATAACCTTCACTAAATCAGTAACACTCACGTTTTCCATCCTTCTCTACAACCTTCAGTCTTAATATGAGGGAATGGAAGAAAATTTTTCCAAATTTACTTTCATCTGAAAGGCCACGCATTTCTGTTGCCATCCTGCCTGCTTTCATAGTAGTGGGAAGGTTTCTGAGTAATGGAAAATATCCTGAGGTCATGATGGTTCCTGAGAATAAAATAAGCAGAAAATAAAATGGAAGAGAGAAGGTAAAAAACAGGCATAGAGACAAAGTAGAGAAGGAAGAGAGGCTGAGCAGAGCCAGAGGAGAAGGGTTCAGGGTCTGCGCACACCGGAAAACACAAACTTTCAGAATTTCATCTGGGCCACAAAACCTTTATGTAAATGACATTCTCTGTTCAGGCAGCTACCTCTGTGGCTTCTTGGATAAAGCTGGGTTCTGCTCTTCATCTCCAGCTTCATTATTTACTCCCAAGGCATTTTTCCATAGAGAGAACATTTGTTCTTAATTTTCCATCCCACATTGTACAATACCACAACTTTCCTACTGCCACAAAGAATCTTCTTTCACTTGCTTCGGGGCTGGAACATCTGAGCATCCACATACCACACCCCAACACACAGACATGGACTGAGAAATCTTCTCTCTTTGAACATCCCTGTATTCCATATTTCTAAAAACTATTAGCTTGTAAAAAAGCTCGTAAAATTTAGGTGTGTTTTGTTGTTTTCTATCTATCCATTAATGAAGCTACTTTTGTTGAGCATGGTATATAATTTATTTTGTTCTAAAGTTTTTTACAAAGGAAAAAAATTAATTCTTAAGGTTAAAAAAATTTAATTTGTAAAATGAGAAGAAACAAAATACTGTCATTCTGTTTTACAAAAACAAACTGTTACCTTTTTTATATTTTATCATTGACACTTGTTTTGTTTAATGTGTCATAAATCTTTTAGAATGTGTATTAGGTTAGCGAGGCTTGGCCAATTTAAGCTGCAGTATGAAAATGTGAAACTCTAAGTGGTTGAATACCACACCAGTTTCTTTCTTATTCGTGCTACCTATCCCAAACAGGTTAATGGAGGGCTCTGTGCCACACATTCCTACTCAGGGATCTAAGCTCATGGAAACTCCATCATCTTGTAGCTGCAGTATTTGGATGCCCTACTTCCTCCATTTCTAAGGGGAGAAATTGGAAATCTTACAAGGGCTTTTAATTGCCTCAGTCTGGAAGTGGCACACTTGACTTCCACATTTCTTTGGCTAGAATGAGTTACATGGCTTCACCTAACTGCAAGGGAGACAAGAAATGAAAGAAGCAAGTGAAACACTACTAGGCATTACTCTCTCTGCCACATCATGTCAGTAAATCGAGATCTAACTCATAACTTTTATTGGCTAAATAATTTTTTAGGTTGTGTGTGGTGGCTCATGCCTGTAATCCCAGCACTTTGGAAAGCCAAGGCAGGTGGATTACTTGAGCCCAGGAGATCGTGACCACCCTGGGCAACATGGCCAAACAGTCTCTACAAAAACATACAAGAATTAGCTGGGCATGGTGGTGTGTGCCTGTGGTCCCAGCTACTCAGGAGGCTGACATAGGAGGATCACCCAAGTCCAGGAAGTTTGAGGCTGCAGTAAGCCATGATCATAACATTGCACTCCAGCCTGGGTGGCAGAGTGAGACCCTGTCTCAAATAAAAATAATTTTTTAAAAATGGATATGCCATAATTTGTTAACTAGCTATAGTTGAACGTTTAGACTGTTTTGGTGTTTCACTACTCTAAATGACTCTAACAAGCATCTTTCTGTCCATAGCTTTGAGTACTTTTCTAATTGCTGCCTTAGGATAACTAATTTTTTTTTAACTTTTAGGTTCAGGGGACATTTGCAGGTTTGTTATGTAGGTAAATTGTGGGGCACAGGGTTTGGTGTACAGATTATTTTGTTACCTAGGTAATTAGCATAGTATGCAATAGGTAGTTTTTCAATCCTCACACTCCTCCCACCCTCCACTCTCAAGTGGACCCCCATGTCTCTTGTTCCCTTCTTTGTGTCCATGTGTACTTAAAGTTTAGCTCCCAACTATAAGTGAGAATATGCAATATTTGGTTTTCTCCTCCGACATTAGTTTGCTTGAAATAACAGCCTCCAGCTCTGTCTATGTTGGTTCAAAGAACATCTAATTTCTCTTTTACAGCTGCATAGTATTCCATGGTATGTATGTACCACATTTTTAAAATCCAATCTACCGTTGATGGGCATTCAGTTTGATTCCATGTCTTTGCAATTGTGAATAGTGCTTTGATAAATATACACATGCATATGTCTTTATGGTAGAACAATTTATATTCCTTTGGGCATATACCCAGTAATGAGATTGCTGGGTCAAATGGTAGTTCTGTTTAAGTTCTTTGAGAAATCTCCAAACTGCTTTCCACAATGGCTGAACTAATTTACATTCCCACCAATAGTGTATAAAAGTTTGCTTTTCTCGACAACCTTGCCAACATCTGTTATTTCTTGACTTTATAATAGTAGCCATCCATTCTGACTGGTGTGAGATGGTATCTCATTGTGGTTTTGATTTGCATTTCTCTAATGATTAGTGTTGTGGAACATTTTTTCATATGCTTGTTGGCTGCCTGTATGTCTTTTGAAAAGAGTCGTTCATTTCTTTTGCCCACTTTTTAGGGTTGTTTGTTTATTGCTTGTAAATTTCCTTATGTTCCTTGTAGATTCTGGGTATTAGACCTTTGTCAGATGCATAGTTTGCAAATATTTTCTCCCATTCTGTACATTGTTTACTCTGTTGACAGTTTCTTTTGCTGTGCAGAAGCTCTTTAGTTTAATTCGGTCCCATTTGTCAATTTTTGGTTTTGTTAACAATTACTTTTGGTATCTTCATCATGAAATCTTTGTCAGGCCTTATGTCCAGAATGGTATTTCTTAGGTTATCTTCCAGGGTTTTTATAGTTTGAGGTTCTACATTTAAGTCTTTATCCATTTTGGGTTAGTTTTTGTAGATGGTGTAAGAAAGGGGCCCAGTTTCAATCTTCTACATATGGCTAGCCAGTTATCCCAGCACCATTTATGGGATAAGTTCTTTCCTCATTCATTGCTTGTTTTTGCTGATTTTGTTGAAGGCCAGATAGTTGTAGGTGCGTGGCATAATTTCTGCACTGTCTTTTCTGTTTCATTAGTCTTCGTGTCTCTTTTTGTGCCAGTATCATGCTGTTTTGGTTACTATAGCCTTGTAGTGTAGTTTGAAGTAGGGTTATGTGGTACCACCAGCTTAGAAGTGTTCTTTTGGTTCTTTTTGCTTAGAAGTGCCTTCGCTATTTGGGCTCTTTTTTAGCTTCATATGAATTTTAAAATAGTTTTTTCTAAATCTCTGAAGAACATCATTGGTGGTTTGATAGGAATTGCATTCAGTCTGTAAATTGCCTTGGGCAGTATGGACATTTAAACAATAGTGATTCTTCCTATCCACGAGCATGGAATGTTTCTCCATTTGTTTGTGTCATCACTGATTTCTTTTAGCAGTGTTTTGTAATTTTCATTGCCGTTTTTTACCTCCTTGGTTAGCTGTATTCCTAGGTATTTTATTCTTCTTGAGGCTATTTTAAGTGGGATTGTGTTCTTCATTTGGTTCTCAGCTTGGATGTTGCTGATGTATAGGAATGTTACTGATTTTTGTACATTGATTTTCTATCCTGAAACTCTGCTGAAGTTGTTTATCAGATCAAGGAGCTTGTGCATAGAGACTATAGGGTTTTCTAGGTATGGAATCATATAATCTGCAAACAGGGATAGTTTGACTTCCTCTCTTCCTATTTGGATGCCTTTTATTTCTTTCTCTTGCCTGATTGCTCTGGCTAGGACCTTCAGTACCATGTCGAATGAGAGTGGTGAGAGAAGGCATCCTTGTCTTGTTCCATTTTTCAAGGGAAGTGCTTCTAGCTTTTGCCCATTCAGTATGATGTTCGCTGTGGGTTCTTCATAGATGGCTCTTACTACTTTGAGGTATGTTACCTCAATGTCTCACTTGTTGAGGGGTTTTAACATAAAGGGATATTGAATTTGATCAAAAGCCTTTCCTGCACCTAAAAGATGATCATGCGGTTTATTTTCAGTTCTGTTTATGTGATTAATCACATTTATTCATTTGTGTATGTTGAATCAACCTTGCATCCCAGAGATAAAGCCTACTTGATCATGGTAAATTAGCTTTTTGATGGGTTGCTGGATTTGATCTGCTAGTATTTTTTAGAGTATTTTTGCATCTATAATCATTAAGTATATCGGCCTGAGGTTTTCTTTTATTTGTGTGTATGTGTCTCTGCTAGGTTTGGGATGATGCTGACCTCACAGAATGAGTTTGGGAGGAGACCCCTCTTTAATTTTTTGGAACAGTTTTGGTAGAAATGGTACCAGCTCTTCCTTATACATCTGGCAGAATTCATTTGTGAATCTGTCTTGTCCTGGGCTTTTTCTGGTTGGTAGCCTTTTTATTACTGCTTCAATTTTAGTACTTGTTGGTGTGTTCAGGGATTCAATTTCTTCCTGGTTCAATCTTGGGAGGTTGTATGTTTCCAGGAATTTATCTATTTCTTCTAGGTTTTCTAGCTTTTTCATAGAGGTATTAGGATAAATTTTTATACTTTGAATTGCTAGGTTAAGGCATATATTAGTACGTTTTCATGCTGCTGATAAAGACGTATCCAAGACTGGGTAATTTATAAAGAAAAAGAGGTTTAATGTACTCACAGTTCCACGTGGCTGGGGAGGCCTCACAATCATGGTACAAGGCAAAAGGCACATCTTACATGGCAGCAGACAAGAGCATGAGAGCCAAGTGAAAGGGGTTTCCTCTGATTAAACCATCGGATCTCATGAGACTTATTCAATACAACAAAAATAGTATGGAGGAAACCACCCCCATGACTCAATTATCTCCCCCTGGGTCCCTCCCACAACATGTGGTAATTATGGGAACTATGATAAAAAATGAGATTTGGGTAGGGACACAGCCAAACCCTATTATTCTCCCCCTGGCCCCTCCCAACTCTCATGTCCTCACATTTCAAAACCAATCATGCCTTCCTAACAGTCCCCTAAAGTCTTAACTCATTTCAGCATTAACTCAAAAGTCAATTTCACATGGAACATTCTCCTGGATACATCATATTTTAGTCCCCAAAATAACTCAGAAGTCCACAGCCCAAAGTCTCATCTGAGACAACACAAGTCCCTTCCACCTATTAGCCTGTAAAATTAAAAGCAAGTTAGTTACTTCCTAGATACAATGGGGATACAGGCATTGGGTAAATACAGCCATTCCAAATGGGAGAAATTGGCCAAAACAAAGGGGCTAAAGGCCTCATGCAGACCAAAATCCAGCAGGGCAGTCAAATCTTAAAGCTCCAAAGTGATCTCCTTTGACTCCATGTCTCATATCCAGGTCATGCTGATGCAAGAGATAGGTTCCCATGGTCTTGAACAGCTCTGCCCCTGTGGCTTTGCAGGGCGTAGGCCCTCTCCTGGCTGCTTTCATGGGCTGGTGTTGAGTGTCTGTGGCCTTTCCAGATGCATGGTGAAAGCTGTTGGTGGATCTACCATTCTGGGGGGTCTGGAGGATGGTGGCCCCCTTCTCATAGCTCCACTAGGCAGTGCCTCAGTGGGAACTCTGTATGGGGGCTTCAACTCCACATTTCCCTTCCACATCCCTCTAGCAGAAGTTCTCCATGAGGGCCCTGCCCTTGCAGCAAACTTTTTCCTGGACATCCAGGCATTCCCATACATCCTCTGAAACCTATACAGAGGTTCCCAAACCTCAGTTCTTGACTTCTGTGCACCTGCAGGCTTGACACCACATGGAAGCTGCCAGGGCTTGGGGCTTGCACCCTCTGAAGCCACAACTCGAGCTGAGCTGTACCTTGGCCCCTTTTAGCCATGGCTGGTGCAGCTGGGACATAGGGCACCAAGTCCCTAGGTTGCACACAGCAGGGGAACCTGGGCCCAGCCTATGAAACCATTTTTTTCTCCTAGGCCTCTGGGCCTGTTATGGGAGGTGCTGCTGAGAAGGTTGCTGACATGCCCTGGAGACATTTTTCCCATTGTCTTGGCAATTAACATTTGACTCCTCAGTACTTATGCAAATTTCTGCAGCTGGCTTGAATTTCTCCTCAGAAAATGGATTTTTCTTTTCTATCGCATCATCAGGCTGCAAATTTTCTGAACTTTTATGCTCTGTTTCCATTTTGAAACTGATTGCTTTGAACAGCACCCAATTCACTTCTTGAATGCTTTTCTGCTTAGAAATTTCTTCCACTAGATACCCTATATCATCTCCCTTAAGTTCAAAGTTCCACAAATCTCTATGGCAGGGGCAAAATGCCACCAGTTTCTTTACTAAAACCTAGCAAGAGTCACCTCTACTCCAGTTCCCAACAAGTTCCTCATCTCCATCTGAGACCACCTCAGCCTGGATTTCATTGTCCATATTATTATCAGCATTTTGGCCAAAGCCATTCAACAAGTCTCTAGGCAGTTCCAAACTTTTCCACATTTTCTTGTATTCTTCAGAGCCCTCTAAACTGTTCCAACCTCTGCCTGTTACCCAGTTCCAAAGTCGATTCCACGTTTACAGGTATCTTTACAGCAGCACCCACTCTACTGGTACCAATTTACTGTATTGGTCAGTTTTCACACTGCTAATAAAGACATACCTGAGACTGGGTAATTTATAAACAAAAAGAGGTTTAATGGACTCACAGTTCCACGTGGCAGGGGAGGCCTCATAATCACGGTGGAAGGCAAAGGGCACGTCTTACATGATGGCAGACAAGACAGAATGAGAGCCAAGTGAAAGAGGTTTTCCCCCATAAAACCATCAGATCTTGTGAGACATATTCACTACCACAAGAACAGTATGGGGGAAACCACCTCCATGATTCAATTTATCTCTCACCAGGTCCCTACCACAACATGTGGGAATTATGGGAGCTACAATTCAGGATGAGATTTGGATGGGGACACAGCCAATCCATATCAAGGCATTTACACAAATTAATGTTTTTATACATAATGTCAAAATACCCTTCAAAATGAATGTCCAGATTT
The DNA here is from genome assembly GCF_000001405.40 of Homo sapiens. Lineage (NCBI taxonomy): Eukaryota > Metazoa > Chordata > Mammalia > Primates > Hominidae > Homo > Homo sapiens. The sequence continues at coordinate 30,071,562 of NC_000014.9, read as the reverse complement.
AAAATGTCTCAGCTATAATGCATGTATCTATTTTTCATTTCTTTACCAATAATGTTATTCATTTTGTACTCTTGAGAGCAAGATGGGCATAAGGAATAAAAGGAACTTTACTGTTTTAATTTTTATCTCTTTGATTCTTTGATCTGTGCTTCAAAACGTTCCATTGTTCAGGAAGAAATAACTCAGGACTACTTAGGATTTCAAGTAGGTAAATATAACAATTTGTATAATATGAGATAATTAAGTCATTTTCCTATAAATTATTATGATAAAATATCACTTTTAAAAGTATGTATAAAATAATTCATCTACTTATAGCTAAAAAACAAATTTTATTTCTTAATGTTTTGAAGCAGCTATTTTATAATCTTGGAAGTTTTGCCAGGATTTCTTTACGAGAATATAAAATTTTGCCAATTCAGAGGGTATAAAGTTGTAGTAATGTAGGATGAATAAGTCTAGAGAGCTAATACACAGCTTGAGGACTATAGTTAATACTGTATTTTATACTAGAAATTTGCTAAGAGAGTAGATTTTAGGTGCTTTGACTACAAAATTTAGAAAGTAACTAAGTGAGGTGATGGATATATTAATTTTCTTGACTGTGGTAATCATTTCACCATGTGTATATATATGTAAACATCATGTTATACACCTTAAATATATACAATAAAAATACATCAAAATAATATATGGAAATCATTAGCATTTTTTTCCAAACAGTATTATTAGAATTTTTTAAAATGGGTTAGATGTAGATGGATTCAGCATTTTGGGGGATCTATAATATACTGTAACCCAGAGGTCTGTGAGTCAACTATCTGAATTAAGTGTATTGAAATATTTATAACCTAACCTTTCATAAACCATAAAAAACATAATCTTATGAAAAAAACTTCTCTAGTTAAATTTTCAAAAAGCGTATGATGTACAGAAAAATGATGTTGAACACAATGAACAAAGTAAATATATTGGACCAGAATCTTTAATAAATGCATCTAAAATAAATGTTACTAATTAACAAGCACTTTATTGGTTCAAAGAGATAGAAAGAGAAGTTTTTGGTCTCATCTCCTTTTCCTCACTGTGTTTCTACCTCCAATATTCAATTTTCTCATTAATTTTATGGGGTGACTTCATCATGTTTACAAGCTGAGGAGAAGGCTCTACTACATTTTATTGTTTCTGTGGTATATTTTTGTCCACATTTTAATATTTCTGAAATCAGGATGCATTTTACTGTTGCTGTTGAGCTAGGCAGCAGTCATGACTTTTAGTCACTGTCAACACATGCATGTCAAAGCTTAGAGGGTGGGTGAAGCATTTGAAAGAAAGTCTGGGAAACAACAGAGGAGCACTCTTAAGAAATAGTGTGTCGCCAACACTTTTGATAACACAGAGGACAAAACTGTGTGCAAAAGCAGCATCAGTAGTCCTATGTATATGCAAAGTTTTGTTTTCTCTTTTCATGTAGGCTCAACCATGACATATGATGAAAATCTGTGTCACTATCTGAGGGATAACATATTCTATCCTGGTTTGATGACTTTTTTTTATTCTTTACAATTGTTGGTATCTTAAAGTTAATAAAATAAAATTATAGAGAATAAAAGAGGATGAAAGATTGAAGACTTGAAAGAGGGGGAAACGTCCTGGAAGAGGCAAAAGTGAATAAGATAATGGACACAAGTAGAGGAGTTACCTTGGGAAAGAAAGTGAAATGCTTCCTCTGTTGGAAGAAAAGAGGAAGGTGAATTTTTTTTCTTTTAATATCTCATTGTGTCTTACACCCACATTCCACTCATGCTGCAGCAGAAATTCAAGTCAGCCTGCCAAGTGGAAATGATTATCTTGTGGCACACTGATACCACAGAATCCAAATAAGAAAAGTTGGCATTTACTGGACACATGCTATATTCCAGGCATTATACTGAATACTTTACATGTAGGTCAGAAGAAGAAATTTAAAAGTGCATCACTTTCAGGTTCCTAACCTGTTTGCAAAGTTTTGGTCATGTGAGGTTTCCTGAGAGAGTTTTGAAGGATGAGGATAAGGAGGATGAGGAGGAGTAGGAGAAGGTGAAGACAAAGTTGGAGGCCTGTAGGTAATGAGATTTTCATTACATGAAATTGAATAGACAATCCATAGATTCTATGGTTCTACTGTCCTACAGAAGATATTGGAGCACAGTGATACAAGTTCATCTGTGGGAGCATATTCAAGGTTGGAGTAAAGTTGAAAAGTTTAGAATAGTCTTTATGGGAAATAAAAATAACATTTATAGAGTTTGTCTATACTAGGTAATAGGCTAAGTGTTTACATTCATTTTGTAATTTACTTACAAGGAAGAAATTATTGGGAGCTAGTAGAGTGAAGTGTTGTAGAGTGTGGGTTGTCAAGGGTGTAAATCCTGGCTCTGCTATGTGTTAAGTATGTAGCTTTGATCAAGCTAGGGGTCCTTTAGGTCCCTCAGTTTCCTCCTTTTTATGTAGGTTCAACAGTGATACCAGACTGATAATATAAAGTGTTGGTGAGTGTATAACAAAGGAGGAACTATCAGACATTGCTGGTGGCAATGTAAATTCATGCAATTCCTTTTAGAGAAACAATTGATACTGTATAGTAAGAATGAAAGTACTCAGACCCTACAACCCAGCAATTCTACCTGGAGGTATAAGCACCCTAAGAGAGTTATGGCACATGTGCAAAGATGTGTGTAGGATATTCATATAGTATTGTATGAAATCGTGAAAATTTGGAAATATCTATTAGAGGAATTAAGAAGTAGACTATGGTGTCATCAGTCATAAAAAATTCGACATAGCAGTTAAAGTGACCAAACTAATTACCTGTTTATTTATAGGACAATCTAGTATACAATGTTGAGTGATAAAAAGCAAGCTGAAGAATATGTACAACATGAAGGTACTTAGGAAAAATTAAAAGAACACACAAAGCAATACCATATATTATTTCTAAATAGATGCATGTATTTAATGACCTAGAAAGATACAAATCAAATAATGATTATCTCTGGAGAGTGAAGGTGAGAGGGAGAAAGGATGAGAAGTTGTAACAAATGTTGTTTCAAATTTATCTGAAATGCTCTTTTGAAAAAGAAAATAGGGTCAGGCACCGTGGCTCACGCCTGTAATCCTAACATTTTGGGAGGCCGAGTCAAGTGGATTAGTTGAGTCCAGGAGTTTCAGACCAGGCTGGGTGACATGGTCAAACTCTGTCTCTACAGAAAATACAAAAATTAGCCCAGAGTGGTGGCATGCACCTGTAGTCCCAGCTACTCAGAAGGCTGAGTCCGGAGAATCACTTGAGCTTGGGAGGCAGAGGTTGCAGTGAGCAGAGATGGCGCCACTACACTCCAGCCTGGGCGACAGAGTGAGACACTGTTTCCAAAAATAAAAATAAAAATTGAACCAAAGTGACAAACTGTTAGCATTTGTTAATTCTGGGAAGTGAATAGTACCTATATGATGATGGGATATGTGTGTGTTGGAGAGTGTACTTGCATTTTTAAGTTTTTTGGGTTTTTGTTTGTTTGTTTGTTTTTTTGAGGGAGTTTCCCTCTTTTTCCCCAGGCTGGAGTGCAATGGCACAATCTCGGCTCACCGCAACCTCCACCTCCCGGGTCCAAGCAATTCTCCTGCCTCAGCCTCCCGAGTAGCTGGGATTACAGGCATGAGCCACCAAGCCCGGCTAATTTTGTATTTTTAGTAGGGACAGAGTTTCTCCATGTTGCTCAGGCTGATCTCGAACTCCCAACCTCAGGTGATCCACCCGCCTCGGCCTTGCAGAGTGCTGAGATTACAGGCGTGAGCCACCGCACCCGGCCTTTACCGTATTTTTAAATGTTTCCTCCAAAATATTTAATGAGAACCGGAGTTTACAGGAAGTCTGCAATGGGGAGAAGGTGTTGTTGAGTAGGCAATGTGGGTTTCAAAAGAAGAGTGACTCCATTCTGAAATGCTTCCCTCAACTCTGCTAACCTGTTAGCCTACTTTTTCTTCTGTCTAGGTTCTTTCACAATGAAATGCAAATGTTAATTGGGGAGGTTAACCCCTTATTCCAGTGGCATAGTAACATGGATTAATTTTCCAGATTAGGAGAAAGCACTTCATGGCTTCCAGATAAGGGACAAGGCACAATTAATAATTATAGAGAGCAGTACTCAGATCATGGTAATCCTCATCAGCTTCTATGTGGATATTCTCCAAGACAACTTGTAAATTGTAAGTTTTAACAGTAAAGGCCCACAGTTTAAGATATTATGGTTGGGGCCTAGGGGAAGTCATCAGGGTAAGTGTTTGTGCAGTGGCCCCAGCAATGGGATGCCCTTGTGTGGCTGGGATAGAGGAGGAGAGCACTGCGACTTGAGGAAGCTGGTGAAACGGCCCATGCATTTGAATCAGAGCCAGATCTGCTCTCCAACAGGGTTGGAACTGCTTGACTTTCCCTTTGTTTTAGGTACCGATTTTTTGCTTAGGTAATCAATCGAAATTTCTTGACTCCCTTTCACTATTCATGGCATACTGTACTCATTAAATGAGTGGACAGTAGAGTGGACATAAAAGAAACAGAAATATAAGCCACTTAGAAGAAGCACGGAGTAAATATATTAAAATTCCTTTAGTAACAGGATTAAGAAAAGATTTCTGATCAGCTATGCATACTCTCCTAGACCATCACAACTCATAAATCAACAAAATGTATTGAATAGGGCTGTTCTGATGAACAAATTAACCTCCCTCAGCAGACATCACTTATTCCTGATATGTGGTGATTTCTACTCAAATTTCCCTTGATTTTATAAATTTCCCATAAAAATTGACAATGAATCCAGTTTCAGCTTTCTACATATGGCTAGCCAGTTTTCCCAGCACCATTTATTAAATAGGGAATTCTTTCCCCATTGCTTGTTTTTGTCAGGTTTGTCAAAGATCAGATAGTTGTAGATATGTGGCATTATTTCTGAGGGCTCTGTTCTGTTCCATTGGTCTATATCTCTGTTTTGGTACCAGTACCATGCAGTTTTGGTTACTGTAGTCTTGTGGTATAGTTTGAAGCCAGGTAGTGTGATGCCTCCAGCTTTGTTCTTTTGGCTTAGGATTGACTTGGCAATGTGGGTTCTTTTTTGGTTCCACATGAACTTTAAAGTAGTTTTTTCCAATTCTGTGAAGAAAGTCGTTGGTAGCTTGATGGGGATGGCATTGAATCTATAAATTACCTTGGGCAGTATGGCATTTTCACGATATCGATTCTTCCTACCCATGAGCATGGAATGTTCTTCAATTTGTTTGTATCTTCTTTTATTTCATTGAGCAGTGGCTTGTAGTTCTCCTTGAAGAGGTCCTTCATGTCCCTTGTAAGTTGAATTCCTAGGTATTTCATTCCCTTTGAAGCAATTGTGAATGAGAGTTCACTCATCATTTGGTCCTCTGACTGTTATTGGTGTATAAGAATGCTTGTGATTTTTGAAGATTTATTTTGTATCCTGAGACTTTGCTGAAGTTGCTTATCAGCTTAAGGAGATTTTGGGCTGAGATGATGGGGATTTCTAAATATACAATCATGTCATCTGCAAACAGGGACAATTTGGCTTCCTCTTTTCCTAATTGAATGCCCTTTATCTCCTTCTCCTGCCTGATTGCCCTGGCCAGAACTTCCAACACTATGTTGAATAGGAGTGGTGAGAGAGGGCATCCCTGTCTTGTGCCAGTTTTCAAAGGGAATGCTTCCAGTTTTTGTCCATTCAGTATGATATTGGCTGTGGGTTTGTCATAGATAGCTCTTATTATTTTGAGATACATCCCATCAATACCTAATTGATTGAGAGTTTTTAGCATGAAGGGTTGTTGAATTTTGTCAAAGGCTTTTTCTGTATCTATTGAGATAATCATGTGGTTTTTGTCTTTGGTTCTGTTTATATGCTGGATTACATTTATTGATTTTTGTATGTTGAACCAGCCCACTTGATCATGGTGGATAAGCTTTTTGATGTGCTGCTGGATTCGGTTTGCCAGTATTTTATTGAGGATTTTTGCATCAATGTTCATCAAGGATATTGGTCTAAAATTCTCTTTTTTTGTTGTGTCTCTGCCAGGGTTTGGTATCAGGATGATGCTGGCCTCATAAAATGAGTTAGGGTGGATTCCCTCTTTTTCTATTGATTGGAATAGTTTCAGAAGGAATGGTACCAGCTCCTTCTTGTACCTCTGGTAGAATTCGGCTGTGAATCCATCTGGTCCTGGACTTTTTTTGCTTGGTAAGCTATTAATTATTGCCTCAATTTCAGAGCCTGTTATTGGTCTATTCAGAGATTCAACTTCTTCCTGGTTTAGTCTTGGGAGGGCGTATGTATCGAGGAATTTATCCATTTCTAGATTTTCTAGTTTATTTGCGTAGAAGTGTTTATAGTATTCTCTGATGGTAGTTTGTATTTCTGTGGGATCGGTGGTGATATCCCCTTTATCATTTTTTATTGCATCTATTTGATTCTTCTCTCTTTTCTTATTTATTAGTCTTGCTAACAAACCTGCATGTTGTGCACATGTACCCTAAAACTTTAAGTATAATAATAATAAAATTTTAAAAAATCGACAATGAAATATTTCCAGTGTCTCAATTTCTTTCTTTTAACTTTTATTTTTCTCTTAGAGGAATACATTTACACAATGATAAATAAATGTTACTTAGACTCATCTGATCCATTGCTCAGAAAACCTTTTTAAGCCTTAATAACATTTTTATTCTGTTTACTATTGTGGTGTATAGTGCTGACATGCTTAGAAAGTTTGTGGTCTTTCCCAGCACCTGCTTTTTTCAAATATGCAACTGAATTTTTCACAGTTGAACTCTAACATTTCTCTCCTAACTGAGTGAAGTTTCACAACACATTTGAAATATTTCTGAGGCTGGGCATATGTTCCTGTTTATCCAACACAAAGCTGAGTCCTCTTTGAACTTTCATCTCCTGATAATGTGTCTCATTTTTTAACATCTTAACACTCTAAGATTGGAACTGTTTGGAGACTTTTGTGCTTTCCAAAGGATTTGCTCCTTTTCTTCTCCTCAGTTTATTTCCCCCTTCATTTTAAACAACTGCCTAAGGGCTGCAATAGAAGAATATATTGGTGGCCAATACTAATAAACCTTTGTTAGGTGCCCTCTATTTCTCAGTGGGAACTTTTCTAAAATCTTTACCTTACACGTCTTAAAAATCCTACAAAAGTTTCTCATGAGTTCTAATACACCATTTTGGTTCCAGAACCTCAACCTATGCATTTCCAGCCCCTTCTCAGTTCTATTTCTGGCTGGTGGTGTTTCTCATGGGTCATGAGAGGCTAACACCAACACAGCCTCATCTCTGTGAGGAACTGGAATGATGTAGGTACAGGTTGGATATTCTAAAATATTAAAACTCATCTGGAATCCTGTCAGGTTCAACGTGTATGTGTGTGTATGTGTGTGTGTGTGTTTTCCTTATCTGGCTTAAGAAACCTGAAAATGACTTTTCTGGCTCTTTAACACCGTCTTCACACACCACAAGAATATTATCCAGGATGCATTTGGCCCCCTATCTGTTATGAAACCTTGGTGAGATATTTCTCTGGAGTGCCTCCAAAGTGAAAGGATCCCACATGGCATCCTTTTACACCTCTAGGGAAGAAAAGAGGTATTCAAACTACATCATTTTCTGACTGTTTTCTTGGTTGGCTTCAAATACCAGCTTTACTTGAGCATTGGAACCTTATGCTAGTAAAATATTACCTTCTCAGTCCCTCTTTTTAGATAGACTTTGACCTTCATTCTTCCTTTCTTTTTATTTTCTCATACATTTTCTTATGAGAGCATATAATAACTCTCACGTGAGTCCTAACAAAATAGATAAAGTAATAAAGTGTTTTAATATAGAGTAATTATTTAGATTGCACAAAAGGAAAACTTTAGCTTTGTTGTCTAAAAGATTAGAACTTGCAATCTCAACATAATTTACAATTATAGCTCATATGAGCTGATTTTATTTCAATCTTTATGTCATCTGCACTATTAATTATCATTGAGTTCTTCATAAAAACAGCAATTTGTGAATCCAAGATGGCATCATAATCATGCATATCTCCTCCTGGAAATTTACTCAAGTGATTGGGCAAAAATAAACTTTTCAGTGATGTTACTGCTTCATCTGTATTTAAAAGATTATTTTTATATGTCTTTGTCCATGATTGTGCTTGCAAAGAGGAGAGTAGCGCTTAAGTAATTTATTTAGTATAGACATACTAACTGAATAATTGGGCCTTCTGGAATCTACTCTGGGGCCTAAAATATGTGACTGAACTGTCTATACTGGCTCTATTGCCTAGATTACTGGATAGGGCTTCCTGAAAATATTAATTAGAAATATGATACAATCTATTTATTTGCCAAATGCCTTGCCCATTTGGACTGCTAAGACAAACTACCCTAGACTGGTTGTTTTATAAACAATAGAAATTTATTTCCCACAGTTCTGGAGAGTGGGAAGTCCAAGATCAAGGTGTCAACAGAGTCAGTGTCTGGTAAGAGTCAGCTTTCTGGTTCATAGATGATCACCTTTTCACTGTTATCTCATGGTGGAAAGGGCTAGGAGCTCTCTCACTCCTCTTTTACAAGGATACTAATCCCATTTATAAGGACTCTTCCCTCATGACCTAATCAACTCCCAAAGTCCCCTACCTCTGAATATTGTCACCTTGTGGGTTAGGATTTTAGCATTTTAAGGGGACACAGATATTCAGTCCATACAACCAGGAGATCAAATGCAGCAGAAACTTCATGGTAACTGCAAAGCAAATCTTATAATAGATCCATTAAAAATAAAATCCAAGGAATCAAAAATTCTATTAGAGAAAATCATTTAACCATAAAGGAAGATAGTAAAAGATGAAAAAATGAAGAAAGGATCTAGAAGCAACTAGAAAATAATTAACAAAATGACAGTAGTAAATTCTTACCTATCAATAACTATATATAAATATACATGCATTACATTCTCTACTTAAGAAACATAGAGTGGCTAAATTGATAAAAGCAAACAAACAATAAAAAACAAGCACAGCTATATGCTGCCTACAAGAGTCTTACTTATAGGACACCTGTAAGGACACAGACAGAAAGTGAAGGGGTGTAAAAAGATATTCCAAGCAAATGGAAACCAAAAGAGAGCGAGAGTGGCTATGCTGAATAAAATAGACTTTATGTCAAAAACTGAAGAGATAAATAATATCATTATAACTTAATAATTTAATGATAAAGAGATCAATTAAGAGGATATAACTATTCTAAATATATGCTTCCAACATTGGAGCACCTAAATATATAAAGCAAATATTAATAGATCTAAAAGGAGAGATAGACTTCAATACAACGATAGGAGGGAATATTAACATCTCACTTTCAGCAATGGACAGATCATTCAGTTAGAAACTCAACAAAGAAACAGTGGTTTAAAACTGCACCCTACATTGAATGTGCCTAACAGACATATACAGAGCATTCTATCCAACAGCTACAGAATACTCATTCTTCTCAATTTCACATGGAACATTCTCCTGGATACATCATATTTTAGTCCTCAAAATAAGTCTTAACAAATGTAAAGACTGAAACCATACCAAGTATCTTTTCTGAACACAATGGTATAAAACCAGAAATCAGTAACAGAAGGAATATTGGAGACTAAAAATACATGGAAATTAAACAACATGCTCCTGAACTACCAATGGATCAATGAAAAAAAATCAAAAGGGGAATTTAAAAATTTCTTAACACAAATGAAAACTAAAACACAATATACCAAAACCTATGAGGTACAGCAAAAGAAGTTCTAAGAGGGAAGTTTATAGTAATAAACAACTACATAAAAAAGAAGAAAGATCTCAAATAAACAACTTAACATTGCACCTCAAGGAACTAGAAAAATAAGGAGAACCCCAAATTAGTAGAAGGAAAGAAATAATAAAAATCAGAACACAAGTAAATGGAATAGACTTAAAAAATACAAAAAATAATTAAAATGAATAAAAATACTAAATAAAATTGGCAAACCTTTAGCTAGACTAAGAAAAAAAGAAAAGATCCAAATAAATAAAATCAGAGACAAAAAAAGATACTACAAATTGTCCGCATAGAAATAAAAGAATCATAAGGGACTATTATGAACACCTACATGCCAATAAATAGGAAAAACTTGAAGAAATGGATAAATTCCTGGAAACATAGAACTTATCAAAATTGAATCATGAAGATATAGAAAACCTAAGCAGATCAATAACCACTAATGAGATTGGATCAATAATAAAAAGTCACCTATCAAAGAAAAGCTGAGGACTGAATGGCTTCCCTGCTGAATTCTACCATTTAGAAAAGGACTAATACCAATTCTTCCCCACTATTCCAAGAAATCGAAGCTGAGAGAATTCTTCCTAACTCTTTCTACATGGCCAGCATTACACTGATACCAAAGCCAGACAAGGACACAACAGAAAAAGAAAACTGCAGGCCAATATCACTGATGAACAATTGACACAGAAATCTTCAACAAAATATTTGTAGACTAAATTCAACAGCATAGTAAAAAGATCATTTACCATGATCAAGAAGGATTCATTCAGGCATGCAAGATTGGTTCAATATATTCAAATCAATAAATGTGACAGCACATTAAGAGAATCAAGGACAGAAATCACATGATCATTCCAATCGATCCAGAAAAAGCGCTTGATAAAATTCAACATCACTTCATGATAAAAACCTCAATAAACTAGGTATAGAAGGAACATACGTCAAAACAATAAAAGCCATGTATGACAACCTACATAATGTGTCAAATACTATGTATACGACAAGGGACTAATAGTCAGAATATATAAGGAACTCAAGCAACTCAAAAAAGGAAATCTGATTTTAAAATGGACAAAAAGCTCAAATACACATTTCTCAAAAGAAGATACACAAATCATCCATAGGTTTATGAAAAAATGCTCAATATCACTAACCATCATGGAAATGCAATTCAAAACCACAGTGGGATATCACTTCAACTAATTAGAATAGTTGTTATTAAAAAGACAAAATATAACAAATGCTGATGTGGATATAGAATAAAGGGAACCCATACACTCTTGATGTGAATGTGAATTAGTACTGCCATTATAGGAAACAGTATGACAGTTTCTCAAAAAATTAAAAATAGAATTACCATATAATCCAGCAACTGCATTATTGGATATATGTTCAAAGGAAATAGTATTAGTATGTTGAAGAGATATTTGCACTCCATGTTTATTACAAAACTATTCACAATTGCCAAGATATAGAATCAACCTCGGTGTCTATTAATGGATAAAGAAAATATGGGTATCTATATACAATGGAGTGCTATTCTGCCATAAAAAGAATGAAATCTTGGAATTTGTGGTGACATGGATGTACTTGAAGGACATTATGTTAAGTGAAATAAGCCAGAACAGAAAGACAAATACTACATAATCTTACTCATATGTGGAATCTAAGCAAGGTGATCTCAGAAGTGCAGAGTAGAATAGTAGTTACCAGAGTTAGGGGAGTAGAGAATGATTGGCCAATGGAGACAAGTTGCAGTTAGAGGAGAGGAATAATTTCTGGAACAAAGTTACAGTTAGACAGGAGAAATAAGTTCTCATGTTTTATATTGCATAATAGGGTGGCTATGGTTAACAATATTATATATTTCAGAATAACTTGTTCTCACCACAAAGAAATGATAAATGTATGAGTTGATAAATATGCTAAATACCCTGATTTGGTTATTATACAATGTAAACATGTTTTGAAACATCACACTCTACCCCATAAATAAATACGATCATTAATATCAATTTTAAAAAGTATTTGAAAGTCTATTAATTCAAATAATCTTCCTGAAAAAAAGTTACCTTTAAAAGAAATACATAAAAACTGAGAAAGGAATCAGAATTAAGAATTGAAGAATGAAGCAGCCCAGTGTCAACATGACTTTTGATTAGCATTGTATGCATTCAGTGAAACAGGCAGTGATACAAAAAATTATTGTAATTACAATCCACAACACAAATGTCAAAGTGATTTTTAAGAAAAAGTACTAAATGTTCAAAATAATATTTTAATATTAAATGAAACTAAACATTCAAATGATATTAATAAAGATGATGAAGGGCAATCGGCTTGAAGGAATATTGAAGGAAGTTTGCTTAATTCCATGTCTTAAATGAAGACGATTCAAAAGATTAGTTCATTAACTTTTAGTTTTTAAATTTTTTTCAAGTTATTTATTATAAAGAAACAGCTTCTACTATAGAGATAAAACTGTCTTTTTATATACTTTTTGTTTTCCAATATTTCTGATATGAGCCGGTTAATTTCAAGTGTTACTCGGATATATTCTGCAGAAGGAAATTCTAAGAGTGCTTTCTCTAAGTATATAAAACTTTGGGTTTTTATTCAATCAAAATTCAATGATGAAAACTAAAACCACAATTTAATTTGTATTTTCTTGCCCCAAGAATCTTTTGTCGCAGCAGCTAATTGCAGGTAAAATAACCAGACACATTAATAAGTGAAGAAGGAAAGTGAATAATTCATGGATCAATGATATTTATGCATGTCAATTTTGTCTATGTTATTATTGAGACTTACTTTAAGAATCTGGGGAAAAGTGAATCTCACGGGGGTGCAAAGTAATTATTAATCCAGAGGAAGGAGAAGAAAGCCTGACTGGTTGCTGTGGAAAGATGTAGTCAGGGTATGTGTGAGAGGAGAAGAAAAAGAGTAGCAAGAGATGCGTCAACAGCTGCAGATATTCCCATCAGAGGCCCAGCATGTCTTCTAGAGATTGCCCTAATTCCCCTAGATTCAGTTTATATATATTCTATGTTTTTAAATTAGTCAGCATTCTCTTGTCCACATCACAGAAATTGCAAATGAATACTGAGCCAGGAGATAAGTGACATGAGCTGCTTTTGAGTCATTCTCTTACTAACAACAAGAAGGAAATAAACTCTACCTAGGCAAGTACAAAAACATAATGGAAATCAATGATTTGCCTCTTGCTAAAGAAATAATTTTAGGGATTTGAGAGACTATTAGAAAATTCTTGGAGAAAAAAACATCGATTTGAAGAATCTTAAGTAAGCTAGCAATTCCACATGTATATTGCCATATTATTTTTAAAGAGACAGAAAGGAGAAATTGACTTTTCATATGTAGAAAGCAATTTGATTCTCAGTAAAATTCATGTAAAAATTTACTTTATTTACACATATTAGGAGTAATAATGAAATACTTGAAGTTTGAGTGCTTTAAAATGAGTTGAGAAATAATCTTCACATATTTGAGGCTGCCTAATCACACTTTTGGGATATTTTGAAGTAATAGTGTAGACAACTTAAAATGAAAATCTTGATTGGTTGAAAATTACATAAAAAATCTTTTTTAAAGAACATTCGTGTCTATTTGAAAATTTCTAGCATTTTATTATAAAATGAAAAAGTGGGGAAAAAAACCCCCGCAGATTAGCTCCAATGTATTGACTGACTCATTCACGCAATATTTTTTTTCACTGATTAAGTGCTGAGGTTCATAGTCTCTACCCTCACGAAAACAGGCACAACTACAACAAAACAATCCCCAAAAGTAAAAATTCCACTGTAAAAGTAAATTGTCCAAAAGATTGCACTATGCTGGAGTAATCGAGTTTTTGCTGTTCTTTCCCCCTTTCTTCTGTTTTCTCAGTCTTCCATAATAGGAATATTGCCCTTAAAGCACTCTTAAAGTCCCACTGATTAGGAGCACTGTGCCAAAAGCTTTATAAAACATTGTCTCACTAATCTTAATGATTAATTAAACTAATAGATAATCTCTATTTTATACTTGTAGAAATGAAGTCTTAAAAGATTAAAAATCATATCTCAGTCACTCAATTGTAGAGTAATTTGAAACCTGGTTGGTTTCACTTTGAATGCTCATGGCCAGTATGACACATTAGCAAATCATAAAATTATATTCATTCCTCCAGAATGGGACATAAAGTGTCAAAAGATAAAGTAAAATAACATTTTCTTGGAATTTAACTTGTATTTTTTGTATAAGAAATAAAGCAGTTCTTGATTTTTTTCAGACTCAGCTCAGTTCCCCTTCCCATTGGGCTATTGGGCAACATTATCTGTTGTTCTTGAATCTCTTCCACTCCAAGGTTGCACCAGGGATCTAATATTATAAACAAGTTGGAAGGTATTCTGGTGATCCTGTGGACATTGGTTATCTGTCTCCACTAGTTTTTACTGAAATGTCCATTGTGCAAGCCACACAGTCCATCAGGCCAACGTAACTCTACAGCTTTTTAAAATCATACTTTAAACGTGACCTCTGGAGATGTCTGGAGAGTAGGAAAATTGTAGTTATTCCTCTTTGGAGTCTGCAATCTCCTTGGAATATTGTCTGAGACTAGGGAGTAGTTCTCTTCACTCCCAAAACATCTGTAAAATTTAAAACCCCTGTTTGTGTTGTATGGGACTAGCATGGCCTCCATACTCTTGCTAACCGTTGTGAGAAATAAGGATTAATTTGTCCAAGTTAAATTCCCCTATATTCTGGCTTTCTGAAGAGAGACGTGGACTTCTGCAAGGCCCCATGGAAATTGGCTATACAGTCTTTGTTTAGGGCAATCAATACCTGTCAGTCTCAAAGCTTGGTCCCTATTTCCTCACCCCATCATGCCAACTGAGAGGCCAATGCTTCCACAGCCATGAAGGTGGATGGGGTGAATTTTTTGCTAACTTACCACAATGTGCAGCTCTAAGTGTGAGGCTGATATCCCTCCTACCTAATTCCCAAGAAAGGGGCTGACATTATTCCCAAACAAGAACACCAAACTATCAGCTTAAAGCTCTAACAATGGTTCTCCATATCACCTTGCTGTTGAATCCTGGCATTTAATGCCCACCTGCCCCGCATCCTGGGATGAAGTTGATGTTTCCCTAATCCCGCAACATAAAAGCATCACAGCCCAAAGATCTGAGTCTTTTCCCAGACCTGAGAGTTAAGCTCTACTAGGCTGCTGTGTAGTGCCCCACAGCCCCTGCTATTGCTCCTGCCACCTGAGTATTCCCCAAGAAATGCTACTCAAGCAAGCCTAGTTCAAGTGACATATGGCCACTTGAACTTGTCTATACAGTATCAAATTACATTTTTGTTTTGCTAACTTGAAAGGTATAAAATGCTTTCAATATGCATACCCTTGGCTGCTAGGGGACTGAACATCTTTTCATGGTGTTATTGGTCATTTTTATTTATACCACTGTGAAGTTCCTGTATCATAGTCTTTGTCTTTTTCTTATTAACTTGTAAAAGCTTACTGAAAGATAATCCTCTCTTATATGTGCCATTAACCTCTTTTCCCATTCTTTATCCTTTAACCTTAGTTATGATATTTGTGTTTGAAAAAAAACCTACATTTTTACTACTGACTTTTACCTAAACTTCCTGTGTTTTTCATTTCAAAAATTATCTGATCTTATTTATTTGCTACTCTTAGAAAATCTTATTTTTTACTGGATTCAAGGTCAGGGTAGAAGCTCTCAGAGAGAACAGCCTCTGCTTCTCAGGGACCTGTTCCTGGCATTTCTCTTTGGTTTCCCATTCTCTTGGTCAAAAGTTTAGCATATTCTGCAGCCTCTTACTTATTTTTCTTAGCAAGCTGTGTCTTCAGAGCAATATGTGGATGTTTTGTGATGCAGGACACATGGAATAACAGGATGCTGAATCCTGGGCAGTCTGGTCCTGAGTTCCTTACCTTCTTTGTTTAGGGACTTTCTCACAACCTATGGTAGGTATCATCTTTTTACAGATATTTGAAAACTTATCAGATTCTGCTAGCTCTTTTGGGCCCTAGGTGATGAGGCATAGTATTATCAGTCAGTCCAAGAATATCCTTCTCTCTCCCGACTTTTTTTTTTTTTTTCACAATAACCAAATTAAGAGCACTCAAATTGACATCCACAATGCAACCTCAAATATATTTGTACTTTCTCCAGTTCACCTTGCCATGTGATAGGAACACTCCTTACTTAGTAGCAGCAAACACAGCCATGGGTCAAGACATTCTGCTTCATGGGGAAACTTTGTTTGCAGTTCCCATCACTGATTCAGATGACATAAGCTTTTCACTCTGCAGTCAGCATTAACAGCAACTTCTATGGCCATACGCTTCTCATAAAAGGTATGATGTTTGTGTTCACTGTCCATTTCAGTGCGTTTCTAGCAGCTAGTGACTGAGAGGGAAACATTCATGTTCACTCTGAAGAGGTACTTCCCTCTGAAATACCATGAAAAAGAACGAGCCAATCCTATATTTTAACTACGTATTAGACATTTTTATTTGCATATACTAAATAAACACATTTTACCTTTCTCTCATGAACTCATCTTCACAATTTTCCTATCTTGACTTCATCCCAGAATATTACTGGATACATTGACCTAAAACTCAGTCAATTTTGACTTTTTTCTTTGCCTTTAGGCTTTTTCTAGAAAGAGTTAATCAATATACATTTGATGCCGTAGACACACGTTGTGACTTAATTTATTTGGCTTTTATTCAAAGTTGATAGAGAAAATATTACATTGTCATTTTTCTTGCAAAGTGCTCCCTTGAGTTTCAAGTTTCATCGTGGGAGAAAAAAATGTTTATACAAAAAAACTCTTATGTGCCAATTTTTGGTCAATGAAAACTGTATTATGTTTATTTAATTATTTAATATACAAGTCAGCTGTTATTTTCCTTTCAAAAAAAAAGCTTATTAGCAAACCTCTTTTCTTGACCTTTTTAGAACATCATTTCATGAGTATACGGGACCTCTGGAGGGGGCCAGTACTTGTCGCTGTTCCTCTCAGCCACCCATTCTTCTACAGAGTTTACATGGTTGCCTCCAGTCCCATCTATAGGAATTTTTGTGCAGGTTTACTATGTGCTCTTTTACATAAACCATGCAACCCTTGACATTTTATTTCCCAATAGCCAGCTAGGTAGAAAAAAATCAACTGTGATTTTAATTTTAATGAAGCAGAATTTACATTGTTTCCAGGCTGTCTGCCAACTTGCTATTTAGGAAAGTTAACCCAGATGCAGCTTAATCAGTCTGTCTTTTTTCTTTTTTTATCACCAAAAATTCTCTTGTCAAGATCAGATGAAGGGTAATAATATACCCTTAATGGTTTTGCACAGTTCATTCTTGAACTTCAGTGAACAGGAACTAGCTGGTGTTTCCCAGAGGCCCTAAAGATCCCTTTGCTACCCTCACTCATGATCTACTTTAGTCAGACACTCTCCTGTCTCCTGTTCAACTTCTTTTTGTTGGCTTCAGCAAATCCATCAGTGGCTAACATGTGGCCTCTTGACCAAAATAGTCTGGGAAGCAAAATCTGACCTCATTGTAATAGGTCTCCCATCAAGCCATAGAAGTCGTTATTTTATTAAAATTGTCTTGATGAATAGGTTGGAATTTTACGCTCTCACAGAACATTAGGTTGCTACTTATGTTTCAGAATTTGCATCACTGATTCCTGTAGCCATCATATTTTATGTTCTATCATGTCTCTGTTATTTAAAAATGTGTGTTTGTATGTTATGTTTATACACACCACTAGAATATCATGACATCATAGTGGGATACTAAAAGTTTGTGGTAAAACAGATGCAGATTATGGTCCCTGCCCCCAGGTGTCTAACTAAAAATGTAAGATGATAGTAGCATTGATAAATCTAGTATGTAATACAAAATCAAGAAGCAGAATAGCTCATCTCAGTCCAATATATGTTGATTCTTCTCTTACAAAAGAGTAAACAAAACTAACAGGGTCCATTTCATGTCCTCTACCAAAACATAGATGGCCAGATTCATTCCACGTTGCCTTTCTTCAACACCAGCCCCTCCCTGACTCCCTCACATCTTTTCTACTTTAGTAGGCAATTCCATGATAAGAACATTCTGGACCTGTTTGCCCTCTCATCCTTTCCCTGCCTTCCCCTTGCTCTGCATCAAGGGACACCAACCTCTGCGGCTATGTTTCCCAGGCTCAGTGGCTTCAAATAGATTATGGAGGAGGTGGTGGGGTGGAAGAAGCCAGGGTATCTCTTTTCTTCCCCTGCCTTCCAACAGCCTCATGAATCCAGCTCTTGGCAGGCAAACCAGCTATGGTTCCAGCTTCCACTAGTGCCAGTAACACTGCGTTCACTCTTTATCCCTTCAGTCATGGGTCAGGTTGGCTTCCTGCTGTTAGGGATCTTTCCATTGGCCCACTGTCCTCTCTTTGGTTTCTCAGCTCTTTCATCACCCAGGGAATCAATTTTCTCCATTAAAGTCTTTTTAACTACTCAGGTGGTTTCTGTTTCCTGGCTAGACTCTATGATGATACACATAATTTCCTTACTACATATGAAATAACCTTTCTGACTTTTGTGACTTTAAAAAAAAATCTCTGTAAAGACTAGAAATTATTCCATCACTCACAGAGGGCAAAGCCAAAAATATAACTGCCAGGGAGAAGCCCAAGAATGTGCCACTTTTTAATTCACTCTGATACATCTGTTGCCTTGCTGTATTTAGGATGTAATATATTTATTTAAAATAAATATTTCCTTGACAAAGTTGGTTATAGTTAAGGAATCTCTGCTTTAATAAAGCTCAAGAAGAGGAAATACTGCTTTTTACTTGATATTTTTTCTAATTAGACTTTACTGGTTTTTAGAATTTTTTAAAATATTTTTAAAAATGTTTACAAAGAATTATTTCAGTCATTTGTGAAACAGAAAAAAATCAAGCAACATACAACATTTTGCATTATTTTTCTCTGGCTAACTAGTACAAAATACAAAACTAGTAACAATAAATATAGCTTCCCAAGTTTCCCACTTCATTTCAAATGAATCAATGACTTAGAGTAGAGTCCTTTAAACTTTGCTATAACTGACATTAAATATTGACTTTCAATACATTTTCTCTTGATGTTTTTTGTCTGTTTTGCAATGTAAGATGCCAGAAATCTTATAAAATAAGCAAGAAGATGGGGGGAAGGTGTCATACTTTCTGGTTCATGCTCTGTATTCCTCCTGAAATAAATGATGAAAGGATCCAAGGAGAACATGGCACTGATGGAGAAACTTAGATATGACATGGAAATAAAATAATCAGAATCCTAAATAACTTTTATATCTATTTAAAATTGCAATTTTCCTATTTTCTTTATTTCTAAAAGAAAAACTCTAAGCTTAGGTTTTTATTAATTACCACACTGCTTTTATAAAGAATGAATGTTAATGCCTGTATTAGTCAGGATTCTCTAAAGGGACAGAACTAATAGGATATATGTATATAAAAAGGGGAGTTTATTAGGAAAATTGACTCACATGATCAAAAGGTAAAGTCCCATGATACGCCGTCTACAAGTTGAAGAGCAAGGAAGCCAAAGGTGGATCAGTCCTTGTCCCAAAACCTCAAAAGTAGGGAAGCCGACAGTGCAGCCTTCAGTCTGTGGCCAAAGGCCCAAGGGACCCTGGAAAACCACTGGTGTAAGTCCAAGAGTCCAAAAGCTGAAGAACTTGAAATCTGATGTTCAAGGGCAGGAAGCACCCAGCATGGGAGAAAAATGAAGGCCTGAAGACTTAGCAAGTCAAGTCCTTCCAACTTCTGCCTGCTTTATTCTAGCTGTGCTGGCAGCTGATTAGATGGTGCCCACCCGATTGAGGATTGGTCTGTCTCTCCCAGTCCACTGACTCAAATGTTAATCTCTTTTGGCAACACCCTCACAGATATACCCAGGAACAATACTTTGCATCCTTCAATCCAATCAAGTTGACAGTATTAACCATCACAAGTCCACTCCTTGTCCATTTGAACCCCTATACAGCTCCTGAAATCATACATAATCTTCAAATGAAGACAATAATAAGGTCATAATTATGCCTTACATAATATGGCTATCCTTCGTACAACCAGAAGCGTACTAATCCTTAACCTAAATGCTCTTTCATAAAATTAACAACACTTAAATGCTGAAATGAAGTCAATAAATCTTATGTCACATGATAAAGGAAAAAGGAAATAAAATGAAGCCATTTTCTTAGTACGAGTGTATACATGCACAAACATATTCTTAACAAAATAAGTAGGAAATATTCATGACGATTACAGTCCTCGTTTCTGCAACTTGTCACGTGGCCATAGCTGGTATTGATGACTCCCTTCTTCTACCACCCATTCTGTATTCCCTTTGCCTTCAGCAAGCACCTCAGCAGGTCATGGTTTTTTACCTATTGGAGTGACCCAAACCTTCTTTCCCGAAGGGTCTGGGCCATTTGTAGTCCTGCCTGGATTGGACTGTTGTAGTTTCCCATTGACCTTAATCACAGGGCATGGTAATACTAAGAGATGTCCTAAAGGATCTCCTGAATTCCATGCATACTCTTTCTTACCTCCATTGTGGAGAAGTAGACTGATTTCATCTTGATATTCTGGGTCAATCACTCCAGCCAACACTGTAGCTCCCTTCTTAGCCTGTTGACTCAGAGGTAGGAGGAGCCCAAAGTGTCCAGGTGGCTATCTTAACTTCCAGTTTAATGGAATCATTGTTGTGTCTCCTGGTGGTAGCATTCCTCCCTCTGGAGCTAAGATATCTAGGCCAACAGAACCTAATGTCACAGGAACAGGAAGCAAAAATTTTGCCTGTGGGTCACTAGAGGTGATGGTGAGTGGTGCTATTTCTACTTCCACCCCTTGATTCCTGGACCCATGAATCCTATTCAAGAAACAGTACCATATATTGGACATTGATTCAGAGCATACACAGCCTTCTGGAGAACTTTGTCCCAGCCCTGCAAAGTATTGTCACCTAGTTGGCGTTGTAATTGTGACTTCAAAAGACCGCTCCACCATTCTATCAATCCAGCTGCTTCAGGTTGATGGGGAACATGGTAAGACCAGTGAATTCCATGAGCATGAGCCCACTGCTGCATTTATTTAGCCATAAAGTGAGTGCCTTGGTCAGAGGCAATGCTGTGTGGAATACCATGACAGTGGATAAGGCATTCTGTGAGTTCACAGATGGCAGTCTTGGCAGAAGCATTGCATGAAAGATATGCAAACCCATATCCAGAATAAGCGTTTATTCTGGTGAGGACAAACAGCCACCTTTTCCATGATGCAAGAGGTCCAGTATAATCAACCTGCCACCAAATGGCTGGCTAAACACCCCAAGGAATTGTGCCATATCGAGGACTCAGTTGTTGGTCTCTGCTGCTGCTGGCAAATTGGGCATTCAGCGGTGGCCATAGCCAGGTCAGCCTTGGTGAGTGAAAGTCCATGTTGCTGAGCTCATGCGTAACCTCCATTCCTACTACAATGGCCATTTTGTTAATGGGCCCATTGGGTGATCACAGGGATGACTAGGGAAAGAGGCTGAGTGGTGTCCATGGAACGAATCATCCTATCCACTTGATTATTAAAATCCTCCTCTGCTGAGGCCACCTGTTCGTGAGCACTCACATGAAATACAAATATCTTCAGTTTTTGACCACTCAAAGAGGTCCATCCACATAGCTCTTCCCCAAATTTCTTTGTCACCAATTTTCCAATCATGCTTCTTCAAAGTCCCTGACCTTCCAGCCAAACCAGTGAATACAGCTCATGAATCAGTATATAATCACACATCTGGCTATTTCTCCTTCCAATCAAAGTACACAACCAGGTACACTGTCTGAGTTCTGTCCACTGGGAAGATTTCTCTTCTCTACTGTCCTTCAGGGATGTCCTAGATAGGGGCTGTAGTGCTACAGCTGTCCCCTTTCAGGTGTTGCCTGCATATTGTGCAGAACCATCTGTGAGCCAGGCCCTAGTCTTCTCTTCCTCTGTCAATTGATCATAGGGAACTCCCCATGAGGCCACTGGTGCAGGCTGGGGGAAAGAAGGCAGGGTGGCAGGAGTGGGGAACATGGGCATTTGAGCCACTTCCTCATGTAACTTACTTGTGCCATCAGGTCCTGCTTGAGCCTGATCACATATATATCACTTCCATCTGATGATGGAATGCTGCTGTGCATGCCCCACTTCATGGCTAGATAGGTCAGAAGGCACCCAGTTCATGATAGGCAGTTTAGGTCATATGGTGACTTGATGACCCATAGTCAAACGTTCAATTACTACCAAAGCCCAGTGACAGGCCAAGAGCTGTCTCTTAATAGGAGAGTAGTTATATGCAGAAGATGGCAGAGCCTTGCTCCAAAATCCTAGAGGCCTCTGCTGTGATTCATCTATGAAGGCCTACCAAGGCTCCAAATAGCATCCCTATTTACCTCTGACCTCAAGCTCCATTGGATCTGCTGGGTCATATGGCCCAAGTGGCAGAGCAGCTTGCCTAGCAGCCTGGACCTGTTGCAGAGCCTTCTCTTGTTGTGAACCCCACTCAAGCCTTTCCAGTCACTCAATAAATGGGCCAGAGTAACACACTAAAATGAGGAATGTGTTGCCTGCAAAATCCAAAGAGGCCCACTAGGCATTATGCCTCTTTCTTGGTTGTAGTAGGGGCCAAATGCAACAACTTTTCCTTCCCCTTAGAAGGAATATCTCAACAGGCCCCACACCATTGGACCCCTAGTAATTTTACTAAGCTAGAAGGCCCTGAATTTTAGTTGGATTCATTTTCCATCTCCTGGCACACAAATGTCTCACCAATAAGTTCAGTGTGTTTACTACTTCTTGCTCACTGGATCCAATCAACATAATGTCATCAATGTAATGGAATAGTGTGATATCTTGTGGAAGTGAAAAGTGATCAAGATCTCTCTGAACAAGATTATGACACAAAGCTGGAGAGTTGATATACCCCTGAGATAGGACAGTGAAGGTATATTCCTGGCCTTGCCAGCCAAATGCAAATTGCTTCTGGTGGGCCTTATGGACACGAATAGAGAAAAAGGCATTTGCTAAATCAATGGCTGCATACCAGGTACCAAGAGATGTGTTAATTTGCTCAAGCAATAAAACCACATCTGGTACAGCAGCTGCAATTGGAGTCACCACTTGGTTACACTTAAGATAATCCATTGTCATTATCCAAGATCCATCTGTCTTCTGCACAGGCCAAATAGGAGAGTTGAATGGGGATATGGTGGGAATAACCACCCCTGTGTCTTTCAAGTCTTTGATGTTGGCACTAATCTCTGCAATCCCTCCAAGGGTGCAATATTGTTTTTGATTTACTATTATTCTAGGTAGAGGCAGCTCTAATGGCTTCTATTTGGCCTTTCCCACCATAACAGCCCTCACCCTACCAGTCAGGGAGCCAATGTAGGGATTCTTCCAGCTGCTGCTAAGTGTGTCTATGCCAGTTATGCATTCTGGCACTAGGGAAATGACCACAGGATGAGTCCAAGGACCCACTGGATCCACTGTAAGTTGGACCTGAGCTAAAACTCTGTTAATTACCTAACCTCCATAAGTCCCTACTTTAACTGGAGGACCAAAATAGGGATGTGTCCCCATTCAGATCTGAACTTGAATTGTATCTCCCAGAATTGCTACGTGTTGTGGGAGGGACCCAGGGGGAGGTAATTGGATCCTGGGTTCTGTCTTTTCCGTGCTATTCTTGTGATAGTGAGTAAGTCTCATGAGATATGATGGGTTTATCAGGGGTTTCTGCATTTGCTTCTTCCCCAGTTTCTCTTGCTGCCATGATGTAAGAAGTGCCTTTCACCTCTCACCATGATTCTGAGCCCTCCCCAGCCATGTGGAACTGTAAGTCCAATTAAACCTCTTTTTCTTCCCAGTCTCAGGTACATCTTTATCAGCAGTGTGAAAACAGACTAATTCAGTAAATTGGTACCAGTAGAGTGGGGTGTTGCTGAAAACATACCCAAAACTTTGGAAGGCAGTTACCCAGTTTGAACAGTTGGAACAGTTTGGAAGGCTCAGAAGAAGACAGGAAAATGTGACCAAGTTTGGAACCTCCTAGAGACTTGTTGAATGGCTTTGACAAAAATGTTGATAGCGATATGAACAATAAGGTCCAGGCTGAGGTGGTCTCAGATGGAGATGGGGAGCTGTTGGGAACTGGAGCAAAGGTGGCTTTTGTTATGTTTTAACAAAGAGACTGGTGACACTTTGCCCCTGCCCTAGAAATTTGTGAAACTTTGAACTTGAGAGATATGATTTAGGGTATCTGGCAGAAGAAATTTCTAAGCAGCAAAGCATTCAAAAGGTGACTTGGGTGCTGTGAAACGTATTCCATTTTAAAAGGGAAACAGCATAAAAGTTCAAAAATTTGCAGCCTGACCATGTATTAGAATAGAAAAACCCATTTTTTAAGGAAAAATTCAAACAGCTGCAGAAATTTGCATAAGTGGCAAGGAACCTAATGTGACTCCCCAAGACCATGGGGAAAATGTCTCCAGGCCATGTCAGAGACTTTCACGGCAGCCTCTCCCATAGCAGGCCAGAGACCCAGGAGGAAAAAGTTATTTTGTGGGCTGGCCCCAGGGTCCTCATGCTGTGTGCAGCCTAGGGACTTAGTACCCTGTGTCCCAGCCACTCCAAGTGGAAGCCTCAAGCCTTGGCAGTTTCCACATGTTGTTGAGCCTGTGGGTGAACAGAAGTCAATAACTGAGGTTTGGAAACCTCAGATTTCAGAAGACTTCAGATGTATGGAAATGCCTGGTTGCCCAGGCAAAAGTTTGCTGCAGGGGCGGGCCCCTCATGGAGAGGGGAGTGCGGAAGGGGAATGTAGGGTTGGAGCCCCCACACAGAGTTCCTACTAGGACACTGCCTAGAGGAGCTGTGAGAAGAGGGTCACCATCCTCCAGACTCCAGAAGTGTAGATACACCAACAGCTTGCACTGTGCACCTGGAAAAGCCACAGACACTCAATGCCAGTCCGTGAAAGCAGCCAGGAGGGAGGCTGTACCCTACAAAGTCACAGGGCCGAAGCTGCCCAACACCATGGGAACCCACCTGTTGCATCAGCTTGACCTGGATGTGAGACCTGGGGTCAAAGGAGATCATTCTGACGCTTTAAAATCTGGCTGTCCTGCTGGATTCCAGACTTGCAAGGGCCCTGTAACTCCGTTGTTTTGGCCAATTTCTCCCATTTGGAATGGCTGTATTTACCCAATACCTGTACCCCCATGGTATCTAGGAAGTAACTAGCTTGTTTTTTATTTTACAGGCTCATAGGCAGAAGGGACTTTTGGGTTACTACTGAAATGAGTTAAGATTTTGGGGGCCTGTTGGGAAGGCATGATTGGTTTTGAAATGTGAGGACATAAGATTGGAGGGGGCAGGGGTAGAATAATATGGTTTGGCTGTGTCCCCATTCAAATATGAACTCGAATTGTATCTCCCAGAATTCCCACAATATGTGGGAATTCTGGGAGACCCAGGGGGAGATAATTTAATCATGGGGGCTGGTCTTTCCCATGCTATTCTGGTGATAGTGAATAAGCCTCACGAGATCTGATGAGTTTATCACGGGTTTCTGCTTTTGCTTCTTCCTCATTTTCTCTTGCTGACATGATGTAAAAAGTACCTTTCACCTTCTGTCATGATTCTGAGGCTTTCCCAGCCATGTGGAACTGTAAGTGCTCTTTTTCTTCCGAGTCTCAAGTATGTCTTTATCAGCAGCGTGAAAATGGACTAATACAATAGCACAAAGTACAACAGATTTGTTATAGCTTAAGACTAGTTTCGCAAATCCTTTTTCCAATTAATTAAAACTTTGCAGAGGAGATAAACAGTGATTTTTACCATTCAACCAGTTTGCACACAGAGAGAGAGGGAGAGGAAAGCATTGCCTGAGGCAGGGTGGGGAAGGTGAGGTGCTCAGAGATGCCAGAGAAAGACCTACCCATTGCAGGGACACTAAAAATTGCAGGTGGCTACTTGTTGATAGTGAAGGGATCTTTTCCAGCAGTCCCATCAGCATTCAAGTTTCCCCTTTTTGGTGAGGAAAAAGCTCCCTATGTCCCATGATCCTGTTCATGCCAATTCTATCACCTACAGCTGTCAGCAAAGAGTGCAAGGCAGATTATTTCAAACAGAGTAGCAATTTAATTAAGTCCCAGCTATTTATCTTTGTTTTTATTGCATTAGCTTTTGGGATCTTGGTCATGAAATCTTTGCCTAAGCCAATGTCTAGAAGGGTTTTTCCAATGTCATCTCCTAAAATTTTTATAGTTTCAGGTCTTAGATTTAAGCCCTTAATCCACCTTGAGTTGATTTTTGTATAAGGTGAGAGATGAGGATGCAGTTTCATTCTCCTACATGTAGCTAGCCAATTATCCCAGCATCATTTGTTGAAAAGGGTGTCCTTTCCCCACTTATGTTTGTGTTTGCTTTGTCGAAGATCAGTTGACTGTAAGCATTTGGGTTTATTTCTGGATTCTCTATTCTGTTCCATTGGTCTATGTGCCTATTTTTATACCAGTACCATGCTGTTTTGGTGACTATGGCCTTATAGTATAGCTTGAAATCAGGTAGTGTGATGCCTCCAAATTTGTTCTTTTTACTTAGTCTTGCTTTGGCTGTGAGGGCTTTTTTTGTGGGGGTGGGGTGGTTCCGTATGAAGTTTAGAATTATTTTTCTAATTCTATGAAGAATGATGGTGGTATTTTGATGGGAATTGTGTTGAATTTGTAGATTGCTTTTGGCCGTATGGGCATTTTCACAATATTAATTCTGCCCTTCCATGAGCATGTGTTTCCATTTGTTTGTGTTGTCTGTGATTTCTTTCAGCAGTGTTTTGTAGTTTTCCTTGTAGAGGTCTTTCACCTCCTTGGTTAGGTATATTCATAAGTATTTTATTTATTTTATTTTAGCAGCTATTGTAAAAGGGGTTGAGGTCTTGATTTGATTCTCCACTTGGTCACTGTTGGCATATAGAAGAGCTACTGGTTTTTGTACATTAATCTTGTATCCAGAAGCTTTGCTGAATTATTTTATCAGTTCTAGGAGCTTTCTGGAGGAGTCTTGAGGGTTTTTGAGGTAAATGATCATGTCACCAGCAGACAGTGACAGTTTGACTTCCTCTTTACTGATTTAGATGGCTTTATTTCTTTCTCTTGTCTGATTGCTGTTGCTAAGACTTCCCGTACTATGTTGAAGAGGAGTGGTGAGAGTGGGCATCTTTGTCTTGTTCCAGTTCTCCGAGGGAATGCTTTCAATTTTTCCCCATTCAGTGGGTTTGTCATAGGTGGCTTTTATTACATTGGGGCATGTCCCTTGTATGCTGATTTTGCTGTCAGTTTTAATCATAAAGGAATGCTGGATTTTGTCTAATGCTTTTTCTGCATCTATTGAGATAATCATGTGATTTTTGTTTTTAATTATGTTTATGTGGTGTATCACATTTATTGACTTGCATATGTTAAACCATCCTGCATCCCTGGCATGAAACCCACTTGATCATGGTGAATTATCTTTTTGACATGTTGTTGAATTCAGTTAGCTAGTATTTGGTTAAAAATTTTAGCATCTATGTTTATCAGGGATATTGGTCTGTAGTTTTGTTTTTTGGTTATGTCCTTTTTTGGTTTTGGTAGAGGAACAGTCAGGACAGTAAACAGACAACCCACAGAGTGGGAGAAAATCTTCACAATCTGCACATCTGAGAAAGGACTAATATCTAGAAACTACAACAAACTCAAACATGTCAGCAAGAAAAAAATCCTATCAAAAAGAGGCCTAAGGACATGAATAGACAATTCTCAAAAGAAGATATACAAATGGCCAAGAAACATATAAACAATGCTCAACATTGCTAATGATCAGGGAAATGCAAATCAAAACCACAATGTGATACCACCTTACTCCTGCAAGAATGGCCATAATCAAAAAAAAAAAAAAAAACAATAGATGTTGGCGTGAATATGGTCATCAGGGAACACTTCTACACTGCTGGCAGTAATGTAAACTAGTACAGCCACTATGGAAAACTATATGGAGATTCCTTAAAGAACTAAAAGTAGAACTACCATTTGATCCAGCAATCCCACCGCTAGTTATCTACCCAGAGGA
Organism: Homo sapiens; assembly: GCF_000001405.40. NCBI lineage: Eukaryota > Metazoa > Chordata > Mammalia > Primates > Hominidae > Homo > Homo sapiens. The sequence continues at coordinate 30,043,437 of NC_000014.9, read as the reverse complement.
AAAGTAGTCATTATACGAAAATGATACTTGCATAAGCATGTTTATAGCACCACAATTCGCTATTGCAAGATCATGGAACCAACTCAAATGCCCATCAATCAACAAGTGGATAAAGAAACTGTGGTACATATATATGATGGAATACTACTTAGCCATAAAAGGAATGAATTAATGGCATTCACAGCGACCTGGATGATATTGGAGACTATTATTCTAAGTGAAGTCACTCAGGAATGGAAAACCAAACATCCTATGTTCTCACTGATATGATGGAGCTAAGCTATGAGTATGCAAAGGCATAAAAATGAGACAATGGACTTTGGGGACTTGGGGGAAAGGGTGGGAAGGGGGCCAGGGATGAAAGACTACAAATAGGGTATGGTGTATACTGCTTGGGTGATGGGTGCACCAAAATCTCAAATCACCACTAAAGAACTTACTCACATAACCAAACACCACCTGAACCCCAATAATGTATGGAAAAGAAACAAACAACAACAACAACAACAAAGAGAATAGCAGTTAATATCCCATAGCCCCAACCCATTCTTAGCCAAAAGGGACTTTGCTGAGAAGGACTTTACTGAGAGGGGCTCTAACCCCTTAAATCTTAGAAGGGTCTCTAACCCTCCTAAGTTGGGCATCTAATACAAGGTTGGTCAAGCGTTCTTGCCTTTTATTAAGAAGGGCCTCTAACTCACACTGCCTTAGGAGATACTCTAACTCCCCTAAGTTGAGCCTCTAACCCAATCCCATCCTGTACCCAGTTATATGTAACCCAATTACTCAAAGTTGTCCAATCAGTGCTACAGTCTATTTCCTTTGGGTTGGGGTATCACCTCAGTATCGTCCCTTCAGGATTCACCAGAAAGATGTTACCAGACCTCACCACTTACCCAAAGTTAGCCTAGTGTCGAGGGTTTCCTTAGTATCGTCCCTTCCGTGGTTGCCAGAAAGATGTTACAAGAAAGGGGTTCCAATTCAGACCCCAAGAGAGGGTTCTTGGATCTCATGCAAGAAAGAATACAGGGTGAGTCCATAAAGTGGAAACAAGTTTATTAGGAAAGTAAAGGAATAAAAGAACGGCTACTCCATAGATGGAGCAGTTTCGAGGGCTGCTGGTTGCCCATTTTTATGGTTATTTCTTGATGATATGCTAAACAAGAGGTGGATCATTCATGCCTCCCCTTTTTAGATCACACAGGGTAACTTCCTGATGCTGCCATGGCATTTGTAAACTTTCATGGCCCTGGTGGTAGTGTAGCAGTAAGGACCAACAGAGGTCGCTCTCATGGCCATCTTGGTTTTGGCGGGTTTTAGCTGGCTTCTTTATTGCAAGCTGTTTTATCAGCAAGGTCTTCATGACCTGTATTTTGTGCTGACCTCCTATCTCATCCTGTGACTTAGAATGTCTTAACCGTCTGGGAATGCAGCCCAATAGATCTCAGCCTTATTTTACCCAGGTCTTATTCAAGATGGAGTTGCTCTGGTTCAAACATCTCTGACAATTAGATTGTGCCCATCCAGATTGAGGGTGGGTCTGCCTCTCCCAGTCCATTGACTCAAATGTTAATCTCCTTTGGCAACACCCTCACAGACACACCCAGAAACAATACTTTGCATCCTTCAATCCAATCAAGTTGACATCAATATTAACCATCACAATATCATTTACCAAAGCCTGCCATAGGCTATATATCTTACTTGCCAATTTTTAATGTTTATTATAATTGATCAGGTTAGACATTGTTATTCTTACTTTACAGATGGAAAAACTGAGACTTGGATGTAAATTAATTACTCAATATTATGTAGCATTTAAGCGGCAAAGCCAGGATTCTCATCTCATTGAACTACTTCTCAGTTAAAAAAGCAAAGCAAATGGTACACATTTTTGAGCCAGAATTTTGTGTTCAGGACTCCTTTAGGATTTTTTTTAAGAGCTTGAAATAGAAAACAAAGTAGAAAACACACTACCTTGTGCCTGTAAGCATTTTATTTTTCAACTTTGACCCTACTCAAAAAAGCTTAAAATTTAATATGAGACTTTATGAGAATATCTGTCCCAGATAATAAACAGTAACAAGATAAATGGCAATTTACACTATAATTATGGATGTGTCAGAGTGGTGGAGATTATAGAAATAATCTTTGGAATAGTGGTATAGTGTTAATTAAGGATGTTTTTGTTGAAGAATTAAGTTACAAAAGATCCAGAAGATTATAGGAGATGGAGAGTGCCGAAAGAGAAAGCTAGGTGATTTGTTTCATCGAACCAGGGAAATAAATAATGACTAAGAGAAATGGGTTGTAAGACCGATGAGTTTTAAAAGCTAAGTGGACCCAGCCAGGGCAACTGGCAAGAACATGAAATAAAAGGCAACCAGATGGAAAAAAATAAAATACTTATGAATAAATTTAACAAAATAATTATACAACTTAAAAACTACAAAACACTGTTGAGAGAAATTTAAGAAGACCTAAACAAATAGAAAGACATCCTATGTTCATGGATCAGAAGACAATATTGTTAAGATAGCAAGTCCCCTGAAATTAATCTACAAACTCAATGCAATCCGTATCAAAATTCAGCTGGCTTCTAAGCTGATCCTAAAATTTATGTAGAAATTCAAGTTACCCAGAATAACCAAAATAATCTTAATAAAGGAAAAAGGTGGAAGGTCCACATTAATTGATTTCAAAACTTAGTACATAGCTACAGTAATCGAGACAGTGTGGTACTGGTGTAAAGATGACATAGATAAATGGAACAGAACTGAGAGTTCAGAAATAATCCCTCACATTTACTGTCAATTGATTTTTGACAAGGTGCCAAGGCAATTCAATGAGGAAAAAATAATCTTTCAACAAGTGGTCCTGGGACAACTGGTCACAGACCACATAACTGTCTATTGTCTTCCTCTTGGCCCAGTTCACACATTTCTAATACCTGCCTTATGCCTGTAGGCATTTGATTTTTCAACTTTGAACTAGTCCAACTAGTCACTCAATACTTGAAATCTTTCTACCATTTCTCTGCTAGAAGATTTTAGCCTATTCCTGATCATGTCAATACAGCAGGGATCTCCCTTGTATTGAGCACCATTACTTAAAGCAGTAGTTTTTTACACAAAGAATTTTTAAAATATGTGATCATTTTTATTTTTCATACAAATTTCAGGATGATGCTTTTATTTAGAAGTGGAGCTGGACAGAGATGCTAGGTGTCCTGCGATGCACGTGACAGTTTTACCCAATAGATAATTATGCTGCATGATTTTCAAATATTCCATCAACATTCATGTAGGGGGAAAAAAGTTACAATTATTTGAGAGTGTAGAAAATAATTTTACAAATCACAACAAAAAGTATTTCTTCATAGTTATAAACTAAAAATTTCAAGATTGCAATGCTGTTTAAATCACAGGAATATTGCACTATGTTTTCTGAGACTTGTTCACCATTTCAGAAAATCACATCAGCGAAACAATGCCCCTCATTATAATTGAGTCACCAATATAACATACCAGTGCTATTTGGCACATATCGCTGCTGCATACAGACAGATAGTAAGGGAAACCTAAGACTCTTATGACTTAGAAATAATATTATTAAATTATTGGAAATATACAAGATGCTGGGATTTAATTGAATTTTATTAATAAAGATTTATTTTTATATTTTATATTCTTGCCATTACATGTATTTTAAAGTTTTTAATGAATAACGATGAGAAATCTAGATTATATAAGTTATATAAGGAAATTATTTATTTTGAGGGTTGCCTTTTTTCCCAGTGTTGACACAGGTTCTGTCTCCGTCACAATGTTCCTATGGTTTCTTGTATTACTACTTCTTTTTGCAATGCAACCTACCTCCCCCATAGATTATCAAAGGATATGGTCTCCTGGGTCTTTCTAAGTGCCAGAGATTGATTGTGAGCCTCAACATGTGGAGGAATTTTAAGGCAGGAGATATGTTTTCAGAGATTCTTTGTCACTATCCCATCATAATACTGGGAATAATTTTGACACTGCACTTATAAATAAGGCCCAACTCATTTGTGCTAATATCATACTTCATCATTTTCTCTGTTTCCAAAGTCTGTAATTTGTCTTGGCATGTTATCCTTATTTCAATTAAGATTATTTCTTTTCTTTTTCTTATAGACAGATAATTCTAGTCTGTTAGGACTTATTTTTATTTAGTGACGACCTAGATAGCTACTCTTTCACCTTCCTGAATTTCTTGTATTGAAGGGATTCTGAACTCAACTCTCTTAAATCCAGATGTTTTCATTATAAATAGGTGAAAGCTCTGTCTATATCATCAGTTCTCCTGAGATAGCTTTGTCTGAGCATTTACATATTTAAATGCATATTATTTTATTATAAATTAGGTTTTTTATTCCAATAACAGTGCCATGCTGAACCATAATGGAGCTGAGACTTCTTTTCACTACTTGTTATCAGCTTCTGAACTGAACTGATGGAGTACAAGCATTCATGAGCTCTGTCCATGTTTTTATTCTCTCCCACCTTGGAGCCCAGAGCAGCCTCTGAGGTCTGGCCTAGCTCAACACCCAAGAGAGTCTATCCCTTTATTTTCTCTTCTGCATAGTAAAATTCACAATTCCTTTAATCATTACTTTATATGACAGAGTTTCAACATAAAATACTTTTAATTCTATCTTTACAATGGTTTTGGAATCAAGCTCTTAATACTCCTTGATATTATTCTTAAGTTTCATTTGAGTTATTTCAATAACTTGAGTTATTTCCATAACGCCCTAATTGATGTTTTCACCTTCTACTTCTCTTTCCAATTCTTCTTCCACTAAGTCAAGGTTAACCCCTGAAATGCGCATGTGGTCATGTAACCTTTCCTGCTCAAAGACCTGTAATATACATAAGCTCAAATTCCTTAGCCTTTTATTCATGACTTTCTTAAACCTGATTTTAAATAACTTTCTCAATATCATTTCCTTCAAGCTTTGCATGTGACATTATGCTATATGGGTGGTTTGCAGCAACTTAATCATATTCACTGATTTCAAGTCTTTACAGCTTTGTTTAAGCAATTCTTTTTGCCTGGAATGATTTCTGCCTTTCTGTGGGAATCTCTGTTATCCTTTAAATGCACACTCAATTATGGCTTCTTTCCTGAATTTTTGCCTGAGTTTCAATCTGATTGATGTCTCCCACCTCTTAATTCTGAAGCCCCCTTTTACTTTTCTTACAGTACAATGATATCACATATATATTGCATATTTTTTACTTCCCCTATAAAAAGCCAAGTTACTTAGTGAGGCAACATGACATAGAACTAAGAATGTGAACTCTGGAGCCAGATCTATTACCTTTGAACCTGGACTCAAACCCCTACTAGCTATGTCTGTCTCTAAGATATATTAAGTATGTCTTTTTATTCTGATATTTGGACAACTGGGATCTTACTGACCCTGGGGGGACTTCCTCTCCTAGAGCTAGCCAATTTCCTTTTCTATGAGCATGACTGTCATATGCAAACTAACCAGTCCATAGCCCACACTTTTTCCCACCTCTTCTATCAAGTTCTTCAACTCTGGGCCAATATTCCCCTGCCCTAATCACACCAGGACCAGGTATCAGGCAACTCCAGACAGCCACTGCACTCCAGAGCCTGTTGAAATCATTCAAACTAGCCAATACTAAGCCCGCTCACCGTGCCTCACTTGTTTTTTCCCAATGGAACCACAATAAAGTCTCTTGCCCAGATTTTTCTCCCACTCTGTTTGCCTCTTGACTAACCCTGGTGCTTCCCTGTGTGGCCCTCCATGGCATGGCATGGCATATTCTCTCTTGAGAACTGTGAGTAACAAACTGTCTTTTAAATGGCAGTAATCTTCTGATCGTATGGCCTATCTTACCTATAATGATAAAACCTGCATATATTAAAACATAGGGCATATTGGGAGGGCCAAGTGCATTAACATTTGTAAAGCACACAGATCAATGTCTGATTCATAGTTAGTATTATAAAAGAATTAGTTATTATCAATGGTAGTGATAACACATTGGGTATCTGAGTTTTCCTGCAATGTCTTACTTATAGTAAGTTCTCAATAAATATTTGACTAACGACTGCAGTTCTTCAAATAACTGCTCTTCTCTCTAAGAAGTCTTGATCCATGAAGAGTAAGGGTAAGTTCATAAATGGATTTGAAAATAGAATAATCAAGAAGAAAACAAGACAGTAACTGAAGGAAAACACTGGCATTGATAATTTGAAGGGAAGTTTGAGAGAGAGCAGTGGAGTCAAATAAAGCTCAAATCAGAAAAGCAGACTGGTGTAAAGAAAGGAGATCAGAGCTAACAGGATATAATAATCGAAGGTGATGTGGAACATCAGAGAGGTACTTAAAAGAAGAAACTCAAGGGCTAGGGAAATCTAATCCAAAGCTTTTATTATAATTACACGCTCTGTACTCAGGGTGTTCAGGTGTGACATACCCATCTGCAGACTTTAATACTGACAAAAATTAGAGGAGTAAAGAGGAGAGCTGCTCAGTGCATGTGCTCAGGGCCAAAGTCAGAACTGCGTGAAATGACTCCCTTTTCACTACATGAATTTTCACTTATGAAAAATAAGACTTTTGCAGAAACTATGAATTTGATGAAGACTAAAATTGTGTCATTTCTACCACAGAACAGTATGTTGTCATAGCACAGAAAATAAATGCAAGTGTTAAAATTTCATGTCAATAATACATCCCAAAATCACTATTGTTGCTGCTGGCAAAAAAATGTGCGGAGCTATATAATGTTAATGGAAAAAGAACTCTTTAAGAAAAAATGGCAGACTTTCACCTGTGAGACGTCACTTTTCATGGCAGAGGGAAAAACAACTTAGAAACTTTGAGAAAAAAAGTCAAGTTGATTTTGTTAGGCAAATAATCACATCTTTCTCACCAACAGTGAGAATTCTTTTCTCACAGTTATAAAAGAGAAAGCAAACCTGAACTCAGCCAAAGTGACCTGTATGAATTTAAAAAAAAAAAAAAAAGCCCAACAACTGTGTCCATAAGCCTTGAGAAGTACAATGTTTCATTTTGAATTTTTTAAGGAAATATTACAAATAATTGCTTCTCGGCCTTTTGGCTAAGATCAAGTGTGGGAAATATGACAAATACAAAAACAGAGCAGATGTTATGTCTCAAGCAACATCATCTTTGACACATCTTAAAGTTTTGTGAAACCTGCTCTGTTATCTAACATTTTATATCATAAAAAAGGAAAGATCAAAATGTTTGGTTTTTATGTTTCTTTGAGTTGTTAGTTAATCCTTTGCTCTTTTTCTACCAAACCACAATAAAATACTTGCTCTTAGGCTTTCTCGATCTATAATCAAAGGGTCATTTAAGTGTAGTTGCTCGTTTGATGTAACTGTGTGGCATAATTATTATTTACAGCTTGTGAAGAAATATCTAAAGGAACCGATGCCAGTACTAAGGGTATTATGGTATCGTGTAAATGTATTATTTTGTCACCTCTGCAACCCTTTAGGCAAAATTACTGTTTATTTTCAAAAATAAATTTATGAATCACAAAAAGAAAATATACACAGAAAATCTGAGTCCTTTACCTGGCACAACAAATCAATGCTACAGTCAACAGCTTTGTTCTTTATTTATTAAGATATAACATATAATGATGAAATTATTAGACAAAGTAATGAGTCTCCATCAATGTGTCTTTAGTTTTATAAAACCCAGTTTTACTCTGTCAGCCTTGTCAATGCTACTGAATATTAATGGGAATAAAGTTAATTGCTAGGTGGAAAAAGGTCTTACTCAAAGTGAAAAGGAAGCACCTTGCTGAAATCTGTCATTTTTGACAAGCCATAATTTATTTCTACTTGGTGATATGTACCGACAGGTTTCAAATCTCACTCTTATCTTTACCACAAATTCTAATTATTTTCATTTGGGATGTTGTTGGATCTCAAGCCTCTGAACACTTTCATCATTTGCAAATAAATTATTTTTTAAAAAGAGTTCCAATTCTGAGTGGAAGGGATATTGCCTACAGTATAGGGAAGCAACTGCCTGTTGCAATTTTTAAAAGACATACAAATGTATTTATTTTATCTCAGTAGCCAAGGAAAGGAAAGCAATGACTTTCAGAACAAGAATGGATTGTATGTGCACATAATAACTTACTAGCTTCCAGTTAAACGATTTCATTCAAAGAAAATGGACAATGAATAATCACTTAAGGTTCATCATGATTATCTTGTCACCTGATTGGAAACACAGCATTTAGTAGTGATAGGGATTTTAAGCAGTTTCCATTAAACTTTAAGCAATTATAACTTTAAAACAATACATATCTGTTTTCACTTTAAATCAGCTTATAAATGTCTGCCATTCTTCACTAACTGCAGTTTAGGAAATAAATTAACTTTGAAAATAAGTACTGGATGGCTTATAAGGTTCTTATTACAAAGAATCAAATTAAGGTAATATGGCAAGATTAAAACACATTAAATAATGTTGGTTTCCCCTTCATATATCTTAGCAGTTGCTTTTTTATGAGAATCTAAATTTATTGTTGGAAACTTTGAGTAACATGTTGTTAGCCAAAGGTTCATTGTAATTCTTACACAAAAATAAGGAAAATGCTAAAAGAAAAGTAGCAGCTAGGAGGAACAGGGATTTCTTAATGGGATCAACACAGAATTTTGTTTTTAGAAATGAGACTTTGTGGCCTAATGATTTTCATGCTTTAATAAATGGAATCCACCTATCATCACACCTTGGTCTGTGGTAATTTGCTATAGATTCTTCATTATACTCAGCTCTTACATCTAATGACATTTCAGGGGGCTGCTCTTTTCCCTTTGGTTGAAAGTAAGTGCCATATGTGACTGGCCAGCAGATTGGGTGGCGTTTATGTTGTGGTTCTTAGTCATCCCAATTTTTCTCCACCACATCCCAGTCACAATGGGGAAAAATGAAAAGCAGCTGCTAACAGCCTCACAACAGCTCAGTAATTACTTTCCTGGGCTGGCATTATATGATTTGACAATGGCCTGGGATATAACAAATAAGAAAAACCTTGTCATTCAATTTAAAAGGCTTCCTACCAGGGCAACACACTCCCCACTTCATCAGAATGACAGTACTCAACTCTGACACAGCCAGCATGTTTAGTGCTGAGTGATGTAACTGCAGCCAGGTGGTGCCAAGCACAAACAGCCAACTTGCTTTCCTGTTGACACTGCTATTTGAATTGAAAGATGAATCCTAACTTAGGGCAGAGTTTCACATCTCAGGTCCTAAAAGCGCCAGTCTATTTAGTTCAAAGAAGAATTGCTAGTATATTGGTGTATTTTAGTTAAAAGAACAGTTTTTAGAGATGGCAATCCCACTTTGCCAAAGATTTCAATTTTCCTTGATACTCAATATATGTCATTTTCATTGCTTTGCATAATCTGGCTTCATCCTACCCTTCCGAGATGATATTATTAGGAATTGGCTCTATTGGCCTAGGTAGACTAGGTATCATAACAATCAACCCCAACTATTAGTGAGTTACAGCTATAAAGGTTTTAGTTCTCATTCATGTCATTGTCCAATAAGGTGTTTGGTGAGTCGTCTTCCACCTTGTGATTTAGAGACCCAGCTTCCTTCCATCCAGAGACTCCACCATCTTCTACGACCTCTGAATCCTACACTGTATCCTCTCCATCCAACCAGAGGACAAGGGAAGAAAACAAAATCACAAGAGAAATTTAAGAAATTAGACAGGAAGGTGGATCACATCTTTTCAACCCACATTGTCCAAACTACTCTCATGTCTCCATCTAAGATACAAGGGGCTGAGAAATTGGGTCTAGCAGTAAACCAAGGAAGAGACAGTATGAGTCTCTGCCATGTTTCCTTCTACATTAAGGTGAAGGACCATTAATCATTGCAGCTTACAGTCACTTAAAAGTAACCTATCCAAGACCATTACATTGTCATGTCCCCTAGCATACTGTACTGGTTTTCACCACTAAATTTATTGTTGGAAACTTCGAGTAACATGTTATTTACTGATGTTAGTACCCATGATGAAGTACATTTTTTGAAAGCACTTTTTAATGTTATACTGATTATATTATACTGCAACAGGTAGGGTTACTACTTAGTTATTAGCTAGTTTTAAGACCAGCTATTGGTCTAGTCTTAAAAGCTAAAGAAAACATTTATTCACTCAACAAATATTCATTTACTGGTATGTGTCAGGCATTGTTCTTGGTGCTTGAAATATATTCATGAACAAACAGACAAAAATCCCTGTCCTCATGAACCTTTCATTCTAGAGGAGAGAGATAGTAAACAATAAACATAATAAATCAACACATTATATGGTATAAATAAGATGTTAAGTACAAAAATAGTGAATACTTAGACGGGATGTTAGTGGTGGTTAGAATAAGCCTCATTGAGAAGGTAATTATTACTCAGACTTGAAGGGGTTGAAAAATTAAAAATGCAAGTATGTGTGGGAAAAGCATTTGAAGCAGAAGGAAAAGACATGGCAAGGGCCCTAAGGCAATAGCAAATCTGACATGTTTGATGAATGGCAGGAGGCCATTATGGCTGGTGTGGACATACTGCTAGAATAAATAGAGTAAGAGGAGGTCAAAGATATCATGGGACAAGTTCATGAAGGGCCTTATGGGCTACTGCAAAGACCTTGGCTTACACTCTGCATGAAATGGGAAGCCATTGCAGGGTTTTAAGCACAAGAGAGTTTTTTGATATATTGCTTAAGCTTTAACAACTTTACTCTGGCTGCTATCATAGAATGCAGGAGGACAAAGGTAGAAGCAGACCAGTTAGAAGAATATTACAGTGATAATCCAGGTGAGACATGATAGCGAATTTATCATGCCCAGGTAAGACGTAATAGTGGGTTTATGGGGATATATCAGTGGAGATGAAGAAAGTGGTTGGATTTTATTTGTACTTTGGAAATTCATTATATTTTGAACAACACACCTTCTTTGTGGATTGGATGTGGGGTGTGAGAAGAGAGAATTCAATGAAGACTATACCATTTTTAGCATTAGTGCTAAAAGAATGGAGTTGCCATCACCAAAGATAGACAGGGCTAAAAGAAGAGAGGTTTGGTGCAAGATAATATCAGCTTTGGACATGGTGAGTGTGAAATGTCTATTACACACTCAAGCATGGATATTGAAATTGGCTGTGAGATATGAGTCTGAAGTATAGGAGAGAGGTGTGGATTGTGATATAAATTTGGGAGTCATTAACATGTAGATAATATTTAAGGCCAAGAGATTGAATGAGGTGCCAAAGAACTGCATAGGTTGCCATGTTATGGTGCCTTTCATAATAAATATATTGTGAATCCCAATTAGTAATATGCTGACTGCTTTCTAAGGTTTATCCTCCTTTCTAGACCATTTATTAGTCCTAGACAACTAGTAAGGTGCTTAGACAACTGTAAAATTTGCATTTTCAATTTTGGCATGATTCTCTTACTTTGTTTATTTGAGACAGTTTCAACTTTACCTCTTGCACCTCATTAGTCAGACATTATAGGTAAAAATTGTTCCCAGAACACAAACTAAATGGTAGAAAAAGAGGCCACCATAGAATAAGCAATGCATGATTGGTAGATAGGAATTTGGACCACAATTGAGGGAAGAAGTCCGCATATTCTATGCTCAAAAGCCAACTACAAAACTGGACAAAATTGTCAAAGAAAAGCCCCAAGCATTTCAGGGCTCCAGAAATTAAACAAAGGTAAACAACAAAGAGAGAGCTATTTATTTATTAAAAGCTGCTCTAATCTCAGGTAAAAATAGAGGGAGGCCATGGTCTTTCTGCCTGGGGCTGCCTCCATTTCTTCTACCCCCAGCTTGATTGGCAGAGTAGTTACAGCGGGGTAGAGTTGGCTGTGAAAACCAGCAGATTTGCTGCCAGAAATGGTGGACTTGCTTTGGAGCTGAGTCAAAAGCTCGTGTCTGAAAAAAAGCAATGTTTTCGGTAAAAGCAGTGAACTCAATAAGAAATGAATGAAGCAAGCCTGCAGCTTTTCTAGTCTAAGGTTGCAGTCCTGGTTGGGATGAATGGCAGGCTTACAGAACAACCAGAAATGTAATAGGGAGATCCTGGAAGTGAGAGAGCCATAGAGGGGTTGTATACATTCTCCATGCATCTCTGACTAACTAGGGACTCTCTGTACACCCAAGAAGACTGTCAGGAAAATAAAATCTGGGCAGATATGGAAACTGTATAAACTTTGGATGTCATCTTCAAATCACACACAGATCCAATGGTAGAAGGTAGGTTTTATGGGCTTAAGGTGTTTGAACACAATCTTTGACCAGTCATTGGCTGACCATTAAGTTATGCAGATGATGCTAGAAAGCCAAACTAAAAAGTAAAAATATAAGAATTTTAAAAATTTTAACAGAGACATTAGTGGTGACACATGGCAGAGGACAAAACTTCTACGTATAAGTCCAATCAATTATAGAAAGAAAGAGAAGAAAGAAGAAGAAAAGAAAGAGAAAAAGAGAAGTGTAAGGGGTGGGAGGAGAAGAAAACTCTTAACTGGAAAAGTCAGAAAAAAAGCAGAATCCAGAGTTGCTACAGTATATCATCTAAAATATCCAGTGTTTAACAAAAATAGAAGACATGTAAAGAAATAAGAAAGTGTGACCAATACTTGGGAGGAAAAAGCAGTAAATAGAAACTTTTGAGTAGGCTTATATTTTGGTTTTATTAGATAGACTTCAGAGCAGCCATTATAAATATATTCAAAGATTGAAGGAAACTATGCACATATAGTGTAAATGTAAATGGCTAAAAGAAAATATAATGAAAATGACAAATCAGGAATCTCAGTAAATAAACTATAAAAAAGAAATAAGTGGAAATTCTAGAGTTGGAAAGTATAATAATCAAAATAAAAAATTTACTGAAGAGGATTGACAGCAGATTTCAGATGACAGAAGAAAGAATCAGTGACCATGAAGATACATCAGTGGAAAAGACCTATTCTGGAGATCATACCAACATACATGTCATGAGAGTCCCAGAAGAAAAGAGAAAGAAAAGAAGAAATGATGACCAAAAACCCCCAACTTCATGAAAAAGGTTAGTCTAAAGATTCAAGAAGCTCAAAAATTCCCCAAAAGGACAAAGACAAAGAGATCTGCATCTAGGCACATCAGAGTCAATTACAGAAAGCCAAATAGACACAGAATTATTTTGAAATAAGCAAAAGAAAAATCATTCATTGAATACTAGAAAACAATATTACTAATGGCTGACTTATCAGAAATAATAGAAGCCAGAAGATAATGGAATAGCATAATCAAAGTGCTGAAAGAAATAAAAAATGACTTTCAACCCAGAATTCTATATCCAAAAATGTTCTAAAATTAATTGTAATTGCCACACAACTCTGACTATACTGTCATTGAAGTGTACACTTTAAATGGGTGAATTATACAGTATACACATTATATCACATTAATGCTGTTAAAAACTGAAAATTCTATGTACAAATATTATACTTCAAAACTGAAGGCAAAATGTTAGCTACATTAAGAAATATCTGGTAAACGAAGTCTGGAAGAATTTATTGCTAGTGTATCTTCCTTAGAAGAAATGCTAAAGGTAGTCTTTTATGCTGAAAGTAAATGACAACAAACAGCAGTTGAATCTGCAGGAAAAAATAAAGAGCACTGGAAATGGTGGTAAATATAAAAGGCTATATAAATATTTTCCTTTTTTCTTCTATTATTTTCTTTACAAGATATATGATTGCATATAAAGCAAAAACAAATGATGCCAAACACACTCAGGCTCAAAGAGCGCAATAGAGCCCTCCTTGACAAAAAGCAGTAGAAGCCTAGTGTACTATATGCCTATTGCCTGAAAGCTTACGTAACAGCTTACCTTAATAGCTCTGATGAACTAAGAGAAAACAATACTGAGAAAATCAGAAAACTTATATATTACCAATGTTCTATCATTGTTTTTATGTATGTCTGTATTTGAAATGTAAATAATTGTTTTATATATATACATGTTTAGGACAATAGTTCAGAGATAAACAGTTTTAAAATAAATCAGTTTCACTTGTTACTTAACACTCTTAGAGACACCGGAAATTACAATTACCTTCTTTTTTACCTAAAATTTGGTAGGAATGATGATGAAAATCTGCAAAGGTGGTTAAGCTTTCACGTGTAAGTCCTTGGCAATGGTGTGAATGTAGCTCCATTTTGCCACTGATGCCGCTTTTCACACCTTTGGGATTTGAAACAATGTAATGGGTACATGGCTGATCCAGTTTGAGGTAGTCTACTATTGAAGGTGAATGTTTTTTGTTTTTTGTGAGTTTTTTTTCTTTTTTTGCCATAATCATCTATGTTAGTTTTTACTTTAAAAATGAATACCTATTTCAACATCTTGCAGCCCATTCTTACACTAGGATCCAGCAACACTTTTTCATCACTTCTTTCCCAGTTCAAATGCTTTCAGTGGCCTCTCCCTAACATTATTTAGTCTATCAGTCAAGGTTCTTTATTATCTGAATTAAACTATATTTTCACTCTTCCAAAATACTTACAAATTAGTCTTTTTACAGTGGAGTGCTGTAATCAAGAAAACTATAGTCAAATATAGAGATGAAAAAAAAGCAGACAAGAAAAACAAGAACAAAAAGAAAGTTGAAATAGGCAAAAATAAACAATAACAGGGAAAACTGGCCAGCCATGTGCAGAAAATTAGAACTGGACCCCTTCCTTATACCTCATACAAAAATTAACTCAAAATGGATTAAAGACTTAAACGTAAAACTCAAAACTATAAAAACTTGGAAGAAAATCTAGGCAATACCATTTAGGATATAGGCACAGGCAAAGATTTCATGATGAAAACGACACAAGCAATTGCAACAAAGCAAAAATTGGCAAATGGGATCTAATTAAACCAAATAGCTTCTGCACAGCAAAAGAAGCTATCATCAGAGTGAGCAGACAACCTACAGGATGGGAGACAATTTTTGCAATCTATTCATCTGACAAAGGTCTAATATTTAGAGTCTACAAGGAACTTAAACAAATTTACAAGAACAAACAACCCCATTAAAATGTGGGTAAAGGATATGAACAGACACTTCTCAGAAGAAAACATTCAGGCAGCCAACAAACCTATGAAGAAAGCTCAACATCACTGATCATTAGAGAAATGCAAATCAAAACCACAATGAGGGCCGGGCGCGGTGGCTCATGCCTGTAATCCCAGCACTTTGGGATGCCAAGGTGATCGAATCACTTGAGGTCAAGAGTTTGAGACCAACCTGGCGAACATGGCAAAACTCCGTCTCTACTAAAAACACAAAAATTAGCCAGGCATTGTGGTGGGCACCTGTAATCCTAGCTACCCAGGAAGCTGAGGCTAGAGAATCACTTGAACACAGAAGGTGGAGACTGCAGTGAGCTGAGATCACACCACTACACTCCAGTGTGAGCAACAGAGTGAAACTCCATCTAAAAAAAAAAGCAAAAACAAAAACAAAAAAACACACACACAATGAGACACTGTCTCACACCCATCAGAATGGTGATTATTAAAAAGTCGAGAAACACCTGATGCTGGTGAGGTTGCAGAGAAAAAGCAACATTTTTACACTGTTGGTTGGATTGTAAATTAGTTCAACCATTGTGGAAAACAGTATGGAGATTACTCAAGGATCTAGAGGCAGAAATACCATTTAACCTAGCAATCCCATTACTGGGTATATACCCAAAGGAATATAAATCATTCTACTATAAAGGTAAATGTATGTGTATGTTAATTGCAGCACTGTTCACGACAGCAAAGACATAGAATCAACTCAAATGCCCATGAATGATAAACTGGATAAAGAAAATGTGGTACATACACACCATGGAATATTATGCAGCCATAAAAAGGAACAAGATCATATCCTTTGCAGAGACATGGATGGAGCTGGAAGTTTTTATCTTCAGCAAATGAACACAGGAACAGAAAACCATATACCACATGTTCTTACTTATAAGTGGGAGCTGAACGATGAGAACACATGGACACATGGTGGAGAATAACACACACTGGGGCCTACTGGGAGGTAGGGTGCAGGGAGGGAGAGCATCAGGAAGAATAGCTAATGGATGCTGGGCTTAATACCTAGGTGAGGGTTGATCTATGCAGCAAACCACCATGGCACACATTTACCTGTGAAACAAACCTGCATATGCTGCACATGTACCCTGGAACTTAAAAGTTGAAGGAAAAACAAAAAACAAAAACAAAAGAGAAATGTATCTTAATCCAGCTAAATATTAAATCACTTTAGAAGGTATCAGCAAAAGTTTGGTGTTTGAATATTGTATTAGGCCATTCTTGCATTCCTATAAAGAAATACTTGAGATTGGGTGATTTATAAAGAAAATAGGCTTAATTGGCTCATGGTTCTGCAGGCTCTACAGGAAGCATGGTACCAACATCTGCTAAGCTTCTGGGGAGGCCTCAGGAAATTAAGAATCATAGCAGAAGCTAGCAGGGGAAGCAGCTGCATCAGGAAGCAAAAGCAGGAGCAAGACAGAGTGTGTGGAGTGGGGAGGTGACACACACTTTTAAACAACCAGTCTCGTGTGAACTTGAAGTGAGAGCTCACTTATCACCAAGGAGATAGTCCAAGCCATTCATGAGGGATCATCCCCCATCATCCAAACACCTCCCACCCGGCCCCATCTTCAACACTGGAGAATACAATTCAACATGAGATTTGGGTGAGGACAAATATCCAAACTATATCAAATACGTTCAGTTAGGAGAAATGCAATGTAATTAATTAGACTCTCTTGAATTCTAATAGGATCCAAGGAACATAATTAGGCCTTTTCCTGACATTCAGGTGACATGGTCAGATGTAGGGTGGGTATATGCCATTCTGCATTTATTGTTATCCTTTCCACTGTTTTCTATGGAGTTATAAAGGATTCAGAGGGGAAGAGAAGCTATCCTTTTAGAACACTTAAGAGGAAGCCTTCTTTCTGGATTATTCTCACTTTTTTGGCTTAATTTCTTTATTTATTTTGAGAAAAGGTCTCACTCTGTTGTTCAAGCTGGAGTTCAGTGGCACAATCATGGCTCACTGCAGCCTCCACCCTCCAGGCTCAAGCGATCCTCCCACCTCAGCCTCCTGAGTAGCTGGGTCTAGAGGTGCATGCCACCATGCCCAGCTAATTTTTGTGTTTGTTGTTGTTGTTGTTGAGATGGGGTTTTGCCATGCTGCCTAGGCTGGTCTCGAGCTCCTGGGCTCAGGTGATCCACATGCCTCGGCCTCCCGAAGTGCTAAAATTATAGGTGTGAGCCATCATGCCTGGCCCCTTTTGCCTTTAAACAGTTATTTGCTGCTTAAATCTGTAGGACCAGTTTTTCATTGTGGAATCACCTCATCTCAAATTCCTGGATAGGCCTTGCTTTATTTTCACTCTCTAAAACTGACAATCAATTCAGTCCCACTCCTAGGAGGCAACTGAATAACAGTAGCACTTGCTGCTTATTATGTTTTAATCCTGACTTTATTTTAGGGGTAGTTCTACTAAAAATTCTGGATCTATATTCTTAGTTCTCAGCCTGAAAGTGCAGAGAAAACATCTAATTTACTTTTATAAAAATAACCCGCCAACCCATCTTGAGGAATGGGTTTATCTGATCTATTGATTTGATTGATTGATCACCAGTCATTTCCACACAGTAGGGGTTTGAGGGGATGGGAAACCAAAGAGGAAAATGTTGATGGGAGAAAGAAAGTGGAAAAAATTGGGAACGTGAGTTACTGCCAAAGCCCTCAAAATCTTATGTATGGTGAAAAGGGGTTGAAGATGATGGTGATGGTAGTGGTAGCTAGGGTGCAGCAGGATGTAATAAGGTGAGGGCTGTAAAAGTCTTCTGAAAGAAGGATAAGCCAAAGAAAACTCCTCATATTTTATGGTTTTCCCATGGGATGGCCTTATCAATAAAGTTTGATGATAATAATGGTGGTAGGCAGGTGAGTAAACGGTAATTGTAAGCTCAGGTGGGAGTTACAACACCTTTTGCCCCTCATGAAAAGGTTCTTGTGCTTTTTTTCCCTCTGTGAAGTCAGTAAAATTGACCTATTCAGGGCTTTTCTAACTTTAACAAGTGTGATTTAGTCACACTGTTCTGAATTCTTATTCCTTTCCATGCATCATACACCTCGTTGCGGCGAAGAAAAGAATGGAACAGTTAAATGGGAAAGGGTTTATCCTTAACTACTTCTTCTATTCTTCTCTCATCACCAAAAAACTACCTACTCCCCTGCCAAACACCAGGAACAAAATAAAGTGGATATATGCCTCTGGGCCTTTCTGGATACTAAGGGATGAATTGAACAAAGATGATTTTGTGTCTGTTATTTGCCTTTGTTTCTGGGTTTGTATGTTTGTTTATATGAACATTTTATTTTTCTCTCTGCAGTGAAAGTATCCTAAGAGCAGATATTAGAAGTGTCTACATGCTACGCAAATACATTACTAATAGATGGTTAATAGGTACTTTTATTATTGAAAATATATCCTTTCCTGTGTATTACACTTTACTTTCCTGTCCCCAAAGATATGCAGTGACCCACCCAAGGGGAGGGAGGTGGGAGAGGACTAGGGAAATGCCCTGGTGAGGAGCAATGCTATATCATCAACACAATTTAGAATTGCATGGTGATAAGAAAAAGAAAGTTGACTTTTGGACTTTTTTATTACTTTTAAATTCTCCATAACATTGTGCCTCTTTGCAACTTATACCTGGAACAGATCACATCCCTGTACCACTCTCATCTTGGTATTTTACTTGCATTTAGGAGGATAGACAAGACATGCATATTGAACTTCTAAAAAATAGATACTTGGTATGCACCTTTATACAAATAAAGACACATACAAATATAAAAGGTAGCTATAATAGTATAGAATCTAGAGCTATATATCTATAAATTAATTTTTATTGTAAATTTCTAGTTCTGGTTGTGAGAAAATATATATGGATGGACAAGAATAAGAATTGTTAACTGTGGACTAAATTATGAATGTACATAGCATTACAAACAGAAGATATATCTATATCTATATATGAAGGAGAAAGATAAGTAGAAAAATACCAGTCAGATAAATCCCAGTTCATCATACATAAGCAGTATGAATTTAACCTCTGTGTTTTATTTCCCTCAGTGGTAAACAGAATAATAATAGTGCCTACTCATAGAGTTACCGTGAGGATTCAGTGCAATGATGCACATAAAGTACTTAGTCTAATATAAGTCCGTGTCCAATGATCATTGTCTATTATTACTACATGAAATATCATTTTATTACACTGAATTGGTTATGTTTGTATATGTTCCATTTATCTTTTGCCAAATTTTCTCACACTTGCATGTTTTTAAGGTAGAGTGGGAAATAAGGGTATGAATGTCCCTAGTACCATCAAACTTTATATATGTGCATGCCAACCCCAGGGCACACATACATTAATAGTACAGTACACCACTGCTGAGACCAGCTTGGTCGGGGAGACCCTAACCTAGTGGCGCTACAGGAATTAAAGACGCACACACAGAAATATAGAGGTGTGAAGTGGGAAATCAAGGGTCTCACAGCCTTCAGAGCTGAGAGCCCCAAACAGAGATTTACCCACATATTTATTAACAGGAAACCAGTCATTAGCATTGTTTCTATGATACTAAATTAACTGAAAGTATCCCTTATGGGAAAAGAAAGGATGGGCCGAATTAAAGGAATAGGTTGGGCTAGTTAACTGCAGCAGGAACATGTCCTTAAGGCATAAATCGCTCATGCTATTGTTTGTGGCTTAAGAATGCCTTTAAGCGGTTTTCCGCCCTGGACAGGCCAGGTGTTCCTTGCCCTCATTCTCGTAAACCCACAACCTTCCAGCATGGGCATTAGGGCCATTATGAACATGTTACAGTGCTGCAGAGATTTTGTTTATGGCCAGTCTTGGGGCCAGTTTATGGCCAGATTTTGGGGGGCTTGCTCCCAACACACCACTAAGATAAGATGACACATTCTGTGGGCCACACACTGTTCTAAGTGTTTCACAAATACCAACTATTAATAATTCAATCTTGCTAACAAGCTTATGAGGATGGGGAAACAGATTAGAAAACCAAAACATAGGCAGGAGCATTTGACTTAAAAGCACCAAAAAAAGTGACAGAGGCCAGAAGTTAACACAGGCAGTTTGGCCACCACACTGGAGGCTTTAACCAGCACTCTGCACTGCCTCTTACAGTCCCACTCAGACACACACCACACAGGGACCTGGCTGCTTGCCTGAAATGTGGATGCTTAGACCAAGATACTAATTAGGTAAAGTTAAATAGTTTTGAAGACAAGTTGGGTTTCATAAAGTGAGCACCTCAGTTCTGCTGCCACCTGTGTTACAGGTTCTTGCTTCTAGTTGTGAGGACTGCTGAATCCTTATCTACCACTAGAAGAAAAAATATCCCAATTCACATTTCATCATTCCCAGGTGTAAGAAGTACCATTATTGTATCTGAAATATGAGACATTATTTCATTGACTAGGTTCTCCCCCCTCTTTGTCTTAAAACAGCCTGTCATTTTCCTAGTTATCAGGCCTTTTTCTAAGCCTCCCTTTGTCAAGAATTCCTCCACATCACATCCCTCTGTTCTGCTCCCCTAGAGGGAAAAACAAAATAAGAACAAAACCCTCTTTAGTAATATAAAATAAACTTCAAAAGAAAATCCATCCCCAGGGAGTAGAGTAATACAGTAATATCTTACTTTGGGGATCTATTTTCCTTCTTTAGGATAAAGCTCTCCTAACATTTTAGTTCAGAGTACATTGCTCCTCTTTATGTTACCACCTGCATGGCTCTGTGCACTTTTAGTGCCAAGAAGCATGAGAAGATTTTATAACGAGAGTAATTGTAATAGGATTTAATCATGGTGTCGGCAGCAAAAGGGCCAGCAACCTTAATGATAATGTTACAATAGAGAGCCGTGGAAATGGTATAAGTAGGTAAAATAGTGTAAATTGAAGTTGCCCTATGACTGTAATGTACACTGTAATAGCCATTCAAAGCCAGGCACCATAAAAATATGTCCAGCATCTATAAGGCATTAAACATTAAGCAATCCTCTGAAAAATAAATCCAAAACCTCAGAGGATGCCGTCATGTTAAAATCCAGTCTGTTAGAAAATGGAATTATAATGCATCAGGAACATTTCAAGAATCAACAGTGAAACAAAGGGAAGGTTTACAATTTACAAATAACTAGATCTAAGTTTTGAAAAAATGAAACTTCATATTACTTCACCTTTCTACATGGTGTGGGTAGAATGGAACCCTGACTTTAGATGGAAAAATAGATACAGATTCATAATCATTTGGCATGTGCTTTAAGTGACTAAGAGTCTGGGATGAGCCTAATATTAGGTTGGATCAGGAAGCTATCACTTGTAGATTTTCTATAGGTTCTTCAAGGGTGAACCTGTGCATTAAGTAATACTGGCACTGTTTATTCCAGTCCTTTCTAAAGAATATTGCAAATGTTAATTTGTCAGTTTCCACAATACCTTTTTGGGATAACATGAAAGACAGTATTAATAACAGTTTTGGCTTATAGAATGTTTTTTTTAATCTGAAAATCCCTAAAGGCATCATAAACATTAATAACACGAACAAAAGGCCTAATAATAATATTAGCTGGGTCTCAAATAGAAAAGATTACTAACCTCATTTTGTAAATGCCGAGATTTAATCACAAATAGGCTAGGAAAATTGACTCAGACTAAAGAAGCAGTCACCAGCCAAGCCAGCAATAGAAATCAATGCTTTTTGATTCTTGTGTCCCCATTCCAGATACTGTACTACTTCTCACAGAAGCAAGAGGCATTACTTGGAAGAAAAGAGATCTTTACTTTTGAATGTAACATTTCGCCTTCACAAAACCATTGAAAACTATCTAGAACTCCCTCCTTACCTACATCAGTTATCTTCAGCACCTTTCCACCTTAGAATCTGATCCAATATGAAAGTTGCATTTCACTTCAGATTAGGGTCTTTCTACTAATCTAGACTGATAACATATATTCTCAGAAATTTCACTCCATCTAGAATAGTCATATAGATATTCCAAATCTGCTTTGGAAATATCATTTTATTCTGCTATATGATGTATAAAATTTCATTCTGGGCTTAAGAATTAGAAATTGCTTAGAGGTTCACTTCAGATGTCTATTTTAGGTATCAATACAAATTTAGTAATGGCTGACTTTTACTGTTCCCAAAGTTAAGTGTTTACGCTTTTAACTTTAATAAGATTAGGAATGGTTTGATTGTCTTTCACTGCACCTAGACTTGGAGGCTTTATTGAATTTGAAACTTGCAAAAACAGTGCACAAAAAAAAAATCTAATTCATTAGATGATGTCATTAAATAAGAATTTTTTCCCTACAAACTGTTGGTAAATATTTACCTTAAGCTTGATTTGTGTTAAATTCAACATGTACTGAGTGTCTGATCTCTTTAGAGCAGATAAAAATCTACTCACAGTCAACTAACTAGTTTCCTCTTCAGTTATAGATCTTGATGACTCTTAGTATTTCTCCCTTAGAACTGCTTTCATGAAATGATAGGAGCTTTTCAGCTTTACTTTTGAAGGAAGGTGATGCTTTGCTTCCCTTTCATATTTGTCTAAAAGCACTTTCGCCAGCAAGCCAGCATGTGTGCTACATGTGAACTTTTCTACAGAATCTCCTAAACAAGGTGAAAAAAAATCATTAGTAGTCCAGATTTCAATCTTCTGCACAGCTCAGGTAACAATAAATGAGTAATTTGCCGCCCTTCACTTTGGCAGGCTGATGCCTAATGATTACCCAGGGACAGGATAATGGTACCATAGTGATTACACTATGTTTTTCTAACCACTTTCAAGGCCTTTGCTTTCAGACCTGCCCTAATGAAAAGAAAGCTCTGAAATTGGGCCAGGTCTTTATTAAAAATGTTCTGACAGGCTCTGCTTAGATAAAATGTATTCACTTCTCAGATTTGAATCTTCTTCAGATTTGGAAGGCATGGTCTCGAGAGTAGATCTGATTGCCTGAACACTTTCATAATGAGGAAATGAGGTCTTGGCTAATTCCACAAGCCACTGGAAAGACTTATTTAAAGAAGATATGATGATAACCTATCTCTAGATAGTGAACTGGCTCAGGGAGAACTATGCAAGACAAGGAGCAGAAAATCAAAAAATCTGATCTTTGCTGATGTTACTGAGTTACTGTGTGATCTTATGAAAATCAATTAATATTTCTGAGTTTCTTGGTCACTGTAGGCAGAGTCAGCACAGCTGTCAATCATTTGATAGATAGATGATGGATGATAATGATAGATAAGAATATAAATAGAGTTACTGTGACAGAAACCACTGTCTGTGCATGCAGTGGTAGCTGTAATTATTGCCTTTTAAAATGTTATATGCAAGAAAACATGCTGGCAACATTTAACCAACTTCCAGTCCATTCTGCACAGTGCTGCCAGAGCTTTCTTTCCAAAACATACTATGCAACAACACAACTATAATGCTTCCCCAATACCCAATGTTTATCTGAGGATGGTTTACTTGATAATCATATGGGCAACTTTAAAAATTCTGATTATTCTGCTTCCTTCCTAATTCGGGGTGTGTGTGTATGTGTGCATGCGCATGTGTATTTGTGTAGGTAGGTAAGAGTAGGAGATAGGGGTACAGATAACAAATCTATATTTTTAAATAATCTTCTTCAGGTCATTTGTGTTAAATTAGGTTTGGGAGCTGTTGACTCTAGCATAGATCCCGAACTCTTTGGATAACTAAAGATCCTTTACTGAAGGAAGGTTAAAAAAAACTACTGTAAGAGACCAGGCTGTGGTAGAAAAATGAAGCGATGTAAAAATGCAGAGGACAAGGCCCGTAAGAGGAGGCCTGGAAGTCACAACCAACATAGAAGATATAAAGTGAGTTATGGACACACTTGAGGAGTGAAGTAAAAAGTGCATATATGGGAAAAGTGATGAGTTTAATGTTCTGAGTTTGGGGTGCATGCAAAAGATGAAAGTGGCAACAATTAGTAGAGAGATGGAATTAGAGATCTGGAGCTCAGGGAAGGGTTCTGGGTAAGAGGCATTGCTTGAGAGTTGGCAATAATAGGTATGGATTTTAAAAAATAATAAGGAACATAGTTGAGGATTGAACTTTGAGGAACTCCAACATTAAGGGTGGGCAGACTGTGGGGAATGGAGGAGGAGGTAACTGAAAATAAGTTGCCAGAGAATTAGAAAAGAGGTGTTACAGAAGTTGGAGGAGGGGTTGACAATGCTGCATCTTCTAGAGGCTCAAGGAGGATAAGACTGAAAAAAACCTCAGTAGGTTTGGTAAAAGTCCATTTATTGATGTGTGTTGGCAGGTATGTTGCTGCATCACACTGGGAGTGAATGGGGATGAAGGGTATTTACATTCTAATGTATTAGTTAAAGCAACTTGGTTATGAGGGAAGAAAAGAGATATAGTGGTAGTTAAAGGATCAAAGGTAGGCTTTTTTAGGATAGAAGAGACTTGTACATATTTCTTTTTTGTTTTTTGGGGTTTTTTTGAGACAGGGTCTTGCTCTGTCACCCAGGCTGGAGTGCAATGGCAAGATCTCGGCTCATTATAACCTCGGCCTCCTGGGCTCCAGTGATTCTCCTGCCTCAGCCTTCTGAGTAGCTGGGACTACAGGTGTGCGCCACTGCGCCTGGCTAATTTTTGTATTTTTTGTAGAGATGGGGTTTTGCCATGTTGCCCTGGCTGCTCTCAAACCCATGAGCTCAGGTGATTCAGAGACTTGGGCATATTTCTATGATAAGGAAAAAGAGCAACTGAGAGGGGGAGATGAGGATAAAGAGGAGAAGAGAAAATTAATTGAATGATGTTGTCAAGGATATGAGATAGGAACGGATTCATAGCACAAGTATACATTTGGTCACGGAAAGTGAGAGAGATGTCCCTTCTTCTGAGGATGAAGGTAGAATGGCAATGTAGATAAAATTCTCATTTTAGATGTTTTGGTAAGAATGGGGAAAGCTTTAGTAGGGCCTTGCGAACAGCAGTGACATTTGGAGTCGTTGCTCTGCAAATTAGAGAACTGGTTGTGAGATTCTATGCCATATTAATAATCCCCTTGCAGTTAAAGACTATAAAAATATAACAACCCAAATATCATCGGCTGTGCAGTTTTCTCTAGTAGTTCTCAGCATGGGAATAAATACAATAGATTCAGAGTTGGGTTTTTTCAAGGGGTAAAGGAATAAGATAAGACAAGAAATATGGTAAGAATGAAACTGGAGACTATGATTCTGAGCATTAGACCAGAAGTGTGAGCCTTACCAAGGAAGAACAGAAGTGAAAACCCTTAAAGTTCAGGAGCTAGAGGAATTGAAGTGTGAGACAAATAGTTGATGTGTAATGAGGCCTAAAATGAAGGTCACTATGATGTGCGACCTTTACATGGCAAAATCAGGAGGGCCTCAAATGACCTCACCACAGGCTCTCCTGCCCACTCTGCTCTCATAGAAAAGATCCCCCAGCCAAAACACCCTCCTCATGGGAAATAGGCCCAGTTCTTATTTATCACTGAGTAGTGGGTTTTAGTTCCCTGCCAGCCCACAGTTATTCAAAAAGCCAATCACATCCTTCTGTGGTAACCAAAGGACACTTCATGTTCTTGATACTGCAAAGTCTACCTCCTAATGCCCTCAGTGGTTCACTCTGTTGCTAAATGCAACGTCATGTGGCCTGGCATGGTGCTGAGTGTCCTCCTCCCCTGAGCTGTGAGTACTCAAACTGCTGTCCATCTCACCTGTTTAGTTTGGGGTGTCATGTGTTTATCTAGCCTCATTTCCCAGAGTGAGAATCCTCCCCCAACCTCACCAACAAGGGGAATAGGAGATTGTTAAAACAGTTGGGTATGTTGTTCACCTGGACACTGATGTTATCATAGTATCATGACTTGGGTAAGAGGAAAATTGCAAGTCAAAGGCTAAAGTTTTAACAAAAATTGAGAAGTAGTTTTGAGGCTGGTAGAGGTTTAAAGATAAGAGCAGGCAGAGGGTGAAGAGCCGGGTGAAGAACCAGGTGACATGAGCCAGGTGATATGAGCATGTGCCTAGGATCTAAAATTGTCAGAAACTGCTGACCTTTATGCTTTCCAAGTTGAGACGTGGTAGAGTTGTAGGGATGTAGGGAAAAAAAGACCCAGGTCTTGAGTGACAAATCTATGCCAGATGTTATAGTGGACACTAGCCATGATAATTCATTTAAATATTCCCAAATAAAATAAGACAGGTATTATTATCTACTTTATCAGATGTGGGAACCAAGGCCCAAAGAGATAAAGAAATTGAGAAAGAGGCACTAGATTAGAATACACATCTCCTAAGTTGCAGTACTTTACCACTGTGATTCCTTCGATTCTCATCATTAAGCATTCTATTTTGAGATTCTGTTGTGTTCAAAATTCTATTTTCGACACTGAAGGTACAGGACATCAGTGGATACAAAGATTCTTGCCCCCAAAGAGCCTACAACATAATGGGAAACATTGCCTTAGTCATGCCTCCAAAAGAAGCAATAATTTATGCCAAAAGAATTTTTTAAAAATTGGTGATGTGGGGTCTGTCTTTACTGCATACTGGCTTATAAGTTATTTTCAAACCTAGTGTAATCCTTTTGCCAAACATGAGAAGAGGGATCACTTTTACCAGTGAATATAGAAGCATCTATATTTAGTCACCCTTTTGTTTTTGGATCTTCCACCAGCCCATACAACCTAAAGCTGTGTCTTTTCTGTAATAAGCAGTCTAGCTACAGGGATTGTATGTGGTGCTTTAAGAGCTTTATGATTTTTTATTATCCCTTTGTGACAGCTTTTTCAGAGTTATGCAAATGGTATGCCAAGTGTAGTAGACTGAAATTTCTTCCATTTTATCTCTGTCCAAATAGAAGTTGCCTCATCTGCATATAACAGTTCCCTTTGCAACTCAGTTGTAGTAGAAAATTGGAAGTCATTTGTATTTGCATTTCCTGGGGATACAGACAAGAGCAGATGCCAATAATGGATGTCATAATTTGCTGCCTTCTCTTTGCTGCCTATAAATCTTTGAATATTTTTCCTACAATAGCAAGTAAAGAGATTCAGTGAGCATAATGGGGAGAGGGAGATGTAAATCGCAGCAGTGGTGGTGGATTCCAGCTATGAATATTTCAGAAACAAGACACTCCCTTTAAATGAAACACTAATGCTTGTTAAGGTGCTCCTAGGCCTGATGTGATTTTGATTTCACTTAATAACCCATGACTCCTGGCTGCACAACACTAGATCCTGGTTGTCAGGTTCTAAAGAAAATCTTTGCTCCTCTTCTAATTTCAAACGCTGGCCTTATTGTGGTGTCAATTCTTGATTACCTACACACTACACCAGAGATACACAGGCATTTACAATTTAAAATTTAAATAATTTATATTTGGTTTTGAAATGAATTCACTCAGATACAAAAAGTCTCACCCCCCCACACACACGCATATAAATATGCACACTCACCCAAACTCACTCTCACATACTTAGCCTTGAGTCCTTCCTTCCCTGAACATTTTTTAGTAGGTTGTGACTCACTGAGTGATGCTGATTATCTGAATATCAATAAGAAAACAAAACATTTATACTCAAATTATGAGTCCTCAATATAGAGATTTCAAAATGGAATGCTATGCCATGTGTCATTTTGTATTTTTCTCATACCTTATACCCTACAAATAATAAGTTGAGTTAATCTAAAATTATCCAAATTTCTCTTTTTCTAACTCACTTTGACACTTTTTTTACCTATATTATTTTAAACTTAAACCTTTACAGGTTACATTCTTTCAGAAATTTGGAGCCCATAGCAAAACTACCTTGCTTACACAGGTTTTTATTATTATTATTATTATTACTATTATTATTAAAGTTCTGGGATACGTGTGCAGAACATGCAGGTTTGTTACATAGGTATACACGTACCATGGTGATTTGCTGCACCCATCAACCCACCATCTACATGCTATCCCTTCCCTATCCCCCTATCCCCTGACAGGCCCCAGTGTGTGATGTTCCCCTCCCTGTGTCCATGTATTCTCATTGTTCAACTTCCACTTATGAATGAGTACATGCTGTATTTGGTTTTTCTGTTCCTGTGTTAGTTTGCTGAGAATGATGGTTTCTAGTTTTATCCATGTCCTTGCAAAGGACATGAACTCATCCTTTTTATGGCTGCATAGTATTCTACGGTGTATATGTGCCACATTTTCTTTATCCAGTCTATCATTGATGGGCATTTGGGTTGGTTCCAAGGCTTTGCTAATGTGAAGAGTGTTGCAGTAAACATACGTGTGCATGTGTCTTACACAGTTTTTTTGTTGTTGGTTTTCAACCTGCCAAAAATGCACAGTCTTTCTATAAGATATCTATTATTACTCCAGTGAGATATTTAAACACTTTAATTGGTATAAATGTTGTAAACTAACCCCAGTATACCTCATTAAGTAGCTGTATTCACTGATATTACTGTCAGGAGGAATTGGCAGGCTATTAACTCAAGTAAAATAATCCAGAAAGAAAAATCGAAAAGAAACTAAATAAAAATTAACACCTAGTAGATGAGTATTTGATTCTGAATCCAAATCCTCTCCAGATTTGAACTCAGTGAACTTGTTGACTGACTACCTTGGCTACTGTATTCTCAGCCTAATTATTCTTTTCTCTTCCTTACAAGACAAGTGTCATCTTCAAGACAAACTCTTTTCTAATTCTTCAACAAAGAGTTTCCCATTCCTCCTACAGTAGAGCTGTTGATGCCCTGCCCAGCTTTCTTTTAGAAGACCAGAGCATCCAGCCCTCAGTTGTTATCAGTGTTGGCTGCTAACAGCTCACATACAGCTGCCCTATTTTCCTGAGAAATGCACCTGATCAACAGGAACTCAAGAGCCCTTTCACCCAAAATGTTTGAAATGTTTTCTCTTCCGGGAGTTAGCTTATCTAGAGATACAAAACATCATCCTCTTGCCCCAGGGTGGACGACTCAGTGTGCCATGCACACTGAGCTCAAAGCAGGATCAGGCTGAGGCTAGACTTTCTGCTACATCTTTGCAGGAGATGCTTCATCCCCTGCCCTATTCTGCTTTCCTTACTAATGTAAGAGCTATCCTGAGAGAACTTCCTCATTAAATCATTTGCACATAAATCCCTGTCTCTGACTCTGCTTTTAGGAAACCCAATCTAAGACAGTTGGTGCCAGGGATGATTCTAGAAAGTCATCTTTACAAATGGGACTCTAGAGTTAAATCATTCACCATCCGGATAGCAATAGAGACTCGATTGCTGGTGGTTGGTAGTGTATTGATCATTCCTGACCTGCTATAGCAATACAAATGCTCAGAGTTTCATCTCTAGTGATCTTGGATGAGATACAGATGGACTTAGGTTGTGTCATGTTCCTGATGCTTACGAGTTTCAGGGTAAATAATAACTATATAATTTGTGGTATTTGGTAGCTGTTGTTAAGTGCCATTAATGCCTTAAGGAGAGAAAATGACAAGCTCAGACTCAATCACCAATTTAAAGTAAATCATGCTTCTTTGGCCACATTTAAAGAGACTCACATTTCTTCTTGCCAAAGTGCAGACAGAGCTGACAACCAGGCCCAGATTCACCTAGGATACGAATTCGGCCTTTTTAAAATTTCTGCCATTCTGCCATTCTCAATTAAGTCCTGTGCCTGGTTGTTTATCAAATCTGGGCTAGTCTGTGCTTTTATTCTTTTAATCTCAATTGGAAAAAACATTCCAAGACATACAACTATGCGCAATTCAATGCATGCAGTTCTCAATCAAATGTAATTTCCAAGTAACATTTAGGTATTTCTCTTTTTGTTTTCAGTTCTACACCTGAAGGTGGTGAAATCCAACCAATGACATTGTGCTGGTCTCAGGAGCTATTGCTCACTTTGTGACTAGGGGAATATACTATGTACTCCTCCAGCATATAGGAAACCCTCTAAAGTAGATGAATTACGGTTTTTGTTTTGTTTAATTTGGTTTACAGTATCTTTGGATGGTTAAATCCCATTAAGCCTTTTTCCATGGAGAAATCCCATTGGATTTTCTTTTGCTTTATTTAGGAAACATGGCTCCTACTTCTTCCAAAATAGTTAAAGAATACATACCAAAATGAGTAAGTCCTAAACAAAGATTTGCAAATCTTCTTCATGTCTTTCTGGGAGAATCTCAGACTTTGGTTCGCCAAGTTCACAGTGGATATTTTCCATCTACTCCTTCAGATTCAGTCCCCAGTTTCCCACCCTTTTCTGTGGCCTAGGACTGTGATCTGTATGGACCACACTCTAGCTTCTAGGTGAATTCATGCAATGGGAATGCAATCACAGGAGACTTGAGAGTGGTAGTAGTGTGAGAACAGGGTATTTATTTCCCCAGCTACCTCCCTGCTGGTTTCCATTCACAGTGACTGCTCTCCTCTGCTAAAAGCCGCAGGTTCTATCAGGTGACCCTCTCCTCTAACTGTCTTGAGATTCTAGTAACTACTCTGGGCATTTTGCCTTCAGGCTGAGGGTGGTATTGGCTCCACATTGTCCTTAGCTCTGGAAGTGTGCACCATCTTTTACTAGTTTCCTAAACTCTGCTTATACATTGGTAACCACCTTTATTTTTATTTTTAATTTTTGTGGGTACATAATAGGTATATATATTTGTGGGGTAATTGAGATATTTCTGTATAAGCATGCAACGTGTGATACTCACATCAGGGTAAATGGGTATCCTTCACCTCAAGCATTTATCCTTTGTGTTACAAACAATCCAATAATACTCTTTAAGATATTTAAATGTATAATTAAATTATTATTGACTATTGTCATTTTACTGTGCTATCAAATATTAGTTCTTAATTATTCTTTCTATTTTTTTGTACCCATTAACCACCCTCACTTTCCCGTAAACTCCTCACTACCCTTCCTAGCCTGTTAACCATTCTTCAACTCTCTATCTCAATGAGTTCAATTGTTTTAATTTTCAGCTCCCCCAGAGAAGTGAGAACATGCAAAGTTTGCCTTTCTGTGTCTGGCGTATTTCATTTAACATAATGTCCTCCGATTCTATCCATGTTTTTGCAAATGACAGGATTTTGTTCTTTTCTATGGCTGAATAGTACTCTGTTATGTATATTTACCGTATTTTCTTTATCCATTCATCTGTTGATGGATACTTCCAAATCTTCGCTATTTTAAATAGTGTTGCAATAAATGTGAAACTGCAGATATCTTTGATAGAACCAGCTTCTTTATTAAATTCACCTACAGTGTCCTTATTTGAGTGTGCCATGTCTTTCCTCTTGTGACACTGATACACGGGTTTAAGATCAAAGGGTACAATTTATTAGTAAATGCTGTCTTAAAAAAAATGTACATAACTTTACATGTCAGGTGTCAGAAGTTGCAGCCCTCAAACTGGAATTTTTCTCAAAGTTACTGTCAATTTAATGAAACATTACTAATGCAGGTATAATTTTCTTATTATTAGTGAGGTTAAATATTTTTTCATATATTTATTAAATATATGTATTTTTAATAATCTGTTTATAACCTTTTTCCATGGAATGTTTATCTTTTAGTAATTGATAAAAGTTATTTTTTGTCTTATAAGATTATTAACCCATTGTATTATTACACATGTTACAAAATTATCCCTAGTTTTCTGTTTATCTTTCAATCTTTTCTTTTTAAACTGTATGTTATTGATATTCCTTAATGGTTTCTGTGTTTTATATCTGACTTAAAAATGTCTTATTTATCCAAAGATTGCAAAAATTCTCTTCATGTTTTACTTTCACAAATTTATGGTTTTGTTTTTTCACATTCTGCAGTAATACACCTGGAATTTTACTTTCTGTAAGGAGATAGGAATGGAGCTTTATTTTTCTATTTGGCTAATGTATGAACTCCTTGAAAAACTCTGGTTATGAGTTAAATGGAGAATCCTTAATAATATTTAGGTGCTATGAATGTACTTTTTTTGTTTTGGGTTTTGTTTTGAGAGGAAGAAGTTACTGAAAATTGCCTCTAGCTTGGCTACTACAAGATTAGAGGACATCAGATTTCTTTAATTGTCTATTTTACAGTAGATCATATTAGTCAATTTTCTTTTAAAAATTATTTCCTCTGATTTATTTGGAGCTATCTGGTCACAGAGCTTCCCAGTTATTTTGTGGAGGTGGGAGGCAAGTACACATTTAAAGTTACCCATATATTTTATTCCTTCATCTAAGGATGAGTTGTCAGAGTTTTCATTGGAACTAGATAAGAAGGAAAAGAGACTAAGAAAGATAACCCTTTTTAAATACTTTGGAAAGGCCATCTTTCCAGGGCTCTGGGTTTAGCTTTACATTCATGGGGAGGCAATAGCCATTCTCCACAAGTCTCACAGAGGGACTGTGAGAGTGAAGTAGAAAAAAATTGGAGATATTCTCAGAGTACCTACAAAACAGGTATTGGCAGAGAAATTACAAAATAAAAATAAGATATTTGAAACATCTAAAGCAAACAAGGAATTGGTATCTTAGAAGAGTGTTTTCCAACCTCTTTCAAGTTATGGTACACTTAGAAAATTATAATATCTGTATGGCACACTGGGATAAATGAACAACTTTGCCCATAGATAGCTAGCCTAGGAGGCCCCTCCTGCCCCTGCTCCCCAAGGGCTGGGGGAATCAATATTGCCATACACCTGTGGAGCCTACCACAGTGCCTGATGTGCTGACACTCAGCGATTAGAAATCCCTGCTAAGTAGAATTCTTGAAAGATATGTGAATTATCAAATTTATTTGATATTGCCAAATTTCTCACTAAAGTTTTTATACCTTATACTTTCATATTTATCACTCTTAGAAGCAGTATATGTCAATTCCCATTGGTCCATATTCATGCCAACACTTGGCACTATCAGATTTTAATTTTTGTCATTTGGCTGAGGTAAAATATGTTATTGTGGTTTTAATTTGCATTTTCTTCTGCCAGTCTGCAGTTTATCTTTTCTGTTTGCATGCCGTGTAGTCTTTTAATGAATACAATTTTGAACTTAATGTAGTAACATTCATCAACACTTTCCTTTTGAAATGTATTTTGTTTTGTTTAAGAACTCCTCTTCTACCTCAAGTTCGGAAAATATTGTCCAACATTTTCTTTCTATGAGGTTGAAAGTTTTGCTTTAACATTTAGTTCTTTAATACACAACAATTGACTGTTTGTGGGGAGGATATATAGTATGAAGTAAAGGTATGCATGCTTTTTTTTTCTTTTTCTCTTAAATTCCTACATACTGTAGGATATTAAGTTATGGTCTGTTCAGGAAAACAGAAACCATGCCAATTATTTCACACAAAATTCATTTACTTCAGGAAATTTAGTACAAAACTCTTGAAATAGCAGGAGGAGAAATAATGAGAGAGTTTTCTACAGGAACAAAAATGAAGAGATGATACAAAAAGATGAGGAAGGCGCTAATATTCCTGGGATCAAATCCACAGATCTAAAACTGCTGTTGCACTCTTGGGCATACTACCACTGCTATAACATAAATTTAAAATTAATACCCCAACATTGCTCATATAAAATAATAGATAAAAGGATAAGGAATTTTTTTATTAATACATAGAATTTATTAAAACAAGCAAGGAGTAACATATGTTTAGATGCACAGTGCTTTTTTCTGCAATTGGCCATTAGACCATAGATGATATTTACAACTTCCGTCTTCTACTACCAGTTCTATGTTCTCTTTGTCCTAACCTAGCATTTCAGTTGGTTGGAGTTTTTTTTAATCTGCATGGGTGACCCAAACTTTCATTCCTAGAAACCCGAGTTTTTAGTGGTCTGGGTACTAGTATTTCTTTCTTTCTTTTATTCTATTCTCTACTTACCATGTTTTTCTATGCCTCATTCTCTTTTTCCTCTTCTCCTCCCATTTTTATTGATTGAGGTTTTCTTATTCCCCATCCCCTCTCTACTTGCATGGATATTGTATATTCTTTTTCTATTCTTTAAGGAGCTATTTTAATTTTTTTAACATGCCTGCTTGACATAATAATGTCTAAATAAAATACTTTACCAGACTCTCCCCAAATAAAATGCTTTAGAACTATTAATACCAATTACTATCACTCCAATTTGCATGTTATTTTCATTGAGTATTTAAGTCTCCACGTTTCCCCCTTCCCAAATTAATTATCATTACCATTGTTGATTCATGCAGTCAATGCTTTATCTAGTATTTATCAATTTATTTGCTCACCTTTCCTTCATCTCAGTTTTTCTTTACTGAATCAATGTCCTTCTTGATGAAGAGTATTAATTAAAAATTCCTTCAGTGTGGATCTATTGATAGTAAATGCAACCCATTTATATTTGTGAAAAGGTCTTTTTAAAATTCCATTCCTCAATGATATTAAATCAGCACAAAATATTCATTTTATGAGAATTTAATTTTTTCTCAGCTCACTAAGGAGGATAACTCACTGTCTTCCCTTTTTAAATTATTGCTACTGAGAAATCAGGCATGTTTTTAATTGTTGATGGTAGTCTGTCTCTTGTCTTGCTTTAAAAAGTATTTATTTGACTTTGATGCTGTAGAGGCAACTTGGGAATTATGGGACTTCTTGAATCTGAGGACTGGAGTATTTTATCACTTCTGGAAAATAGTCAGCCATTTTAATAAATAGATTCTCATTCTCATTTTCCTCTGAAACTTCTTTATAATTTATGTAGGACTTTCTCATTTTACCTCTATGTCTCTTATTCTTTCATATTTTTTCATCTCTTGACCTCTGTATATTTCTGTGAACTTTCTTCAGTTTGCAAATTTAACTTTCTGTTCACTAATTCTTTCTTCATCCATATCGTTTTTAAATTTCAGTGACCAGATTTTTTATTTCTTTTTTTTTTTTTTTTTTTTTTTTTTTGAGACGGAGTCTCGCTCTGTCGCCCAGGCCGGACTGCGGACTGCAGTGGCGCAATCTCGGCTCACTGCAAGCTCCACTTCCCGGGTTCACGCCATTCTCCTGCCTCAGCCTCCCGAGTAGCTGGGACTACAGGTGCCCGCCACCGCGCCCGGCTAATTTTTTGTATTTTTAGTAGAGACGGGGTTTCACCTTGTTAGCCAGGATGGTCTCGATCTCCTGACCTCATGATCCACCCGCCTCGGCCTCCCAAAGTGCTGGGATTACACGCGTGAGCCACCGCGCCCGGCCCAGATTTTTTATTTCTACAAGTACGTTTTATGCCTTTCTTTTTTTTTCAAATTTGCCTGGTCCAATTTTTTTCACTAGCAATCATGTTTTATTATGTTCAATATAAATTAGAGGGAATAACACAGTTAATTAGGATTAAATATAAAGAAAATGAACATCCTTAAAGCAAACACACAAGTGCCTTTTAAATTCTTTTAAACAACAATGGGGTCGGGCACAGTGGCTCACGCCTGTAATCCCAGCCCTTTGGGAGGCCAAGGCAAGCTGATCACTTGAGGTCAGCAGTTCAAGGCCAGCCTGGGCAACATGGTGAAACCCCATCTCTGCTAAAAATACAACAATCAGGCTCGCACCTGTAATCCCAGCTACTCGAGAGGCTGAGGTGGGAGAATCACTTGGACCCAGGGGGCAGAGGTTGCTGTGAGCCCAGATCACGCCACTGCACTCCAGCCTGGGCAACACAGCAAGACTCTGTCTCAAAAAAAAACAATGGCCAACAACAATGGACTTACCCTCTAGGATGCTTTTATATCTAGCTTTTTGAAAATAATAAATTTTGAAGATCTTTACATATCAGCATATATAGGTCTAGTTTTTCTAAATTGCTGCAAAGTATTCTGTGTATTTTGATAGCATTAATTTCTTAGACTTTTGATTTTTTCCTCTATTTATTTTAATCAGTTTAAACATGTTGTGATGTGTTTTGATTTTTAATTATCTGAAGCTCCCAGGGTCTAATTTGCTCTTTCTGTGATTGCAAAGTGTTGATGTAGCCTTTTCTTTCCTATCTAGATCCCAGGTCAACTCAACAAGGTCATTTCACTTTGCTAGTAGACAGATTTCTCCCTATCTACCCTTTCCTGTAGGGCAGAGCCCTTTATCTGTCCTGGCTTTATGAATGTGTCTGTGAAGTGAGAGTTTGCCAGTCCAACTCCCCAACTCAAGCAGTTCCAAGGCCTTGTCTTTCGATCCATCATGTTCATTCAACTCCCTTCAATAGCAAGACTGACTAATACTCCTCCCAACTCCCAACTCAAGCTGACAAAGTGTCAGCATCCATTTACTAATCTGTCTTTCCATTTTCTCCTTGCTTTTAGCCCCAGGGGATTTTACATACTTCTTTGTGAGTTTGGCTATGCGTTTTAAACAATGCTCATTATGTTTTTATCCCATACTTACAGGTGTTTACAGTAGGATTTTCAGGGTCTTCAATCTGTCATATTGCTAGACATAGACTTTCTACTGTGTCATCACTTAGCCTTAGAAATATCTGGCTGCCACTTGTCTTTCTAACTTTCTCTCTAATCCCAGACACCTTTGCCTTTATGTGTTCTCTCCAGTATGCTTAAGTAAAGGGAGGCCTAATTTAAGTCTGAGACCCTGACGCGGAGAATGATCTCCTTGTTTGAATTTCAAAGAATGCCAAGGACACCTCTGGCAAATGTCTTCATACTTCCTCCCCTACTTTCCCTTCTCTCACATGACAATTGCTCAAGGGCATGCCTATTTTAATTTCAAGTCCGATATATATTTTATAATTACATTCAAGGCAATCATCAGTTTACTAATCTTTCAATTTTCTACAAGGTAGTAGATATAGCAAGTGACTAGAGTAAAACAACCTGGATTATAGTTTAAGCTCTGCCACTAAATTGCATGACCTTGAGTTAAATTATTCTACCTCTTAGTGCCACTATTAATCTTTATCCATATGAAACCCTCACACTGTAAATGAGTATGATCATGTCATTCTAGAGCTTACTTCTAAGAATTTATTCTAGTTACCAGAAAGTACAGAATGATTAAAAGCTAAAAGATTTTATGTTTTTAAGTTTATCTAATCATAATTTTTAAAGTCATTCATAAAAGATGAATTAAGTAACCCTTAGTATTTGTTTTCTTTTTTGTTTGTTTGTTTTCTTTAACTCAGGAAAAAAAAAGAGCCATTAGATAGATTTAAATTATTTAGGATAAGAAAATGTACCGACATTATTTGAATAGGAAAAGTCTAGGAAACTGGAATTGTAGGTGTCTAGGTTATATGAACATCTGGAGTTAACTATTCTAACCCAGAGCATAGTTGAAAGAATTAAATATAGTCACAAAGCATGTATTTCAAGAACTAACTATGGTGTTTCATTCTTTGCAGTACTTCAACATTTCAGCTAGTCTCCGCTTATGCTGTCTTCTCCTGCATGTACACTTACCCTTATTCTCACAATCCAGATGAGCCCGGAAATATTAAACAGAAGTTACTAGAGAAGATCTCAGAAGCCTGGCTACCCTAGATGCTAAGAGCTACTTGCAATAGTTATAATTTATGCACGTATTTTTCCAGGGCTACAGCGCTGTCTTTAGTAAGAATGCTGGGAAGGACATTTGTTAGTCTCTGCTCCTGGCCTTCTAGTAACCATAACATTTCAAAAGTGAACCACTCTTTATACTTCGCCTACTGAAATTTAAATGGATCCATTTTGTACTTTAACCAGTGATTAATGAGATAATTTTATCTTTAATTTTCTTTAGCAGCAATAAAGGACCTCACAGCCTGTGATACAATTTCCTCAATAGCACTGATAGCATTTTCTAGACTCTCTGGAGGCCTTAAGTTGCTAGTAGGGAAATGTACCTCCCATAGACTTCCAGTAGATGGCAGGTACAGCACTTCAAACCTCTCATAACATGAAAATACCCGACATTTCAACACATAAAAATACTGTTACCGTGTTTTAAATCTCAAGTGCCGTGGAAAAGAGTGACTAAAACTTTTGTTTACAGATCTAGTATCATATTACCATATAAGTATCTTCTTATTTTTGCCTTCTACTAAAAATACAAATGCAACAAATGAAAATATATCTTTATCAGGGAATGCCTGCAATTCCAGATTGCAAATTAAGCATTTAAATGTTGAATAATATAATCACCATGTTATAGATGTTAATTAAAGTGCTTAGTGAACAAAGATACATTTAGCAATTTTTAAATATAAATTTTTGAAGATGAGAAACTATTGTTTTATAGCAATTATTGTTTAATAGGCTTCCGTTTACATTTTATTTATTCTTTTTTTACAGATTCATAGATGGTGGGAGTACAAATGTAGATAGATATATACATACAAGCATAAATTTCTTAATCTGTTTCTTTGTTTTCTTTGAATAATTAATCCCATAGTGTTTCCTACAATTTACTATAGAAATACATTTCTACAGTGGATTTGGAAAGAAATGCCTCTGTGTGATCTATGGTAAGAAACAAAGAGGAATGTATAGGCAGGCCTCTTATAAATAGGAAATAAGCTCTTAGCCCATACATCAACTGAATAGCAAGACAGATGTTTGTTCTGAGATGAATGACTGTAAAAGCTGCAAAATATTCCATTACACATTCTTGTACATGCTTTCATTAAAAATATGTTCAAGTGAAACACATCTAAAATATCTAGACCTTTCAGCAATATTTTATTAACTCAGTAAAATCCTTTCAAAGGATTTAAAAATAGTTTTAGTTTCAACATATATTTTGACTGTCTTGTAAATCTGTCATATCTGTGTTATGCAGAAGTTGTTCACTGTGACTGGTATGACTGAGACTCAGCCAAAGTTATATCTACGTTACTTAAGATTATTTACTTGGTTTTCCCAATTTTAATACTACATATTTTAATTATTTTATTTATCTTCCCCCTTAAATCGTGAGCAGAGTTTTCTTATTAAGTTGTTTTATTCATTACTGAATCCACAGGGTTTACAATAATGCCTGGCACTTAGTGGGTACTCAGGAAATAAGTGTTAGGTGAATGAATGAATTTATTTGTAAGATGGAGCCTCAGGATAAAAGAAAATAACAAACAGTAGTCACTCAATAGATGTTTCCAGTTCCCTTTTTCTCTCTCTTCTGTCAACTGTAGCACACTAGAAACCTTGGGGTCATCCTTGACTCTTTTACTTTCCTTCATCACACCAGATTAGATCATCATTTTCAAATCTTGGCCCCTCACAGTGCGATCCACAGACTAGCAGCATAGGTATTAGCTAGGAGATGGTTAGAAATTCAGATTTTCAGGCCTCAGTCTGGAACTACTGAATAAAAGTTTGCATTTTGAGAAGATCCCCAGGTGACTCTTGCATACAGTAATTTTGAGAAGCACTGATTCAAGTTACTATGTTTTTCCTTCCACATGTCCTATTTTTCACCTCACTCTAATAACTGTAAGAAATAAACTATCTTCCAAATTAGTACACTTGCCTCTAAACTATACAACATACCACAGCGAGATTCAACTTTTTAAACACAGATTTGGTCACTTTACACTACTACTCAAGTGTCTGCAACTCCTCTTTTACTTGATTACAGAAAGTGCAAATAATCCCTCATTTTGGAATTCAAGCCTCTCCGTCATCTGACTCCACCCTCCCAACCCAATCTCATCTTTCATCTCAAATTTCATCTTTAGTTATAGTCTTGCAAATACTACTGTCATTCTTGGCTACTTTATCTCTTAATCTAGAACACACTTCACTTTTTATTTAACTAAATGCTACTCATCATTCAAGGTTTAACATAAAAGATTATTCCTCCAATCTCTTCCTTCACTGCTAGAGCCCACACAGATTTCTCCATTTTCTACTGCACATAATTATGTCCCAAAATACTCATTATGGAATATGCTGCATTGTTGTGCAGAGTTTTGTCATAAACATAAGCCTTGTTTTCCCAATAAGATTTTAAGTTAATCCAAAGCAAAATTTTATCTTTTTATCTCTTTGGTATCTCTCGTAAGTCGTTCAGAAATTTAAGTAAATTCTTAGGTTGCATGTTGAACTAATCTACTGTGGACTCTCTGGGTTGCCAGTAACAACAACAACAAAAAAAAAAGCCAGCTAGCTTAAGCATAAAGCACTGTTTCAAGAATCAAAGGTCAGAAGTGCAGTATGGCCTTGAGAGGTACCAGAACTAGAGCACGGGATGCTGTCCAGAATTATTTCTCACTCAGACCCCTTTTCTTTTCACCTCGTTTTCTATTAGCTTGCTGCAAATGTGAGTGCAGTTCTTGCCATTAAAAGTAATGCAAAAACTGCACTTACGCTTACACCAACCTGATAATTTCCACACATTCGCTTTACTCTCATTTCTGTGTAATAGCTGTCTCTACATCTCTGCTCCATGTAAAGGAAGATCATGCCCACCAGAGGCTTTGAGCCTACATATTTTAAGAATAGTTGGCCAGGCACGGTGGCTCACGCCTGTAATCCTAGCACTTTGGGAGGTCGAGGTGGGTGGATCTTTTGAGCCCAGGAGTTCGAGACCATCCTGGGGAACATGGTGAAACCTCATCTCTACTAAAAATGCAAAAATTAGCTGGGCATGGTGGTGCATGCCTATGGTCCCAGCTACTCAGGAAGCGGAAGTGAGAGGACTACTTGAGCCCAGTCGGTCGAGGCTGCAGTGAGCTGAGAGTGCGCCGCTGCACTCCAACTTGGGCAACAAAGCGAGACCCTGTCTCAAAAAAAAGAAAAAAAAAATTAGTCTCTCAAAGAAATTGAGTCAGGTTCTCCTCACCCTGGTTCCAAACTCCTGATTAGACCCACCCAGTCAACCACTGACAGAGAAGGAAATGATCTCTGCCATGGCCTCATTGTTTCTGTGATGAACGATTAATAGTGGGGAAAGGGGAGTCATATGTTAGGAAGTTATTTCCAAGTAAGTACATTATAGCCAGCTAAAATAGAATCTTAGCCCATGTCTATTTAGGTAAGCAGGGAAGAAATCTTCCCCCACCCCATCACCGCCCCCCAAGCAAGTACAGAAAGTATAATTAATCCAACAGTTTAGCTGCCTCTTTTCTTAAACCTTCAATTGTTGCTTTGTTTAGCCGCCTGATAGGTAAGATAGATGTTTCACTCTCCGGTTGATCATGGTCATAACAAAAGAGAGTTCTGGGAGTCATTTTGTCACTCAGCTTTCATCCAGGAAAGGCTGCATTTTTCAAAAAGCTTTCTAGGAATACAACTCTTCAGCTCCAGGTAAGACTCTATCATACAATTCCAGTAACCCTGAATCATATACTTCTGCTACTTAGAAAAACAAAGTTGGCAGAAATAGTTCTGTTGACAAAAATGCTGTAGGAGGATTTTATATTGATTAGGACTTTGAAATAGGTGAACTCCATTGTTTCTGACTCTGTTAACATACACACAATCATACAGAGAGACTGAGATCTCAGTCTCTGAGAAACTGAAGAAAACAGTTTCTGGAAACTGAAAGAAACAAGAGGTTAACCCTAAAATGCAGAGTTCCCCATTAATCCAAAAATATAATTATTATTTGAAACTGTGGTCAAACTAATTGATAAAGTATATTTAAAACCAAACATAAAGAAACCTGAAACAACAGGCACAATGTTGTTTGTATCAATATTTGGACACCAAACATCACTTAGGATGTGCAACTCACCATTTTGATAATATTTTGGAATTATAAGCAAAATTGGTTAGTTGGTTTTAGGTTACTGAATATTTGAATAAGGTAGATTACTAAATAAAGATCAGTGATATAGGAAAATTATAGCTGTGCCACTGTAACAGATAGTATAAATGAGGCAATTCACTTGTAGCTAATGATTGGTAGTTTTCACTAGTGATACATGAATAAAGCTACCTATAAGGTTGAAGAGCAGTAGGCACTATTTGGATACTCAAAGAATGAATATCAGGGAGCATTGAGCTAATTATAAAAATATGCTCTTGAGGAAGAATCATATGTACGGTTGTTGTGTGTGTAAATTGCGTGGAATGACCAGTTACCTGGAGTTTGGTTGATTGATTATTCAATTCCTCGTTTCGCTTTGCTCACACAGTCTCAACTTTGTTTCAGTAATCAGTGCTCATAGACTAAACTAAAAAGACCTTAACATTGGCACTTGCTTAATGCTTCAGTGAAGCTCTAACGAGACTGTTACACTGGGTCTTTCTCTGGATCATTAAACAAATCATACAGCCTCTAATTCCACTTATCAGTGCAGGCAAATGAAAAATCTTGCAGACAAATGTAGAAGGGGGAAAAATGTCACTCACTGTCCTGCAAGGTGCCTTTTAGGCTTCAGTATAGTTGTGCCTTGTTCTCAGGCCATGTTCCTCACCTCTGTAAATTGTTTTTACATTTTCCCATTGTCCATAGAGACAATCCTGGGTTTTGCGATTTCCTATTCCATCTAATAGCATGTCCTCAAATTGTCATCCACTACTGCTTTCTCAACAGGTCCCTCAACATTTTTCTTCCTTCTTCCATCTTTCTGTGGAGCAAGCCATAATTACTGCATGCTATATTATATTTCTTATATTTCTACTTTATCAGTGATTTCTATGGTTCATGATATCTGTCTTTACTTGTTCTTGTACTGGCCGGCTCTCTATCCTCTGCGATCAGGAAAAAATGTGATGTTTATAATCACTTATTCAAATACTTTATTTATTGAGCTCTTACTATGTGCCTACACAAGTGCTTCAGATACAAAAGTAAATTGCATAGTCCCTATCCTCAAGATGTCCACAGTTTGATAGAGGAGACAGATGCAATCAGATAACTAAAATGCAATGAAATTAAGTGCTAGGCATTACAGGGCACTCAAAGAAAGGAAATAACCCACATTTTCCTAGAGTAAAGATAGAGGTGAGGGTCAGGAAAGACATACTGAGGGAACTAATGCCTGAGTTGAGTCTTTTCTCCCCAAATATTTTATTGCAAAAAATTTCAGACATATAGTAAAGTTGTAAAAGTTTAGCAATGTTGAATGTTCTACCATTAACATTTCACTATACTTGCTTTTTCATATCTATCCATCCTCTATGTATATATCAAATCATGTTATCTTTGATGAGTCTCAAAGTAAATTTCATCACTACACTTTTCCTAAATGTTTCAGCATGTATATCATTAACCAGAGTTCAATATTTGTGTCTAACAGCTTTTTAAATATAAAATGTATATACAACATAACACACAAACTGTAACATTTGCTGAGCCTTGACAAATACATGCACAACTGTGTAACCAAATTCCTGTCAAGATATAGAAAGTTACCATCACTTCAGCAAGATCCCTCACTCCACTTTTGTCAA
This sequence comes from Homo sapiens, assembly GCF_000001405.40. NCBI lineage: Eukaryota > Metazoa > Chordata > Mammalia > Primates > Hominidae > Homo > Homo sapiens. Next base: position 29,999,841 of record NC_000014.9, on the reverse strand, counting down.
TCCTTACCCTGAGACAGCCACTGTTTTTTCTTCACCAAATATTAGTTTTGTCCTGTTTTAGAAGTTTGCACAAATAAAAATCATAGAATATGTTCTTTTTTGTGAGGGATAAGTTGTGTCTTAAAAGCTGACAAAGGACAAGGGACAGAGCCTTTTTGTGAGGGAGGAGGAGGAAAGTTTCATCCAATTGTACCACTCACCCACAGCCAATATAGGGCCACCTTGGTTAATTGCACAGACTAGACACAGGATTTTCTGTGAAATCCTGACTTTGAATTCTGATTACCTAGATACAAAGAATCAGTAGTCCAAATCTTTTGACTTCCTGTGATTTTTTTTTTCTTTTTCTGACTCACAGGAAACTTTTGCCCCTAGAGTCTTGGTACGACAATCTGAAATCAAGTTGCTTTTGTGTGGCTCTCTTTAAGTGTGGATTGATATAAGTATTGACCGTGTATCCCAGGCTTCCTTGGAGTCCCAAGCTCATCTCAGTTCAGCCACCTACCGGTAACACTGTTCATGCATCACAGCCCTTATGCTTTTACATGCAAAAGTACAACCAAATGCTTCTTGCCCTTAAGCAGTGTATGTAACATCCCAAAAGATAGGAATGTTACCACATGAGAAAATTCCTTAATCAGCTAAAAGAGCTTAGCAGTTATAGCTATCCAAAACAACCAATCAGATATTTTATTCTTTGGGAAACCAGGTGGCAATGAGTCAAAACACTACTTCCAAGAACTGTGTAAGAATTAAAATAAATATCCCCCCAAAAGTGGAATAAATGGCTACTTTACCACAATGCAAACACATAGCAATGTTCTCAGTAACAGTACAACAGTTTTTAATTCAACTGTACAGATTTTAAAGGTAAATTTGGGGCACAAAAATCACATAGATATAGTTGTTTAGGCATTTAAGTAATCTTTGTATCTATCCCTATTATCACTTGGCAAATGTATTACCTGTCCTAGCCCAGTCAAAAGTTTACTGACCATCACAATATTCAACAGTCTTCAAAAGCATAGGCATGATATCCCGGTAATTTGGGGGGTATTCTCCTTTTCATTCCGCAAACTCTTCTAGGCCTCCAACCAGGTGGCAAGATTCCCTCCACTTGCTGACTACACTCACCTTTAATAGATGACCCCCAGACAAATTCACTCTATATTATGAAAAGGAAAATACCCACATCTGCAGGAATCACTGCAAGTATGACAACCACCAAAAATTAAGATGGATTTCTGCTGTCACAAGCTATATGACCTTAGATATTCCAATACATTTCTTTGGGCCTATAGTTTCTCACTTTTAAAATGAAGAACAAAGTGATTCTACCATAAATAAAACAGTCAATTAAAATTTTTCTTAAAAAGGTACATAAAAACAGAAGTTATTTTTAATGTAATTTTAACATCCTTATTTCATATAGGCCCTCTAGACAATAAATTCACATCATTTTGTATTACTTGTTGTGTTTGGATACTTACTGTGTACTAACCACAAGAGCATTTTCCAGAGCCCTTGTGATTGTAAGGGTTAGGGTGTTTTTAAGTAAGTTTTTGTGTACTCATTAATTCAATCCTATGTTACTCATTTCCCTATTATGTGCTCCATATATTTTCTACAGAATTTAGTTCATCTATAATAGGCAACTAAGAATTAAGAAATAAATGAATGACTGAATAGAAAATATTCTATTTTAACTTTCAAGAAACTAGCACATAAGATGGAAGTTCTTCAGCCCGCCTCCCCATTCCCGCTCCCTGACCACTGGTACCTTACAGTCCTATTTTCCCTGGCCAGGTGCTGCTTACCCATGCAGCACCTTTGTGGGAATTTTCTCATTTATTACAGCCATAAGTATAAGGGGGCAGGTCATGGGGGATTGTATCCCACAGCCATCATTCAGAACTATGGCTCTGAGAAATTTGTCTTGTTTATACATCACTACATTTCTGGAAATAAAATTAAATATTGCCAGTTTATTTCAGTCTCCCTAAACCATTACCAATTAATAATTTGGCAATAATAAGTTATGCAAATAGTGGAAGTCATCAACTGGGACCTGTTCAGATGACATTCATAAAGTTGCTAATAAAAATGTATCTAAATGGGTATATATTAAGTATAAATTTTCTAAAGATTGTGTATGAGTAAAGCCCCACACAATGAATTCCATACCCTCATGTACCCACATAAAGTCATTGGATGGTTCTCTCAGCAATTACATCACATATCATATATCCACTCTAGATTCCCCCCTTTTTTTCTTTTTAACAACAAATTAAATTGTTACTGCTATTGGATTTTGTTACAACAAATGTATTATTATTAAATAAATATTAGTTATTGAATAAGATTACATGTGAGTCATTTCTTAGTGAAAGTGCTTGTAGGTTTAAACTGGGAACTCAGCAAACCTTCTGGTGGAGTAATGTTAGATGATATTAACTGCAAAATTAAGCATTAGAATTATCCAGAATAAACAATCAGGCAATTTTTTTAATGTAAAGCTATGCCCCCCTACTAGTGAGAAAAAAGCTCCTGTTTTAGAAACACAGGTTACAATAGATCAATGCAACCTGTATTGAATTCGCATTACCTTTTTAAGTCAAAACAGGGCAATCAAAACCAACTCTATAGAAACGAGATTGTTTCATTTATTTGCTATAATAAATTCCAGAAAATTGCCATAAATATACAAATCACCCATCTCTGGATTAAACACAGTTATAGTGAAAATATGCAAGATGAAAAATAAAATAGATATGAATTAAAACTCATTAGATATGATGCTTCTGTGTAGTGCACAACCTAAACAAGCATATGCTGCAGCCCAGTCCCTGACACATGACTCTTTTGTATCTCCAGAATTTTCATATCCAACCCCCTCTAATTGAAATATCACAGCAACTTTTATAATTCTGACCAACTTCTGTTCACTTATTTTCAGACAAGTCAAATTGAGCCTATCTAGTGGGATAGGTTTCCACTAGAGGAATAGAACTGTCTCCTCCTCCTTCATTGATACATTCTCTGTGTTCCCATAACACATGGTTCATTTTGCACTGCAAAACACTTATCAGGTTGTTTTATGATATAATCAGTAGTGTGCTAGTAAACAAGCTCCCTAGGGGGATGGGAAGCCCAGATTTGTAGCATTTGTCAATTTCCATGGTATAAACACATCCACCATAACCGATTTGAAGCTATCAATGGCTTAACAACTGGCTGGCAAAAAAATCCCAAATGTTTAACAGTTGGTTCTCATGAGCCCTTATGTCATTTCCAGTACACCAATGGATATCATAATTTTACATATCAGTCTCCTCTACTACACTGTTAATTTCTCAAAGGCAGAAATCCTGTATCATGTATCTCTGTATCTCTACAAGCTAACACAGTGCTTGGTATAAGATAAGGGTTTAAGAAATATTTTGAGATATTAGCTTCTAACTGTTTTCTATCTGGAGTTCTCATTGTCTGTTCCACAGTTCAAGCAACTTACTTTGAGTTCATTGATTTAGAGAATATGTTACAGGATAAAAACGAAGCAAACTGTGATTATCTGGCCTTTATAAACCAAAAGCCTGAACCCCAGAGAAGGGAAAGGATTTAAGGTACAGATAGAATGTTAAGACATTATATCTCGTTAAATTTTATAAGCATTTCTTGTCTTCTCCAGTTATTGAGTACAGTTATTAATTTTATTGTCCAAATCTTCTGTATCCTCAACATGTTTTTCCACTTGGTCTATCTATCAATTATTGGTAGAAGGGTCTTGAAGTCTTCCTCATAAACAATGAATGCCAAGTTCTCTTGAAGGTTTTATCAATTTTAAAAAACAGCTTTTCAATTATATAATGTACATACAGAAATTACATGTAATATTTACATAAAATCATAGTATTCTGTCTGACGAATTATCACAACTCAAATACAGCCAAGTTAGGAACCCCAGAAATTCCTTTATGCCACGTCCAATCATGAACTCCTTCTTTCCCGAAGGTAACCACTATGCAGATTTCTAACATCAGTTAGTTCTGCCCATCTTTAAGATTCATATAAAGTGAATCACACATTATATATTATTTTGTGTATTTGATTTCTTTCAATCAACTTATGTTTGTGAGATTTATTATTGCTGTTGCATTTTACTATAATTTATTCATTCTATCATTAATGAACACTTAGATTGTTTCCAGTTTAGGGCTGTTAAGAAAAATTTTGTATTTTGGAATATATTTCTAAACATTACCCTTCAATATATATATAGATAGATGATTTTGCCCAACTGTAGGCTAATGTAAGTGTTTGAGCACATTTAACGTAGACTAGGCTAAGCTCTCATGTTCACTAGGTTAGGTATATTAAATGAATTTCAAACTTATGGTATTTTCAACTTACCATAGGTTTGTCAGGATGTAACCCCATCACAAGTCAAGGAGCATCTGTACCAAGGTAATTTTCATAGTTCATACCCTTGAGAAGCTTGAAGTTTAATGGAAAAGGCAAATTCAATTAGATAACTAAAATACAATAGTCAAAATATGTGCAAGGCGTTACAGGAGCTCAAGGGAGGAGAAAATAGAAACTCTTATACTAGAGTAGAAATGGGAGTGAAGGTCAGGAAAGACATTTCAGGAAAGATACTAATGCTTGAGTTGCGTCTTTTTTACCCCAACATTTTATTATGACAACTCTTAAACATACAGTTGTGTTGAAACAATTTTAGACGTCCCACCTCAAGAAGCTAGAACATTATATCTAACATTATATCTAGAACATTCCAATGCTTTGAAAAAGAAAAGCATTGGAAAAAAAGAAAAAGAAAAGCATTGGAAACCCAAAGTAATCAAAACAGATGGCAATAGCAAAGATAAGAACAGAAACAAATGAAATTTAAAGAGAAAAATAAGTCAAAGAACTGAAACAAATAACTGAAACAAAGAACTGGTTATTTGAAAATATCAATGAAAATTACAACCCTCTACAAAGATTGAAGAAATAAAAAAAGTGAAGATACAAGTTATCAATATCAGGAATGAAACAGGGGATATCACTACAGATCCCTCAGACAGTGGGAGGATAATAAAGAATTACTGTGACCAACTCTACACACATCAGTTTGAGACCTTGGTGAAATGGATTACTTGTTTGAAAACCACAAACAGATTATTTGATAGATAATATGAAATAGATAATTTGCATATCTCTATTGTTAACGGAAAAATCAAACTCTGTATAATATTTTAAGAGGTTTATTCTGAGCCAACATGAGTGACCATGGCCTGGGAAAAACACAAACCCACGAAGCCTTGAGTAAGTGGCCCTAAGATGGTTGGATTACATTTGGTTTTATGTATTTTAGACATGCAGGAGTTACAGACAAAGACATAAGTTAATACACGGAAGGTATACATCAGTTTGGCCCAAACAGTTGGGATATTTTGAAGCAGGGATTTACCAGTCATAGGTGGATTCAGAGATTCTTTACTTTGCAGTTAGTTAAAGAGTAAGGCTCTGTCTGAAACTTGGAGTCAGCCAAAAGGAGTATATAAGTTAGGATACTATGCCCTCTCAGAGTCAGCCACAATAAAATGACTTGTTTAGCAAAACTGATGGCCTGGCCTGCAGGCCTGACTTAATCCTTGCCTAACATGGCTTTAGGTCCTCTTTGTAATTTCGTATCTTATTGTCACAAATAACCTGTTTTGTTTGTCTTATGATGTCTATTTTAACATTAATTCTGTTCAGCTGTGTCCATATTCCAAAAGGGAGAGGGTAAAATGAGGCATGTCTAACCACCCTTCCCATCATAACTGGGAACTCAGGTTTTAAGGTTTCTCTGAGGTCCCTATGGCTAAAAGGGAGTCCATTCAGTCACTGGGGGCTTAAGATTTTATTTTTAGTTTACACTATTAAGGAAATGGAATTTATAATTTTAAAACTACCAAAAAAGAAACCTTCATGCCCATATGATTTCGCTGGAAAATTCTGCCAAACTCTTGAATTAGAGGGGAATTAACACCAATTCTACACAAAATTCCTCCAGAAAATAGGAGAAAATGGGACAATTCCCAGTTTATTTTATGAAACTAGTTGTGATGATTGATTTTATATGCCAACTTGACTGGGTTAAGGAATGCTCAGATTGCTGGCAAAACTTTATTTCTGAGTGTGTCTGTGAGGGTAGGTACAGATTAGCATTTAAACCCATACACTAAGTAAAAAGATATGTTCTCACCAATTTGGGTGAGTATGATACAATCCATTGAGGGCTAGAATAGAACAAAAAGTTGAAGGAAGGGCAGTTTTGTTGTGTTTTTTTTTTCCTCTCTTTGAGCTGGGACATTCATCTTCTTCGGCCATTGGACATTGCAGCTCCTGGTTCTTGGTGTTCAGACTCCAGGACTAACACCAGCATTTCCTCCTCACACATATGGTTCTCAGTCCTTTAGCCTCAGACTGGAAGTTGCAGCATCGGCTTTCATGGTTTTCAGGACTTTGGACTCAAACTGAATTACACCACTGGCTTTTCTGGTTCTCCAGCTTGGAGATAGCATATTGTGGGACTTCTGGGCCTTCATAATTATGTGAGCCAATTCCCATCATAAATATCCTCATATATATTCCCAATTTATTTTATGAAACTATATGTGTGTATATGTATATATTTGTATATACATACATATGTGTATGTATACATACATATATATACATATATATATGAGAGAGAGTGAGACAGAGAGAGAGAGAGAGAGAAATCTCCTAAAATTTATGTATAGAGAGAGAACCTATTGGTTCTTTTTTTAATTTTTAATTTTAATTTTGTGTGTATATTTATGGGGTACATGAGATGTTTTGATATAGGCATGCAATATGTAGTAATCGCATCATGTAAAATGGGGTATTCATCCCTTCAAGCATTTATTCTTTGTGTTACAAGCAATCCTATTATACTCTTTTAGTTATTTTTAAATGTACAATTAAATTATTATTTACTAATAATTTAATAATAGTCACCCTGTTGTGCTATCAAATACCAGATCTTAATCTTTCTATTTTTTGTATCCATTAACTATCCCCACCTGCCACTCGACCCCCACTACCCTTCCCAGAACCTACTAACCATTCCTGTACTCTCTCTCTCCATGAATTCAATCGTTTTGATTTTTTTTTAAGAATGAGATCCTATTGGTTCTGATTCTCTGGAGAACCCTGACTAATACACTATTATTACCATGATGTCAAAACAAGAGAAATACAGTAGACCAATACCCCTCATAAATATAGCCACAAAAATTTTTACCATAATATTAGCAAATAGTATCCAGCAGTATATAAAACACTATACACAATATATACATACTAGGTGGGCATAAAAGTATATATATACTAATATTTATCTTATTGTGGTTTTAGTATGTATTTTTCTAAAGTCTAAGGTTCAAGAAGCCTCTCATATAGTTATATGTGTCTTTTTTATGAAATATCTGTTCAGATCTTTTCCCCATCTTTTATTGTACTGTCACTTGCTTATTGATCTGTAGGAGTTTCTTGTATATGCTGGACACAAACTCTTTACCAGTTACAAGTGTTGCAAGTATTTTCCCCTTTGTGACCTGTCATATCCCTCTTAATTGTATCTTTTGTAGACCGGAAGTGTTTGATTTTATTGTTGTATAGTTTATTCATCATTTTTATGGTGTTCTTTGTGTTCTATTTAAGAATTGTTCCCTATTATGAAACTATGCTCCCTTAGTGCCCTTTAGAAATTTTATTACTTTACTTTTCATATTCAATTTGTAATCCCTTGACTTTTCATGGTTTAAAGTAGAAATTATTTCATTATTTTTCCCAAATAAATATCTAATTGATGCAGTACAATTTATTGAATAGATCACCCTATTCCCACTGCTTTGCATGGCTTTCATTTTTGTCATTATATGTGTAGTTCTGTTTCAGGATTCTCTACTCTGTTCCATTAGTCTATTAGTCTGTCCTTATGCTAACATCACAAAGTCCTCTAATTATTTTTTCTTTTTCTTAAAAATGGTCTTGTTATCCCTACTTCTTTGCATTGCCATATGAATTTTAGGATTACCTTGCCAACTTCTACAAAGAACAAAATAAGATATCACTTGGATTGGCATTGCATTTAATCTACAGATCCATTTTCAATACAATCAATGAACATGGTCTATCTCTTCATTTATTTAGGTCTTCTTTAATTTTTCTAACAGTACTTTACAATTTTATGTCTGCAGATTTTTATGCTATTAAGTTTATTCCTCAGTATTTGATTTTTTTATGTTGTTACAAATGCATTATTAGTCACTTAAATTTTCAGTGTCATTTTCATCATAAGTACATTGGATACAGCTACTTTAGATGAAGAAAATAAAGCATGTGGCAGTTAATTAACTTGTACAAGACTACACTTCTAATAACTGGTAGAGTGAGTATTTAAATCCAAGCAATTTGGAGCTTACATTCTTAACCACCATTTTATAAGATCTCATCATTTATTAATGATTTCAGAAATACCAGTCGACTGTGATGAGACTGGCCATAGAGTTCTATAAAATGCCCTGTAACTCTGGGCATAGAAAAGGAAGAAAGGTCAGTGTAGCCTTATCAATTTGCTGACATCACTAAATTGCAAGATTCTCAAGAAAATAAAAATGCAAACTTTAAAGATGATTTTTAAATCCTTATTTTCAATGCGGAATTGAAAAAAAAAAATAAAAAAGAATTGAGCACAAGTTGGGTGATTCCAGGGACACTGGCTCAGGCTCTTGCACTATCATGGCCTCTCAGCACACCTGTAAGTCCTGACTGGCATTTTTCATTACATATATACATACATATATATACACACATATATATATATATGTATATATATACACACATATATATACACATATATGTGTATATATACACACATATACGTACACATATATACGTATATATACACACATATACGTATATATATGTATATATACATATATACATATACGTATATACGTGTGTATATATGCATATATACACGTGTGTATATGCATATATACACGTGTGTATATGCATATATACACGTGTGTATATGCATATATACACGTGTGTATATGCATATATACACGTGTGTATATGCATATACACGTGTGTATATACATATATACACGTGTGTATATACATATATACGTATATACACGTATATACGTATATACATATGTATATATACGTATGTATATACACGTGTATATACGTGTATATACGTATGTATATACACGTGTATATACGTGTATATACGTGTATATACGTATATATACATATGTATATATACGTATATACGCGTATACGTGTATATACACGTATATACGCGTATACGTGTATATACGTGTATATATATAACTTTAAGTTCTAGGGTACATGTGCACAATATGCAGGTTTGTTACATATGTATACATGTGACATGTTGACTGGCATTTTTCTAGCTTTATGGGAAGCCTGATGGACCAGACTCCCAATCCTGGCCCAAGGAAAAGCAATAGTTGTGTTCCCCCAAAAGGGCAAACACTAAAGCTGCTTCCTATGTGGTGGCCTGTGGGCACCAATGGAGACACTAAGAATAAGGGGAGAATTCCTAGTGAGAACTCTGCTCAGCATGGCATGACAGCATCGTATTTCTGAGATTTAGAAAATTGTAAGCACTCTTCTTTTTGCCATGATTATGGAGCAGATGGACTTTTTTAGGGTAAACGTTCCCCTTTCAAAGACTGCAGGGCTAATCTTTTCATGTTTGGGGATATAGTAGTCAGGGAGGTGTCGGTTGCTGCAACTTTTGGTCTGCTGATACAGGTGGCTGTAGGAATCTCAAGAAATGAGACCAGGAGCAGAGAGTGGAGCCTCACTGGCTCCCAAGAGCCAGGCTCAATCGCTTCTCTTTTCTGGCACCAGAACTCTATGAAGAAGACAAAGTTATAAGTGGAGTCAGGTTGGAGAACTGCCCATTGTTCCTCACCTCCAATTCCTTGCCTCAACTTCCCACCAATTATGTGAGGCCTGCCAAGGGTTTATTCCAAACAAGGAACATTCCACTTGAACCTATAGCTGAGCTTCCTATGAAGCAGGACTGTGACCTTCCTGAGGGAACACATAGTGACCCACAGACAAAGGAGGTGATATGTCTCTCCTATAATGAGGCTCCTGTATTCCACATGTGGAGAAAAACCACCACACAGCCAGCCACTGCTATTAGAGTAAGAGTTACAGTCCTCAAAAATCTGTTTGGGGCCAGAGACACATGTCTCACACTCTTGAGATGGGGTGGAGGGTAACATCTAGATGAAAAGTAAAATTTATTAGCAGAAAAACAGAATTTTTATAAGAATGTGTCAAGATAATATTTTTTTCTGCTATTATGGTATAGTTCCTGCCCCAGTTTTTCCTTCTTTCCACTCCCTCAATTAAGACAAATAAAAGATAGTCTTTATTGTCTCAGAGAAGGGATGTAAGAGGATTTAAAACATAGATTAAATATCTAGGACAGAAACATGAGGGAGAAAAATGCCTGGAAACTTGATAAAATGTCCTTGAATCAGAGGGATGGGAGGAGAAAATGGTGTTGCTTTGAATAACTTTCTGAGAATATGGCTGAAGACAAACAGGATCTTGAGCAGTGTCCCAAAGGGAATCCCAGGTTCTAAGAGTAGCAGAGAAGATGAAAGGTTTGCCTAGACCTTAAAGGCCTTGCTGACTAAATCAATGAACATCCTAGCAATATCCTATATGTCCCTCTCCCCATTACCGTATCACCTTGTTGCCACATCATCTCTCAAAGACATAACACAACCCTGAAGAGGATTAATGAGACTGATGCTAGGATTTCCAAACACAAAGTGACAAAACATGGGGAGAAAGAGGAGTTTTATTTCTTGGACTTCTTAGAAAAGAAGTTTATGGTGTGAAGTGTATAACTGGTATATTTTATTCTATCATACCTAATATGGCTAAATACACTATTTCCCAGAATTTTTTTTAGGGTGAAAATGGGGATTCCTCAGTTAAACAGTTCTGTAATATGCTGTGCAAACTGTTGGGTTATTATTTCTGTTGTTCATGAAGCAAGGAGTTGTTAGTTGATCAGTGCTAGAATTGGCCTGGGGGCCACAGCAGAGAAACAAAGACACCAAAAGTCCATGCTCTGAGTTCAGGAAAAGCTGGTTTGGGGGGCCAGCCACCATTCTGAAAGGCATCTTGAGAGGTGGCATTTAGCAGAACCAGGTGAAATGGTCCAGGACTTCCCCTTCTCCAAGTCACCAGTTCCCATGGAAGATTGAAACTCACGAGTTGGCCTCAGTAGGTAGATGAGATTGGGGTTTTAGCCTTGCAAGGGACTGTGACAACATAATACAGAGAAGCATATGCTTCAGAGGAAAACAATATGATATTGCCAGCTACCAGTCAGCAAAAACTTACAGCTAAGTTTCTGATGGGCCACCAAAGCCAGAAGCTGCTGGGAGTGAGTCCCTTAACAAAGCCACCACTTCTTTTACAAGATGATGATGATAACCTGAATAGAAATTATAGCCACTTGTAAAGACAGTCTGTTAAACAGACATTGGTATTTTCCTTTTCTCTTCTGCCCCATCAGCAGAGGAAAAAACTGTATGATGAGGAAGAAAAGTAGAGTGTATGTAAAGACAGACTATGTCTTGTCTCTCTCTGTCTCTCTTTTTATATTAATGGTCAAAGACATTTTGGAGTTGCCATGTTAAAGCTAAATATGTTTCATTAAAGCACTGCTTCTTGGAGCATTTAAGATATGAAATCCTGAGAAAGAGACCATTATTCACAATGTATCCCAAACTCATTTAAGTCACATAATACTTTTTTTTTAAAGAACATGGTATAAAGGGCTAGTGTACTGCTGCATACCTTTTGAGAAATGTGAGAGTATTTGCCTATACTCAGCAGCAGGGTAGAAGTTCACAGAACACAAAAGAAATATCCAAGTTTATTCCAACCCAGTGGCTAAATAACATCCATATTTCTTTAAAAAATATAATTAGGCAAGTATTCTTCTCTTCAAAGATGAAATGGTAGTGAATATCAAAAGGTTGAAAATCCTTTCATCTATATACAGGCTATGGGCTATGAATGTTTGAGGCTTCAGCAGGTTACCAGGTGTTTAAATGACCCTGTTTTCCAGAACAAAACATTCTGGAGAAATTATTTCTCTCTGAGCCTTTGGCTGCTGTAGAACAAGATAAACAAGTTTTATTGAAGGAGAAAAAAAGGTAACTTGCATTTCAGGAAGTAAACATGTTATTCAAAAAAGTAAGTAAATTTATCTTCAAAAATATCTATCTGATTGTATTCTGAACTCCTGCTTTACCAATGCATTCACATTTCTATTTGCTTCTTGTCAGCTTCTCCACCCTTTCCTTGAAACACATTCATTTTTAAAGATTAAATTTTTTGTACATACTTATCCCCCAACACACACACACACACACACACACACACACACACACACACACACACCCCTCTTTATATCTTTCTCTAAAAATACAAGGTCATTTCTTACCATTAAATATTTCTCTAATACATATCAGTTATGTTTGGTTTTGTTCTAGCTTTGGCAAACATAAAATTAAAGGTGACTATTAATGATTGAATTCCATAAAGGGGAGACCTAATCAATGTAAAGCTCTCTTTATTTTGTCTTTGTTTAACTTATATAAACTAGAGTTAAAACACTTGACGTACAACCTTGTTTAAAAAACCTAAAATCAAACCACAACAGTGAATTTGTTCTCATTTTGAATTTCAGCCATTAAGTGAAAATTAAATTACATATGTAAATTGCACTTTTCAATTACTTGCATTTATCTCTTTATCCCCACAAAATGCACACAACTCATCTCAAAAAAAGTTATTGTTGGAAGGACAAGTACGTTGGTACCTAAAGTCAAATTAGTTTTTATCAGTGAGTGACATATAACTCTGAAAATTTTCAGTATAATTCTAGTAGGTGGGATTAAGAATCTCAACAGTTGCCAAGAATAATAAATCATACCACATTTTGAATGTGTTCACCTCTCATTTTCAGACAAAAACATTAGAGGATAAAGTGAGTGAATGTGCAATGCAATGTATGAGATAATTAAACATTATCTTGGGACAACCTTCAACTCCTCTATTTAGAACCTATATCCCTCCATGTAGTCTCAGCATCTAAGCCATCTTTCTAAACTGAGTTGTATTCAACACACAGGAAAGGGCAATATTTCAGACATAGGGACTGCTTTCCCACTGTTTCTTCATCATACCACAAATAGACACAAGGCAGGATTCAGTGATGTCAATAAAGATGGAAATGTACTTCACAGCTTATTTATCACTTGTTGTTTCTTATGCTTTTAAAAATTTGCCCCGTAATTTTTATAATTTGCTATAGTAACCATTCAACTTATTTTGATAGTCAAAAAATAAAACACCATTGGAAAGCAAAGCACTAAAAAAATTATCCAAACTGGCTTCCTATCCCAGCAATGATGGATTTTTATGACATTTTTAAAGCAGTAATGGAAAAAGCAAAACAGCAGGTAACTAGCTGGCATATTGAACAAGTTAAATAATACTAGGTTGAACATATGAAATATGTTCATATGAATATGTGTGAAATAACAAAGCACATATATTTTTTTTTTTTTTTTTTGAGACAGAGTCTCACTCTGTCACCAGCTTGGAGTGCAGTGGCACGATCTCGGCTCACTGCAACCTCTGCCTTCCGGGTTCAAGCGATTCCCCTGCCTTAGCCTCCAGAGTAGATGGGACTACAGGTGCGCACCACCACGCCCAGCTAATTTTGTATTTTTAGTAGAGACGGGATTTCACCATGTTGGCCAGGATGATCTCAATCTCTTGACCTCCTGATCCACCCGCCTCAGCCTCCCAAAGTGCTGGGATTACAGGCGTGAGCCACTGCGCCCAGCCACAAAGCAGGTAAATCTTATCTACCCTGACTTGCTGATGCCCCTTCAGACCCCAAAGGTAAAGATGCCCTGTGTAAACTAAGGAGTTCCTCTAATGGCTGAGCTATTTGATGCTGATATGGTAGCCACTACTTACGGAAGTGCCTTCTATGTACAAGGAATTTTATATTATTTATCTTATTTAATCTAAACAAATAAAATATTGGTATATCCATTTTGCAAATAAAGACTGAAAGCTCAACTAAGTTAGGTAACTTGCCAAATTCATGCACTGAGGAGGTCGTAATGCTCTTCTTTGAACTTAGTTTTGTCTAACTCTCCAAAGTGGGCACATGACATCCACTCCCACTTATCATATAAGTTTATTACTGCTTAATTAAATTTTGCTGAAAAACCATCTGTTTTACTATGTTTTCAAGGTGTCAACTTGGAATTAAAAATAACTACTTCCTCATTCACTGCTATTAATGTTATGAGGAAAAATGAACAGAAAAACTATAGTTGAAATACATGAGTTCAAGATGAGACTAGTAATTGCAAAACTTTGCTAACTAAAAAGTAATACAAAGTAAAGAGCAGTTTAAATTTCTTCTTCACTGCCTGGTTTCCTCTAACCCTCGTTAGATTGTCACTTAAAATTCTTCAAATGGCAGGTAATGGAAACCAGCCTAAATAACCTTCATTTTTTAAAAAGTACTTTTTGTACAGGCTCTGACAAATCTAACAGAGCTTAATGGTTTTTTAAAAATGAAAATCTTCTAGGTGTCAAGCGGAGCCTGGTGAGTGCACCTATGAGGCTTGCCCTTTTCTTTAGATCCAGTACTTTACAGGAGCAGCCAGGAGTGCTTCTGTGCATCCTGCTGCCTGGCCCAAGTGTGATTTGTCAAAGAAGGTGCATATTACACTCCCTAGAAGAGTATCTAAGAAAGGAAATACAGGGAGCTTCGGTATACATTTCAGACAAATGGACATACACTTTATTAACTCACCAATTTACCAAAGTAATCTCACTAAAATATTATAGCACATAGTTTAAGGAAGGATATGTTCAAAATCTCCATTATCACATATTACTTTATAATTTTCTTAGAGTTTATGTAGGACATTCGTGTTTCCACTTAAATGACAATGAAATTATTTAATTTGAATCTTTGCCATCCCTGTGT
Source organism: Homo sapiens (assembly GCF_000001405.40). Classification (NCBI taxonomy): domain Eukaryota; kingdom Metazoa; phylum Chordata; class Mammalia; order Primates; family Hominidae; genus Homo; species Homo sapiens. The sequence goes on along the minus strand of NC_000014.9, from coordinate 29,984,669 downwards.
TGCCTATGTTATTTAATATCATCATTCTCCATATTTTATCAATTCTACAGTGCACTTTTCCTCCCCCATTTTCAAGCTCTGGAATCAGGATATGACTTAAATTGATGACATCTTGCAATTGTTGTTGGCTTAGGACACAGTTGTAATACAGTTTTCATTGCTACTGCAAGTATGAATGTCTTACTTATTCCAGTTGATATAGCTGAACAATGGTAATTCCTTGATATTTTAGTCAAGAAAAGTTTTAAGAATCGCTTGAAGTCATATAAATCCTAGACATTGTCTAAAAGCTTTCTTTTGACACCTTCTTGTAAGTCAACAAAGTGCCAGCTTCAAAGCTTACAACTTCAAAGAAAATCTCAGAAACAATAGTGGAGAACTCTTGTTGGCACTGAGGACAATAATATATGGAAAAATATGGATTTTGACAATTCTGAGTAAGAGATTTCTAAGAATTAGATTCTGAATGTAAAAGTGTTTTAGAAATGTTTTAACTGATTTATTTTGCTTACATATTCCTTTCCACAAGAGTGAAATATGACTTCTAAAACCTCTGTCTAAATAAATCTAAAATAGCTCTTTCAGTTGGTTCAACATAAAAATTCTAAGCAATAAAGTATTATGTCAGAGTTTAATAGAGATTTTATTTCTTAGTGATACACAAAATAATGGTGCATTTTATAATCAGGGATGTCTTCAATCGGTAATAACCTAAGCTAAAATAATCAGAGGCTTCTGCAACATCTTCACTCTCTGTGCCCAGTTAAATACAGGACTCAATCAATTTTGCTTCTGGAATACAATTTTACTCTGACAATTCTTCTCCATTCCCACTGCTTTTCCTCTAATGATAGACCTCATAATTTCTTCCCAGATTATTACAACAGTCTTTTGTAGATCTCTTGGCGTCTGTTCTTTTCCCAGAGCAATACATTTTTCTCAATAACTGAATGATTTCCATGACATGCAGTTATATTCAGGTCACTACTCGGTTGCAAACCCTCAATAGCTCCGCATTTCTTAACGCATAGCTGGTAAACGAATTGTAAACATGTCTTCTCCCCACATGCCCATGGTTCTTTTTCTCCTTTCATTTATATGCTCAATGAAGCAGGGTCTACTTTGTCATTCCAAGTCCTTTTCATAGTACTGGCTCATAACATATTCTCACTAAATTTTTGATGAGTGAATAAATGAGCCCAATATGCTTCACAATCCATCTAAACACTAAACTCCAGACAGCAACTACCTATCTCTAATAGTTGTCATTCAAGGTTGACTATTCCAAATCCACAGGATGAAGTCCTAAACTCTTTAAAACAGTAATCAAGATTATTCAGTCTTCCCTCTATGTTCTTTCATATTCTCATCTCTTGTCCCTCTCTGTCATGCATGCTTATACTCCAACCGCATCAGACCACTTGACATTTCCTGAATAATCCTGCCAAAAGTTATCACTTCTTCTTCTGTGCTCCCCTTATACTGCTAACTCAGCATTGCTATACTGAGTTAATTGTATATGTGCCTGTTTGCCCTCTAGGAAAAGACATTACACCATAGTCATTTTTTATGCCCCAAATACACAGCATCATTTCCATTGGAAAATGTGCTGAAGTTAAATGTTTATGGATGACTATATCTGCTTCCCAGGGCTGCCATAACAAATTACCACAAACTTGGCAGCTTAACACTACAGAAATTTATTCTCTCACAGCTCTGGAGGCCAGAGGTATGAAATTAAGGTGTCGGCAGGACTGTACTGCCTGTGAAGGGTTAGGGGAGAATCCTTTCTCATCTTTTCCAGCTTCTCCAGGCTGCAAGTTTTTCTTGGTCTCTGTCTTCACATAGCTTTTCCTCTTCTCTGTGTGCCTCTCCTCTGTGTGTCTCTGATAAGGACACTTGCCATTGGATTTAGGACCCATCTGGATAATCCAGGATAATCTTATTTCAAGAACCTTAGTTTAACTACATGTATAAACAGCCCTTTACCAAATAAGGTCTCGTTCACAGATCCTGGGATGTGAACATATCTTTTTTGGGGAGCCACCTGTCAACACACTAAATCACTTTCTAGCACACATATTTTCCTCACAAATAATTCTAAGGGTGTAAAAGCAATAAAATGTAAAAGTAGATCTCAAAGGGACCACACACACTCACACACACACACTTCACACATTTTGAATAATGTGAATGCATACTCATTGTTGCTTAAATCTCAGGCTAATGTTGCCATTTTACATTAATGCATTTTTGCTAATGTTAGAATTACAGCCTTTCCATGGCATATCATTAAAATGCAAATAAGTGATTCTATTACAGAATATAAACCATGATCTCATCTCTCCACATTCAAAGTGAATAGGTATCATATTCATACACTTTCCAAAGACAAGTCAAATATATACATGTATACGTATATGTATATATATATATGTGCCTTAGTGAGAAAAAGGCAAGTAATATATATATTATTCATCTTTCAGTGAAGCTTCTAGGCATCTATACAGTCTAGAGCTTGTTGTGATGCCCATTCTAAAATGAGGCACACATTGTAATGCCCACCACAAAGAAATAGGCACAATTTTGTGGATCTCTGGATATTGGAAGCCACATATGTTGAGTTTGAACATATTGCTGTAACTTGTTTATTGGTAATCCATAAGGCAGTTTTGAGTGGTGTCAAGAGCATTTCCCAACAGGTGCAGCTGCAGTGTAAACTGCCTTGCCACCCAGGCATTAGGAGCCAGAAGATCCATCTGTATTCAGAGAGTCTGTGGCAGGAAGAGAGGATCTATGGAATACCTGGCAACCCCTGATAGGAAAGCCCCTAGGGTTTTTTAGTGAGATCATATCCTCTTGATTTAACCATTTTCCATTTGCAAATCATCTCCTAGCTTGCTTCAGTAGAGATTGAAGACTTCACCAAGGGACTTCCAGTGACTATGCAATCTGAACCACCCACATTATGATCTACAATTATTAAATTGTATAGGTGCAGTGATGCTCCAATATTAAATAAAAAATGGAATGTAAGATTGAGCTTTAGCATATCTGAGGCTCTACTAAATTGAACGAATGTGTGGCTCAGAATCCCATGGATTCTGCTTCTAGTGCTTTGCCCACTTTTTTCTTAACTTGCAATCAGGGCTCAGTATTGCAGGCTGACAAGTTCCAGAAAGTAGATAACCAGTGATTACAACTCTACTCAGAGGTGGCCCTGAAAGACAGGACTAGGGAAAGTCCTCCAAAGGAACAGAACACCTAGTTGTCTACTTGGTAGGGAAAGAGAGATGGCTGCAGGTACAGATTTATGTTGATTCATAAGAGCAGCCAACAAGGTTATTAGTTGGTCAGGGACATGGAAAGAACAATATTGAAAGAATAATAACAAGGAGGAAATAGGGAGGGACATGTCGATGAACTTCTTGGAATAGATACATTCCATGCAATTGTCACCAGAGGGCATTCACTGCGGAGAAAGATTTTAATAAATCAATAAGTAAAAACACCTGACCCATGGATATTAGCCAATTTTTAATTCCAGCTACTCTTAATGCTTGTTGAATGGGCCTATGAACAAAGGTCCCACAGGGTGAGCACAGGGCCTTGCATGAACTCAACAATATGGATTTTCCTTCACTAAAGCTAAACCCTAGCTGCCCCATTCCTAGCCCCACACACAGTCTCTTAATTCACCCCTGAACTTCACATCATCCCTGGGAAACAGGCCTACCGTGGCAGATAAGAAACGTTGAAGCAACAGAAAGACTAGTGCTCAGAAGACAACTTTTACCCACTCTACATATGTGTGCAGCATCTTCTCCCTCTCCCCATCATTTCCTTTAGGTGATATAGTGTATAGATTATGGCTATCTGGGATTGGTTTTCTACTCATTTCATACTTTACATAGAAGATGAGAATTCATGTCTTTTTAGAAGTGAGGCATTTTAAAGGAAACTAAAAATCTCTGCTAAGCTGTCATTTAAAAAAATTTATTTGACTTGCTGCTATATATACTTGACAAATACAGTTGCAGAATACAAATCTCTACTGATTTGGACCTTGAAGGTTCTTCAAATAGCCCTCTTAGCTTTCCAAAGCCCATGCTCTGACCCTATCTTCATGAGAATTTGAATGCCTTTATTAAGCAAATTTAGAACAGCTTAGATTTGGACACACCATCTTAGAAGTAATGTAACTGATTGGTTTTTTACAAATAGAAATTGGCTATTTACAAATAGGAAATTTGAATCTTAATCAGATACTCTAATAGAGGGCCATACAGACTTCAAAACTGGGGCTGAGACCCACTCTTCTGATTCCAGACTACCCAGGATAATTTAGATGGGAATGTTTGCCTGGCCTCCCCAAATCATACTCTCCTATTTTCATAAACAGACTAACCAATATAATTAGCCAATTAACAAAAAGAAAAGAAAAGAAAAGAAAAGAAAAAGAAGCCACGTGTTTTTATTTGGAGATGAGAGCATCCAGTTTCACATCACTACTGAACACATGTAAGTATATCTTTTCTTTCCCTTAGTATATACTAATAGTATGTGTTCACGTGAGAGTCTGATGTGACATCTGTCAGCAACTCTGCCCCTTCAGAATTCAATTTTTCTCAAGTCAACAGAGCTATCCATGAAATCTAGTGGTATGTGGCCACAGTTCATTCATTTCATTACCAGGAAGTTAGAGTTTGACACGAGGTAGGGGAGACATGCAGTCTCTGTCATTTTGTCTGAGTTCAAGATATATAATGATGCTGGCATTGCATGATATCTCAGTCTTCCTCTTTTTTATGTAAAAATTCAAAGTCTTATAAACTACAAAAGAAGAAGAAAATGTATTTATGTATATTTACTTATATAAACATATATCTGTATATATACACATATATATGTATGTATATAATATTGTTTCATCCAGCAGAAAAACATCAGGCTAATTTCCTCTCCTTGAGCCATAACTTACTGGCCCCATAACTTATTTGGTTTTAATTTCCTTATTTAGGTTTCCAAAAAGTAGTTGTCATTTAGAGGCTGAATTTTTATTTTGTAAGAAGGTCCTATGATCTCTTTAAATTTAGGTTGCTTGAGCTGTGAAAATGCTTATAAAAATAAACATACTTTTTTTAATCTGTCCTAGTTGTTGAAAAACTGCATCTGATTCATGCTTTTGTTTTACATTGTCTTTGCCTTTATTTTTCTGATAGAGTAAAGCCTATAAATTTTGCTACATTTTTATAATAAACATACAATCATTTTAACTCATTCCCATTGTAATCTGTGCCTCTCTATTTAGTTCACAAAGTATCCTTCGGGATATTTAGGGACTAAAAACTAAAGATTAAGTAGGGAATATAATTTTGGTTCTTGAATTTATTGACAAAATATTATACCTGTAGCTATATTATTCTTTATTTCATTGTGTCCTAGCCAAATATTTTTTTAAAATTTTAAGTTGTTAATTGTATTCACTTGAACAACATGAACTTTTGTATACTTTTTAATGAATCCCTTTATCTGCCAATTCTTGATTAAACTATATATAGTAAATCAATTAATCAAATCACATTTTGTTTCTTTCTTTTTTATATTAGCATCAGCTATACAAACTAGTTTCCAGATGGACTGCCTTGGTTACTGCTTGGTGCCAGCTAGCCTCTTAAATACAAATGGAAAAGCCACCTGATTTGATCAGAAAATTTACTTCTCACAACTTTATGTCCGTTTAAATTGAAAACTCATTACTAGTTATGGTTTTAAAAGTAATTGAGAATGATTTCCTCTAAGATCATACAGCTTCAATTCCATCTTCTATTTCAAATGCACTAAACTATTAACATGTATTTAAAATAATTGTTAAAAGAGTAATTTCTTCTTTTGGCGGGGAGTGTCTAACACTTCTGCCCTTCAGGGCTGTCCTGGGTATTTATTGGTATTTATCAGCGATGTGGCCTGATTCCTATCTGTGAAACTTACAGTCTAGTTGTAGGGATCTACCTACATGGATGAAAACAATCATAAAATAGATAAGAGCTATACAGTTATGGACAAATAAGAATATAGTCCAGTGTTGAAACATATGGTTCTGATTGTGCCTTAATATATCTTTATCCATATCTATATCTATCTATATACATATAAATATATAAGTGTATATATATATACATTATTTTATTTTATTTCACTTTAAGTTCTGAGGTACATGTGCAGAATGTGCAGGTTTGTTACATAGGTGTACATGTGCCATAGTGGATTGCTGCCCCTATCAACCCATTGTGTAGGTTTTAAGCCCTTCATGCATTAGGTATTTGACCTAATGCTCTCCCTCCACTAGCCCCCCACCCCTAGACAGGGCCCAGTGTGTGATGTTCCCCTCCCTCTGTTTGTGTGTTCTCATTGTTCAACTCCCACTTATGAGTGAGGATATGCAGTGTTTGGTTTTCCATTCCTGTGTTAGTTTGCTGAGAATGATGGTTTCTAGCTTCATCCATGTCCCTGCAAAGGACATGAACTCATTCTTCTTTATGGCTGCATAGTATTCCATGGTGTATATGTGCCACATTTTCTTTATCCAGTCTATCATTGATTGGCATTTGGGTTGGTTCCAAGTCTTTGCTATGGTTAATAGTGCTGCAGTAAACATATGTGTGCATGTATCTTTTTAATAGAATGATTTATAATCCTTTGAGTATATACCCAGTAATGGGATTTCTGGTTCTAGACCCTTGAGGAAGCACCACACTGTCTTCCACAATGGTTGAACTAATTTATACTCCCATCAACAGTGTAAAAGCATTCCTATTTCTCCACATCCTTGCCAGCATCTGCTGTTTCCTGACTTTTTAATGATCACCATTCTAACTGGCATGAGATGGTATCTCATTGTGATTTTGATTTGCATTTCTCTAATGCTCAGTGATGATGAGCTTTTTTTCACATGTTTGTTGGCCACATAAATGTCTTTTTTTGAGAAGTGTCTGTTCATATCCTTCACCCACTTTTTGATGGGGTTGTCTTTTTCTTGTAAATTTGTTTAAGTTTCTTGTAGATTCTGGATATTAGACCTTTGTCAGATGGATAGATTGCAAAAATTTTCTCCCATTCTCTAGGTTGCCTGTTCACAGTGACGATAGTTTCTTTTGCTGTGTAGAAGCTATTTAGTTTAATTAGATCACATTTGTCGATTTTGGTTTTTGTTGCCATTGCTTTTGGTGTTTTAGTTATGAAGTCTTTGCCCATGCCCATGTCCTGAATGGTATTGCCTAGGTTTTCTTCTAGGGTTTTTTGTTTTCGGTTTTATGTTTAAGTCTTTAATCCGTCTTGAGTTAATTTTTGTATAAGGTGTAAGGAAGGGGTCCAGTTTCTGTTTTCTCCATATTGGTAGCCAGTTTTCCCAGCACCAATTGTTAAATAGGGAATTCTTTCCCCATTGCTTGTTTTTGTCAGGTTTGTCGAAGATCAGATGGTTGTAGATGTGTGGTGTTATTTCTGAGGCCTTTGTTCTTTTCCATTGGTTTATATGTCTGTTTTGGTACCAGTACCATGCTGTTTTGGTTACTGTAGCCTTGTAGTATAGTTTGAAGTCAGGTAGTGTAATGCCTCCAGCTTTGTTCTTTTTGCTTAGGATTGTCTTGGCTATAGGGGCTCTTTTTTGGTTCCATATGAAATCTAAGTAGTTTTTTCTAATTCTGTGAAGAAAGTCACTGGTAGCTTGATGGGAAGAGCATTGAATCTATAAATTACTCTGGGCAGTATGGCCATTTTCACAATATTGATTCTTCCTATCCATGAGCATGGAATTTTTTTTTATTTGTTTGTGTCCTCTCTTATTTCCTTGAGTAGTGGTTTTGTAGTTCTCCTTGAAGAGGTCCTTCACGTCCCTTGTAAATTGTATTCCTAGGTATTTTATTCTCTTTGTAGCAATTGTGAATGGGAGTTCACTCATAATTTGGCTCTCTGCTTGTCTGTTATTGGTGTATAGGAATGCTTCTGATTTTTTCACATTGATTTTGTATCCTGAGACTTTGCTGAAGTTGCTTATCAGCTTAATGGGTTTTTGGGCTGAGACAATGGGGTTTTCTAAATATACAATCATGTCATCTGCAAACAGAGACAATTTGACTTCCTCTCTTCCTATTTGATATCCTATATTTCTTTCTCTTGCCTGATTCTCCGGCCAGAACTTCCAGTACTACGTTGAATAGGAGAGGTGAGAGAGGGCATCTTTGCCTTGTGCCTGTTTTCAAAGGGAATGCTTCCAGCTTTTGCCCATTTAGTATGACATTGGCTATGGGTTTGTCATAAGTAGCTCTTATTATATTAAGATATGTTCCATCAATACCTACTTTATTGAGAGTTTTTGGCAGGAAGGGGCGTTGAATTATATCAAAGGACTTTTTGGCATCTATTGAGATAATCCTGTGGTTTTTGTCATTGATTCTGTTTATGTGATGGATTATGTTTATTGATTTGTGTATGTTGAACCAGCCTTGCATCCCAAGGATGAAGCCGACTTGATCATGGTGGATAAGCTTTTTGATGTGCTACTGGATTTGGTTTGTCAGTATGTTATTGAGGATTTTTGTATTGATGTTCATCAGGAACATTAGCCTGAAATTTTTTTTTGTTGTTGTGTCTCTGCCAGATTTGGTATCAGGATGATGCTGGTCTCATGAAATGAATTAGGGCGGAGTCTCTCTGTTTCTATTGTTTGGAATAGTTTCAGAAGAATGGTACCAACTCCTCTTTGTACCTCAGGTAGAATTCAGCTGTGAATCCATCTGCTCCTGGACTTTTTTTGGTTGATAGCCTATTAATTACTGCCTCAATTTCAGAACTTGTTATTGGTCTATTCAGGGATTCGACGTCTTCCTGGTTTACTCTTGGGAGGGTGTGTGTGTCCAGGAATTTATCCATTTCTTCTAGATTTTCTAGTTTATTTGTGTAGAGGTGTTTATAGTATTCTCTGACGGTAGTTTGTATTTCTGTGGGATCAATGGTGATATCCCCTTTATCATTTTTTATTGTGTCTATTTGATTTTTCTCTCTTTTCTTCTTTATTAGCCTAGCTAGCAGTCTATCTGTTTTGTTAATCTTTTCAAAAAACCAGCTGCTGGATTCATTAACTTTTTGAAGGGTTTTTCGTGTCTCTATCTCCTTCAGTTCTGCTCTGATCTTAGTTATTTCTTGCCTTCTGCTAGCTTTTGAATTTGTTTGCTCTTGCTTCTCTAGTTCTTTTAATTGTGATGTTCAGGTGTCGATTTCAGATCTTTCTACCTTTCTGATGTGGGCATTTAGTGCTATAAATTTCCCTGTTAACATTACTTTACCTGTGTCCCAGAGATTCTGGTACGTTGTCTCTTTGTTCTCATCAGTTTCAAATAACTTCTTTATTTATGCCTTAATTTCATTATTTACCAAGCAGTCATTCAGGTGCAGTTTGTTCAATTTCCATGTAGTTGTGCACTTTTGAGTGAGTTTCTTAATCCTGAGTTCTAATTTGATTGCGTTGTGGTCTGAGAGCTGTTTGTTATTATTTCCATTCTTTTGCATTTGCTGAGGAGTGTTTTATTTCCAATTATGTGGTCGATTTTAGAATAAATGCTATGTGGTGCTGAGAAGAATGCATATTCTGTTGATTTGGGGTGGAGAGTTCTGTAGATGGCTATTAGGTCCGCTTCATCCAGAGCTGAGTTCAAGTCCTGAATATCCTTGTTAATTTTCTGTCTCGTTGATCTAATATTGACAGTGGGGTGTTAAAGTCTTCCACTACTATTGTGTGGGAGTTTAAGACTCTTTGTAGGTCTCTACAAACCTGCTTTATGAATCTGGGTGCTCCTGTATTGGGTGCATATATACTTAGGACAGTTAGCTCTTCTTGTTGCATTGATCCCTTTACCATTATGTCATGCCCTTCTTTGTCTGTTTTGATCCTTGTTGGTTTCAAGTCTGTTTTACTAGAGACTAGGATTGCAACCCCTGCCTTTTTTTAATTTCCATTTGCTTGGTAAATATTCTTCCATCCCATTATTTTGAGTCTATGTGTGTCTTTGCAGGTGAGATGGGTCCCCTGAATACAGCATACGGATGGGTCTTGACTCTTTATCTAATTTGCCAGTCTGTATCTTTTAATTGGGGCATTTAGCCCATTTACATTTAAGGTTAACATTGTTGTAGGTGAATTTGATCCTGTCATTGTGATGCTAGCGGTTGTTTTGCACATTATTTGAAGCAGTTTCATCATAGTGTCATTGGTCTTTATATTTTGGTGTGTTTTTGCAGTGGCCAGTACTGGTTTTTCCTTTCTATATTTAGTGCTTCCTTCAGGAGCTCTTGTAAGGTAGGCCTGGTGGTGAGAAAAATCCCTCAGCATTTGCCTGTCTAGAAAGGATTTTATTTCTCCTTCGCTTATGAAGCTTAGTTTGGTTGGATATGAAATTCTGATTTGAAAATTATTTTCTTTAAGAATGTTGAATATTGGCCTCCACTCTCTTCTGGCTTCTAGGGTTTCTGCAGAGAGATCCGCTGTTAGTCTGATAGGCTTCCCTTTGTAGGTGACCTGACCTTTCTCTCTGGCTACCCTGAACATTTTTTTCCTCATTTCAAGCTTGGAGAATCTGACGATTATGTGTCTTGGGGTTGCTCTTCTTGAGGAGTATCTTAGTGGTGTTCTCTGTATTTCCTGTGTTTGAATGTTGGCCTGTCTTGCTAGGTTGGGGAAGTTCTCCTGGATAATATCCTGAAGTGTGTTTTCCAGCTTGGTTCCATTCTCCCCATCACTTTCAGGTACACCAATCAATCATAGGTTTGGTCTTTTCACATAGTCCCATATTTCTTGGAGGCTTTGTTTGTTCCTTTTCATTTTTTTTTTCTCTAATCTTGTCTTCATGTCTTATTTCAGTAAGTTGATCTTCAATCTCTGATATCCTTTCTTCCACTTGATTTGGCTACCGATACTTGTGTGTGCTTCACAAAGTTCTTGGGCTGTGTTATTCAGCTCCATCAGGTAATTTATGTTCTTCTCTAAACTGGTTATTCTAGTTAGTGGTTCCTGTGACCTTTTATCCAGGTTCTTAGTGTCCTTGCATTGGGTTAGGTCATGCTCCTTTAGCTCAAAGGAGTTTGTTATTACCCACCTTCTGAAGCCTACTTCTGTCAATTTGTCAATCTCATTCTCCATCCAGTTTTGTGCCCTTGCTGGAGAGGAGTTGCGATCATTTGGAGAAGAGGCATTCTGTTTTTCGGAATTTTCAGCCTTTTTGCACTGGTTTTTCCTCATCCTCGTGGATTTACCTACCTTTGATCTTTGAGGCTGATGACCTTTCGATGGGCTTTTTGTGTAGGGGTCAGTTTTGTTGACGTTGATGTTGTTGCTTTCTGTTTATTAGTTTTTCTTCTAACAGTCGGGCCTCTCTTCTACAGGTTTGCTGCAGTTTACTAGAGGTCCACTTCAGACCCTCTTTGCCTGGGTATCACCAGTGGAGGCTGCAGAACAGCCAAGATTGCTGCCTGCTTCTTCCTCTGGAAGCTTCGTCCCAGAGGGACACCAGGCTGATGCCAGCTGGAGCTCTCCTGTATGAGGTGTCTGTCAGTCCCTGCTGGGAGGTCTCTCCCAGTCAGGAGGCTTGGGGGATCAGGGACCCACTTGAGGAGGCAGTCTGTCCCTTAGCAGAGCTTGAGCACTATGCTGGGAGAATACTCCTTGTCAGGATCAGCTGCTCTCTTCAGAGCCAGCAGGCAGGAAAGTTTAAGTCTGCTGAAGCTGTCCCCACAGCCGCCCCTTCCCCCAGGTGCTCTGTCCCAGGGAGATGGGAGTTTTATCTATAAGCCCCTGACTGGCATTTCTTTCAGAGATGCCCTGCTGAGTGACGAGGAATCCAGAGAGGCAGTCCGGCCACAGCCACTTTGCCACGCTGTGTTGAGTTCTGCCCAGTCCAAACTTCCAGGCCCCCTTAGCACTATCAGGGGAAAACCACCTACTCAAGCCTCAGTAATGGTGGACGCCCCTCCTCCTACCAAGCTCTATCATTCCAGGTTGACTTCAGACTGCTGAGCTGGCAGTGAGAATTTCAAGCCAGTGGTTCTTATCTTGCTGGGCACTGTGGGAGTGGGACCTGCTCGCTGAGTGAGACCACTTGGCTCCCTGGCTTCAGCCCCCTTTCCAGGGGAGTGAACGGTTCTGCCCCACTGGGGTTCCAGGAGCCACTGGGGTACAAGAAAAAAAAAAAAAAACTTCTGCAGCTAACTCAGCGTCTGCCCAAATAACCGCCCAGTTTTGTGCTTGAAACCCAGAACCCTGGTGGTGTAGGCACACTAGGGAATCTCCTGACCTGTGGATTGCAAAAACCCTGGGAAAAGCGTAGTACCCAGGCCAGATAGCACAGTCCCTCACAGCTTCCCTTTGGGTGGAGGAGGGAGGTCCCTGGCTCCTTACACTTTCCGGTGAGGTGACGCCCCACTTTGCTTCTGTTTGCCCTCTGTGGGCTGCACCCACTGCCTAACCAGTCCCAATGAGATGAACTGGGTACCTCAGATAGAAATGCAGAAATCACCTGCCTTCTGCATTGGTCTTGCTGGGAGCTGCAGACTGGAGCCATCTTGCCAGATTGAGTAATTTCTTTCAACTTAGCTTTCTAATCAATTGTTAAAACATGCATAATTATTTAAATATTGGCATATGTAAATTTGGAAGTACGGCAGTATGGAATAAACTATTTTATCCAACATTTGAGGGATAATGCATGTAAGACCAGGTGTAATTCTCATTTAATTAATATCAGGCTCATCAGTCTATGCAGTTCCATTTTCAATATTGACATGTATAAACAACAGATGCAAAGCCTATACACATTCAATAAATTTTTTATGACATTATTATGCTCATTATGGAAGAGTTGTGTCTGTCTACATAAACACTTGCACATGCACAACAGTTAAGGAAAGCGATTCTAAGCCACCTAAATACCTAAAATACACAGACCAAAAGATTTTTTGTAAGGAACAGGGTTTGAGATTAAAAGAAAATATTAGCTGGGTGTGGTGGCTCACACCTATAATCCCAGTGATATGGGACGGGGACAGTGCTAGGTAGAGAAAGCCGGGTCCCAGGCTAGGGCTCTACCCCCACGGAACTAGGTGAGGACAAGCACTCCTGCTTTTGCCGCCCAAAATATTTCATTTTCCAAGACCACGCTGGGCGGACACATCCTCATCCTGGGCCTTAAAAACCAAAGTCCCTAGCAGACAGACACACAAGTGGCTGGATGTGGAGAGGCGCACATTGGCGGAAGAAGACACAAGTGGCTGGTCACAATAGTGCGCTGCGGAAGAGTATTCCGACAGGAACCGGCAGGCCAGCAGGCCGGTGACTGGCAGAACTGCAGAGTTTGGCCCGAGTGGTCGGAGAAGAGTCAGGCCGCTGAGCTGCCCAACTCCAGGGGAAAACCATCGCCCTTCTGGCTCCCCTATCGGGTGAGAGCTACTCCCACTCAATAAAACTTTGCACTCATTCTCTGAGCCCACATGTGATCCAATGCTTCCAGCTCACCAAGGCAAGAACCCAGGATACAGAAAGTCCTCTGTCCTTGCAACAAGGTAGAGGGTCTAAGTGAGCTGGTTAACACAAGCCGCCTATAGACGGCGAAACTAAAAGAGCTTCAGGAGCTGTAAATATTCACCCCTAGACGCTGCTGTGGAGTTGAAGCCCCACAGCCTGCTCGTCTGTGTGCTGCCCTAGAGGTTTGAGCAGCGAAGCACTGAAGAAGCGAGTCACACCCCCATCGCACGCCCTGCGAGGGGGACAAAGGGGCCTTTCCCCTTTCACCAGCACTTTGGGAGGCTGAGGTGGGTGGATCACCCTGAGGTCAGGAGTTGGAAACCAGTCTGGCCAATATGGTAGAACCCTGTCTCTACTAAAAACACAAAAAAATCAGCTGGGCGTGGTGGCAGGTGCCTGTAATCCCAGCTACTCGGGGCAGGGATGGGGTTCCCTGAGTGGGGGTGGGGGGTGAGGGGGCCGTGCTGAAGCAGGAGAATCGCTTGAACCTGGGAGGCGGAGGTTGCAGTGAGCCAAGATCATGCCACTGCACTCCAGCTTGGGCAACGGGTAACAAATAATAATAATAAAATAAAATATTAAAGAAAGTGTTCTACTGATCGCTTATGGCACAATTGTTCATTTGTGCTCCTTATTTTTGTTTTACAAAGAAACATTACAGCTATGAATTTTAAACGCTTTTTTTAGTCCATGTCAATATAGTGGTAATTCTCTTTAATTATCTTTAAAATTCAGAGGCCAAACTATGTGGCATAAGACATGCTATAGTCAAGACTCTCATGTTCATGGCTAAAATCTGATGTAAAACTGTAAGTATCAAACTACACAAAAATTAGCAGGCAAACATTAACATGGCATTATTTATTCTCATCATATTTTAGGCATTTTTAAAATCTCTTCAGGAAAGACTGACTAAAAAGAGTGGAACCTACTTTGAATTTAGAAATTCTGAAGGGCGGGTTTGACTATTGACGCTAAAGATTTACAAAAAGACAGACTTTTGTGGAAAATGTACATCCTCAGCATCTCAAAGCATGTATTAGGTAATTGTATACTCCCCTTGCTAACAATGAATGTTTGTTTCCCCACAAAATTCGTATGCTGAAACCTTAGCCCCCAAGGTGACGTATTAGGAGGTGGGGACTTTGGTAGGTGATTAGGTCACTAGTGCAGGGCCCCTCGTGAATGGGATTGGTGCCCTTATAAGAGAGACACTGGAGAGCTTTCTCACCCCTTTCAAGAATATGGTCATCTATGAGCCAGGAAGCAGGCCCCCACCAGGCACCAAATGTGCCAGCATTGTGATCTCGGACTTCCCAGCCTCCAAATATTTCTCACAGTTTTATGGGCTAGAAATGTCTAAGATCAGCTGCTGAGTCTATTCTGTTGCAATGGCCCAAACATACTAAGACAGATTCTAACCTCTCTGGTGCTCTCTGCAACACTGCCTCACACATTAGTCCCCATTCTTGGGCATTTTCGAACTATTCTGTTCCACAAGGTTCTTTCCTGCTTCCTTCAGCCACGCACACGTCTTTCCCATTCAGAAAATAACTTCCCTCAACCAATCTCCACCTCTAGTTACTACTGCTCCTCTCTCATTCCCTTTACCACCAGCTACATTCAGTTTACATTGTCTGAATTCATTTCGTTAAGTATTTATTGCCTACTAGTCCTTTTACAATCTGGATTTTGCATTGCTCACAGTGTTAAAGGATGTCAGATAGGATGGCAATTGAATCTGGACCTCCACATGTGGCAATTAGTAAAAAGACAACCTAGGCTTCCCAAAGCAGCATGTTTAGGGGTCATGAAAGAGTCTGTATTACCAAAAGTAAGGAGACATTTACTAACATCCTCAAATACATGCCCTCTGCTTCAACGAGAGGTTAAACATTAAGGTTTCACTTATACAGGAGAAAGAAAAAAACAACATTCAAGAATATTACCCAGTCAAATTAAGGATAAGGACATTCTGATATAATCAAGGAAGCTGAAAATAGAAAAATCATATTTTTAAGGAAAAAGTATCCCAAAATAATTGAGAAATGAAGCAAAATTAATAGCTCAAGAATAGGGGGCTTGTAGGAACTTAAATAAAATGACAAATGACGAAACAAGGCAAAAATAAAGTAAGTCTAAATGATTCAAAGTTTCAATACAAAACTAACATCAAAAATGAATTTTGCAAAAGGAGCTATGTAATATAAAAATCATATTTAAATAAAATTGTGTGGGTCAAAAAATAGATTATATTAACAAGGAGTCATACAAGGAGTAAAAAAAGAAGTTTGCAAAATTCAAGCTGACCAAAGATATAAGCAAATAGTTTATGACTAAAAATGTATATGGATTTAAATAAAAAGAAAAATTTTTATCTGGAATTTTAAAAATTGAATGCATGCAATTATATGATGTATCCTATAACAGCCTGAAATATAAAATGCACATATTTTGACCTCTGGTCCAAGATGGTTTCAAGTTATAGATATAATACATAACTCTCTTTTACTGGAACTAACATTCCAATTGTTTTTTTAGAGGCAGAAAAAATATATCAAACAATACAAACATTTCAAACATTTTAAAAGTAGTTTTTGTAGATTAAACAGAACTTGAGGTAAAAAAATATTAAAAAGTATATAACACAATGAAAATAAGTTATGAATCATTAAGTACAGAAAGTATGAAAATATATAAAGCAAAATATTTTAGGAATACAAGTATTCATTGATAATAATGCAGTAGAAGAGATCACACTATTCTATCAATCTTTGACAAGTTAAAGTATAAATAAGGGTATAGAAGATATAAATAACATGACTTGAAAGTTTGATTTCAGAAATTACAAATATATCATTTTATGCGGTATAATAAAGAAAATCCACTTTTTTCTTTTTTCTTTTCTTTTTTTTTTTTTTTTTTTTTTTTTGAGGCAGAGTCTTGCTCTGTCACCCAGGCTGGAGTGCAGTGGTGCGATTTCGGCTCACTGCAGCCTCCAGCTCCTGGGTTCAAGTGATTCTCATGACTCAACCTCCCAAGTAGCTGGGACTATAGGCATGCACCCCAACATTCTGCTAATATTTTGTAGTTTTAGTAGAGGCGGGGTTTCACCATGTTGGCCAGGCTGGTCTCGAATTCCTAACCTCAGGTGATCCACCTGCCTCGGCCTCCCAAAGTGCTTGGATTACAGGCATGAGCCTGGCCAAGATTTTTATTTGAACTGCATTTAGCATATAAATTAATTTGGAGGCAATTGATACAGTCACCATATTTAGTCTCACACACACACACACACACACACACACACACACACACACAGTAGGAAATATATGGCCATTCATTTAAATATTTTTCTTTGTAATATTTTCTAGTTTGCTTTTGTTTTCATAGAAATTCTGTGCCTTTTTAATTAGTAGCTAATATTTCCTTAGGGCACTGATGATAATCCTATTATAATCCAAGTATATTTGTGTTTTTTTCCAATATTTATACCACAGTTTCTCTTCCTCCACCTCCTCCTCTACCCTTCTTTCTCTTCATTTTCCTTCCTTCCTTCCTTCTTGTTTTGGTTTATTTCAAAGCATTAGTTTGAATTCCAGG
Source organism: Homo sapiens (assembly GCF_000001405.40). NCBI lineage: Eukaryota > Metazoa > Chordata > Mammalia > Primates > Hominidae > Homo > Homo sapiens. Next base: position 29,967,496 of record NC_000014.9, on the reverse strand, counting down.
AAAAATAGAGATGGTGATGCCAGCCATGTCATTCCTATATTTAACTTTGATTAGGGGTGCTTTATTAAATATAAGATGAGAATTTGGTTAGAAATAGAAATTCTTAATCACGTTAATTTATCTTTACGGTTTAGAAAAAAATTTCAACCTTCTTCTGGGTTGTTAAACTTCTTTTTTGATTAATACAAAAGAAACAGATTTTCCTCTTAAGTATCAACTTTTTCCTTCATTGATCATTTTGAAGTATATTTTCATTTTTTTATTGAGCATTTTACTTAGGATTTTTGAATTGAAATCTATAAGTGAATTTATTAATTTTTTTGTCCTGGTTACTTTAGATGTTGTGTTTTCTTTCTACCTTTTTAAGCATTATGTGTAGTGAATTTATTTTAATTCTTTCGGCTAATAATAAAAATACCATAGAACTGCTTCAAGTTTGACTTTGTACCTAAAAGTTTTCATACATAGTATATTCATTTTAATTATTTTCAAAGTTAGTGTTTTCCAATATGTTAAAGCAATGTCTTTTAGCAAACATGAAAATATTATGCCTATAAATTTTAATTGAATTCCAAAATAAATTAAATATGGCCTCCCTCTTCTGTGAATTACAGTTGTAGTTTGTAATTTAAATACTAAAGTATAGGCTGAGGTGGGTGAACCACCTAAGGTTAGGAGTATAAGACCAGCCTGCCAACATGGTGAAACCCCATCTCTACTAAAAACAATACAAAAATTAGCTGGACATGGTTGCACCTCCTAGCTACTTGGGAGGCTGAGGCAGGAGAATTGCTTGAATCTGGGAGGTGGAGGTTTCAGTGAGCGGAGATTGAGCCACTGCACTCTAGCTTGGGTGACAGAGGAAGACTCTTCTCAAAACAAAACAAAACAAAAACATATTAACAGAATTTAAAACAATTTTAAAGTATTTTATGTTGCTTCTGGAATAACACATGAACAAATATTACAAGAAAAAATATAAATGAAAGAAGAGTAAGGAGAAGGAACTTGCTTTACTGATACTAAAACATATTTGTAAAGTTATAATAATTAAAACATTGTAGTATAAGAATAGTCAAGTCTGTGCTATGAAACTAAAGACCTCGCAACAGATGCTTGTATTTTTAATCACATATGATTTGTCAGAGGAGAAACTGATACTGACCATGAGGTGAACAGTTATGCCTGAAACATTAGGAAGATTCCAAGAAGAACCTCTGAAAAAACAAACGTAAAAAATTATCATATGTTTGTTGGCAAGTGAAGGAATGAAAGCACTTAATGAGACAGTAGAGAGTGAATAAACTATAAGGAGAAGAATTCAAAAACTAAATACAGATGACCCTTGAACAATGCGAGGGTTAGAGCACCAACCCCCAAATTCTCACACAATTAAAAATCTGTGTATAGGCCGGTCGTGGTGGCTCACGCCTGTAATCCCAGCACTTTGGGAGGCCGAGATGGGTGGATCACGAGGTCAGGAGTTTGAGACCATCCTGGCTAACACAGTGAAACCCCCTCTCTACTAAAAATACAAAAAGTTAGCCGGGCGTGGTGGCAGGAGCCTGTAGTCCCAGCTACTCGGGAGGCCGAGGCAGGAGAATGGCGTGAACCCGAGAGGCGGAGGTTGCAGTGACCCGAGATCACGCCACTGCACTCCAGCCTGGGCAACAGAGCAAGACTCCATCTCAAAAAAAAAAAAAAAAAAGAAATCTATGTATAACTTTTGACTCCCCAAAAATGTAACTACTAATAGCTTACTGTTGACCAGCAACTTTACTAATTACATTAATGGTCAATTAACACATACTTTGTATGTTATATGTATTATATATTGTATTTCTACAATAAAGTGAGCTAAAGAAAATAAAATGTGGCCAGGCATGGTGGCCTTCCAGCACTTTGGGAGGCTGAGGTGGAAGAATCGCTTGAGGCTAGGAGTTTGAGAGAAATGAAAATGTTATTAACAAAATCATAAGAGAAAATGTATTTACTGTTCAGTAAGTGGAAGTGGATCATAATAAAGGTCTTCATCCTGGTTGTCCTTATATTGAATAGGCTGATGAGGAGGAAGACAACGGGGTTGGTCTTGTTGTCTCAGGGGTGGCAGAGGTGGAATAAAATCCATTTTTCAGTGTACTCACACAGTTCAACCTGTGTTGTTCAAGGGTCAACTGTATATAAAACAAAAGTACACAACATAATCCTATACTTTTTCTAGTAGATAATGAACAAAGAAAATCTGCCAAATAAGAGTTATTGATAAAACATTTAAAGTAGTAAAATTTCTTTTAAATGTTTATTTAAAAAATATTTGTAGTTTAAGAGCAAGTAGAAATCATGAAAGATTATCTTTTAAGTAATTTGATAATGTATTAACAATTGTACCTCCTTTTATTATTTAACTTTGTTCTAAGTAGCACACTGTAAAATAGCTGCAGGATTCTGTCTTCTCAAGAAGATTTTTATAGCCTTTGGTAAGATTTTTAAAGTAGAAACAGAGCTGACCTTGGAGTGTAGTAATTTATTACTAAGGGCTCTCTGTAAAATAAAGTTTAAAAGTCACGAATGAAGACTTATCTTCCAAAGCCTTGTCAGGAGATAAGTTTTCTACCTAAGGACTTCATAGGAGAAAGCATTGACATTGCTGTGGCAGCTTTTATATGATGTTTCATTTATAGAAGGAATAAATGAAATATGACACTTGTCCTATCAGAGTTTATTTTGCAACCACAAACACTGCAGGTGAAGCATAACTTTTAAAATTTTTATTTATAAGATTAAAAGATGATCATAAGGTTTGCATCTCCTCCCTTTCATTCCAGAGGATATTCTGGTCTGAAAAATTATACTAATGGGAACTCTAAACCCACTGAATCCCTTGTTCTCAATGTCCTTCTTTAGACATTGACAGAGATAAGAATTCCCCCAATTAGTCCTTTGACTTACTTCTTGAGTCACCGTTCAAAGACTTCCCTGCCGGCAGGATAGGGGAGTGAACAGGGGCCCAGCCAGATGAGAAGGAAATTGATTTTTATAATAGTGTGTTAGATAGCTTTGTGTACAAGTTTACTTCTTTATCTGAAAGGGGAAGGTGAGGCTGTCTCTGCCCAATGCCCCAATAGGCTGGCTCTTGATTTTGTTCATTTAACATTTATGTACATAACACTTCTGTAATATTATCTAAATATTTCAATGTATTAAGAAGCAGGGTCCATGACATACATTTGTTTTGTATTTCTCACAGTTCTATCATAGGACTAAGAACTATAGTATAGTACTGATATGGTTAATTTTATATGCCAAGTTGACCAGGTCACAGGATATTAATAAATCTCATATACATATATGTGAGATAATATATAAATACTATTCATTCTATTTATTTATATTTCTATTGGAGATGTGTGTGTGTGTATGTGTGTGTATGCTGTTTCTCTAAAGAAAACTGACAAATATTGTACTTAATACTTTTGTGAAGTATCAAAAGTTTGCAATAGAATGAGAATCATTCTACATTACCATCTGAAACGTTTTTAAAAGTTGAAATTGATAAGCAAATATAACATTTATTACTATTTTTACTTTCACAATAATAGAAGTCCATTTACTATACCGTAGCTTTCTCTCCTTTCTTTGGTTTATCTTATTTAGTCCAAAAGTATTAGAGTCCAACTTCTATTATAGTAAACTATTTGGAATGGTCTAAATTATTTTGTTGCCTTAAATTTTTTGTTGTTTTTCAATAACACTTGAAAGACAGCTGAAGTCTAGAAATAATTTTTATATGTATGATTTTAATACTCGATAGAAATAATTTTAGATTTTGTTTCAGCATAATAATCAGTCATTAAAGTTAACATTCAGTTTATTTCCTAAATTAGGTACAATAGTTTTTTCCCAAGTGAAAGTATATTTTCTCATAGATGTCATATATCTTCAGCCACAATCAATTTAATACAGATCAACAATCCTTTGTCCACATTTATAAAATTCAAGAAGCTCTTAAAACTGAAAACTTTTCATGACTCACAAAGTGCCAGAATCAAACCCGAACTGCACTCATTTGGTAGCAAAACACAACTTGAACTGATGTGCAGCTAATTATACCATTATCCATTATTTTTATACATTTTGCCACAAAACAAAAAAAAGGAATGTTTCATTACAGTGTGGCGTTAAACCCAGACGAAGATTTTAAATACATAGTTATGTGTATGTTGGTTTCTAAATTTCAAAAAAATTTTAATTCTCAAACACATCTGGAATTGTTGACCTGCATTTGTATTTTTATTCATAATGAGATTTGTTATCAGACCAGGAAAGATCACAGTGCTTATTTATAGATTAGCCTTTGCAGGGAACTCTTCACCCATTGCTGTTTGGTTGTTTATTTTTTTTGCTTTAAGTCTCCTGGTTATGAACCTCATGATTCATTCTACCATTGCCATCATCCTCTGCTCAGTGCCTATTGTGTCTTTTGGACTAAAAGCCAGTCTTTCTATGCCTCTTGAGTCACTAGCACCCCTTCTTGCTTGACTTTCTGGGGGAAAAACTCCCTGCAAATCACTAAAGTAACCCCTTGATTTGTTCCTCTCTTAACTTTCTCTTCCTCCAACTCTAAATTTCTCACCTTATTCACCTTTTTCTATTATAATTTCCAATCAACTCCTGTGGCTTTTAAAGCATTTTTCCTCCTCTAAAAATGGGAATATTAAAGAACCTAGTTTAAGAGAAACTTATTCCAATATACTTTAACCCCAGAGACTGGTATACCAAATAGTATTCACTGTATATACATTAATGAAGAAATAAATGAAGATGGTATTGTATTCTGGTTATCCACTGCCGCACAAGCTACTCCAAGACTTGGTGGCTAAAAACAACAACAATAATATTATTATTTTATCTCATGATTCTGTGGACCAGAACTTTGGACAGGCACAGACAGGATGGCTTCTCTCACCTCCACAATGTCTAGAGTCATCTTGGATGACTCTAATGGCTGAGGCTGGCTCAGCTAGAGACTGGCCTACAATCTCTGTCTCTCCTTCTCTTCCCCTCTCTCTCAACCCATGGCAATTGTGACTATTGTGGGCTTCCCCATAGCCACAGGCGATCAGACTTCTTAAAAGTAGCTCATGGGTCCAAAAAGTAGGGGAATGGACATGAAGAGTCCTCTTAAAGGTGAGACTCAGATCTGGCACAGCATCACTTCCACTATAACTTACTGGTTTAAGCAATGAGACAACTATCAAAGAATCTGTTGCCACCTTTAATCCACCAGAGTGGGTCAGTCAACTTTCTCTATTCCCTAAAGCACTTCCCTTACCTTCTATTTTATTTATTCTGTGATCTTATAACCTGAGTTTATGATCACTCTAAGTTAACTTCCAAAAGTTTTCCTAAATTGTTATTTTCAATTTGTTTGCCTTTTCTGCAATGTTTTTGCTGCTTCTATTCTTTTTACCTAATAGTACAGAGGGCTAAGGGTGGTGATGATTATCCTAATGATACTTGCAAACTGTAGTCTAATATTTATTTAGAAATAAGCAAAGACCAAGAATGAAAGGGAGTCGTCTCATCTTATTTGTCCTCCAAAAAAGGCTAAAGTAAGAAAGTTGTGGACATCTCTGATATCTCATTTTTGTTCTCAGAAATAAGATTAGCAATTAGAGAAATTAGAGAATGCTATGTAAAAGTCAAAAGAGATGTTTTAAAAGGTTTCTCTGCTCCAATACCACATGCTCTTGAAAACTAGCTTCAAACATATTTATTTTATAAGATAACGATAAAAATTCTTAATTGTAAACAAGAAAATCCACTCTGGCTAGTATATAGAAAAAGAAGTAAAGATGGAGAAGCAAAGAAATCATATAAGATTCCAGAAACAAAGAACAGAAACACATCATAAAATTGGCCTGATGAGAAATCTATCAGCAATGTCTCTAGAATGATAGCACTGCCTGCATTAGGATAAAAAATTACTATATGGACTGGTTCCAAGATGGCCGAATAGGAACTGCTCCAGTCCACAGCTCCAGCATGAACGATACAGAAGATGGGTGATTTCTGCATTTCCGAGGGAGGTACTGGGTTCATCTCACTGGTGATTGTTGGAAAGTGGGTGCAGCCCATGGAGCGTGAGCTGAAGCAGGGTGGGGCATCACCTCACCCAGGAAGCACAAGGCATCAGGGAATTCCCTTTCCTAGCCAAGGGAAGCCATGACAGATGGTACCTGGAAAATGGGGACACTCCCATCCTAGTACTGCACTTTTCCAACAGTCTTAGCAAACAGCACACCAGGATATTATATTCTGCGCCTGTCTTGGAGGGTCCCACACCCATGGAGCCTCGCTCAGTGCTAGCACAGCAGTCTGAGATTGAACTGCAAGGTGGCAGCAAGGCTGGGGGAGGGGTGTCTGCTGTTGCTGAGGCTTGAGTAGGTAAACAAAGCAGCCAGGAAGCTTGAACTGGGTTGAGCCCACTGTAGCTCAAGGAGGCCTGCCTGCATCTGTAGACCCCACCTCTAGGGGCAGGGCATAGCTGAACAAAAGGCAGCAGAAACTTCTGCAGACTTAAATGTCCCTGTCTGACAACTTTGAAGAGAGTAGTGGTTCTCCCGGCACGGAGTTTGAGATCTGAGAACGGACAGACTGCCTCCTCAAGTGAGTAGCCTAACTGGGAGAGTAGGTGCCGACTGACACCTCATACGGGGAGTGCCCCTCTGAGACGAAGCTTCCAGAGGAAGGATCAGGCAGCAACATTTGCTGTTCTGCAATATTTACTATTCTGCAGCCTCCGCTGATGATACCCAGGCAAACATGGTCTGTAGTGGACCTCCAGCAAACTCCAAAAGACCTGCAGCTGAGGGTCCTGACTGTTAGAAGGAAAACCAACAAATACAAAGGACATCCACACCAAAACCCCATCTGTATGGCACCATCATCAAAGACCAAAGGTAGATAAAACCACAAAGATGGGGAGAAACCAGAGCAGAAAAGCTGAAAATTCTAAAAATCAGAGTTCTAAAAATCAGAGTGCCTCTTCTCCTCCAAAGGAACGCAGCTCCTTGCCAGCAACAGAACAAAGCTGGACGGAGAATGACTTTGACAAGTTGACAGAAGTAGGCTTCAGATGATTGGTAATAACAAACTTCTCCAAGCTAAAGGAGGATGTTTGAACCCATCACAAAGAAGCTAAAAACCTTGAAAAAAGATTAAAAGAATGGCTAACTGAATAAACAGTGCAGAGAAGACCTTAAATGACCTGATGGAGCTGAAAACCATAGCACGAGAACTATGTGATGCATGCATGAGCTTCAGGAGCGAATGCGATCAAGTGGAAGAAAGGGTATCAGTGATTGAAGATCAAATGAATGAAATGAAGCAAGAAGAGAATTTTATAGAAAAAAGAGTAAAAAGAAATGAACAAAGCCTCCAAGAAATATGGGACTACGTGAAAAGACTAAATCTATGTCTGATCGGTGTACCTGAAATTGATGGGGAGAATGGAACCAAGTTGGAAAACACTCTTCAGGATATTATCCAGGAGAACTTCCCCAACCTAGCAAGGCAGGCCAACATTCAAATTCAGGAAATACAGAGAACGCCATAAAGATACTCCTCAAGAAGAGCAACTCCAAGACACATAATTGTCAGATTCACCAAAGTTGAAATGAAGGAAAAAATGTTAAGGGCAGCCAGAGAGAAAGGTCAGGTTACCCACAAAGGGAAGCACATCAGACTAATAGCAGATCCCTCAGCAGAAACTCTACAAGCCAGAAGTGAGTGGGGGCCAATATTCAACATTCTTAGGAAAAGAATTTTCAACCCAGAATTTCATATCCAGCCAAACTAATCTTCAGAAGTAAAGGAGAAATAAAATCCTTTACAGACAAGCAAATGCTGAGGGATTTTGTCACCACCAGGCCTGCCTTACAAGAGCTCCTGAAGGAAGCACTAAACAGGGAAAGGAAGAACTGGTACCAGCCACTGCAAAAACATGCCAAATTGTAAAGACCATTGATGCTAGGAAGAAACTGCATCAACTAATGAGCAAAATAACCAGCTAACATCATAATGACAGGATCAAATTCACACATAACAATATTAACCTTAAATGTAAATGGGCTAAATGCTCCAATTAAAAGACACAGACTGGCAAATTGGATAAAAAGTCAAGACCCATCAGTGTGCTCTATTCAGGAAACCCATCTCATGTGCAGAGACACACATAGGCTCAAAATAAAGGGATGGAGGAATATTGACCAAGCAAACGGAAAACAAAGAAAAGCAGGGGTTGCAATCCTAGTCTCTGATAAAACAGACGTTAAACCAACAAAGATCAAAAGAGACAAAGAAGGCCATTGCATAATGGTAAAGGGATCAATTCAACAAGAAGAGCTAACTATCCTAAATATATATGCACCCAATACAGGAGCACCCAGATTCATAAAGCAAGTCCTTAGAGACCCACGAAGAGACTTAGACTCCCACACAATAAGAATGGGGGACTTTAACACCCCACTGTCAACATTAGACAGATCAACGAGACACAAAGTTAACAAGGATATTCAGGACTTGAACTCAGCTCTGCACCAAGCGGACCTAATAGACATCTACAGAACTCTCCACCCCAAATCAACAGAATATACATTCTTCTCAGCACCACATCACACTTATTCCAAAATTGACCACATGGTTGGAAGTAAAGCACTCCTCAGCAAATGTAAAAGAACAGAAATTATAACAAACTGTCTCTCAGACCACAGTGCAATCAAATTAGAACTCAGGATTAAGAAACTCACTCAAAACCTCTCAACTACACAGAAACTGAACAACCTGCTACTGAATGACTACTGGGTACATAACGAAATGAAGGCAGAAATAAAGATGTTCTTTGAAACCAATGAGAACAAAGACACAACATACCAGAATCTCTGGGACACATTTAAAGCAGCGTGTAGGGGGAAATTTATAGCACTAAATGCCCACAAGAGAAAGCAGGTAAGATGCATAATCGACACCCTAACATCACAATTAAAAGAACTAGGGAAGCAAGAGCAAACACACTCAAAAGCTAGCAGAAGGCAAGAAATAACTAACATCAGAGCAGAACTGAAGGAGATAGAGACACAAAAAATCCTTCAAAAAATCAATGAATCCAAGAGCTGGTTTTTGAAACTATCAACAAAATTGATAGACTGCTAGCAAGATTAATAAAGGAGAAAAGAGAGAAGAATCAAATAGACACAATAAAAAATGATAAAGGGGATATCACCACCAATCCCACAGAAATACAAACTACCATGAGAGAATAATATAAACACTTCTATGCGAATAAACTAGAAAATCTAGAAGAAATGGATAAATTCCTGGACACATAAACCTCCCAAGACTAAACCAGGAAGAAGTTGAATCCCTGAATAGACCAATAACAGGCTCTGAAATTGAGGCAATAATTAATAGCATACCAACCAAAAAAAGTCCAGGACCGGACGGATTCACAGCCGAATTCTACCAGAGGTACAAAGAGGAGCTGGTACCATTCCTTCTGAAACTATTCCAATCAATAGAAAAAGAAGGACTCCTCCCTAACTCATTTTATGAGACCAGCATCATCCTGATACCAAATCTGGCAGAGAGACAACAAAAAAAGAGAATTTTAGACCAATATCACTGATGAACATCGATGCAAAAATCCTCAATAAAATACTGACAAACCAAATCCAGCAGCATATCAAAAAGCTTATCCACCATGATCAAGTGGGCTTCATCCCTGGGACGCAAGGCTGGTTCAACATACACAAATCAATAAACGTAATCCATCATATAAACAGAACCAAAGACAAAAACCACTTGATTATCTCAATAGATGCAGAAAAGGCCATTGACAAAATTCAACAGTCCTTCATACTAAAAACTCTCAATAAACTAGGTATTGATGGGACATATCTCAAAATAAAAAGAGCTATTTATGAGAAACCGACAGCCAATATACTGAATGGGCAAAAACGGGAAGCGTTCCCTTTGAAAACTGGCACAAAACAGGAATGCCCTCTCTCACCGCTCCTATTCAACATAGTGTTGGAAATTCTGGCCAGAGCAATCAGGCAGGAGAAAGAAATAAAGGGTATAAAATTAGGAAAAGAGGAAGTCAAATTGTCCCTGTTTGCAGATGACATGATTGTGTATTTAGAAATCCCCATTGCCTCAGCCCCAAATCTCCTTAAGCTGATAAGCAACTTCAGCAAAGTCTCAGGATACAAAATCAATGTGCAAAAATCACAAACATTCCTATACACCAATAACGGATAAACAGAGAGCCAAATCATGAGTGAACTCCCATTCACAATTGCTACAAAGGGAATAAAATACTTAGGAATCCAACTTACAAGGGTTGTGAAGGACCTCTTCAAGGAGAACTACAAACCACTGCTCAACGAAATAAAAGAGGACAAAAACAAATGGAAGAACATTCCATGCTCATGGATAGGAAGAATCAATATCATGAAAATGGCCACACTGCCCAAGGTAATTTATAGATTCAATACCATCCCATCAAGCTACCAATGACTTTCTTCACAGAATTGGAAAAAAACTAATTTAAAGTTTATATGGAACCAAAAAAGAGCCCGCATTGCCAAGACAATCCTAAACCAAAAGAACAAAGCTGAAGGCATCACACTACCTGACTTCAAACTACACTACAAGGCTACAGTAACCAAAACAGCACGGTACTGGTACCAAAAGAGAGATATAGACCAATGGGACAGAACAGAGCCCTCAGAAATAATACCACACATCTACAACCATCTGATCTTTGACAAACCTGACAAAAACAAGAAATGGGGAAAGGATTCCCTATTTAATAAACGGTGCTGGGAAAACTGGCTAGCCATATGTAAAAAGCTGAAACTGGATCCCTTCCTTACACCTTATACAAAAATTAATTCAATATGGATTAAAAGACTTAAATGTTAGACCTAAAACCATTAAAACTCTAGAAGAAAACCTAGGCAATACCATTCAGGACATAGGCATGGGCACGGACTTCATGACTAAAACACCAAAAGCAATGTCAACAAAAGCCAAAATTGACAAACGGGATCTAATTAAACTCAAGAGCTTCAGCACAGCAAAAGAAACTACCGTCAGAGTGAACAGGCAGCCTACAGAATGGGAGAAGATTTTTGCAATCTACTCATCTGACAAAGGGCTAATATCCAGAATCTACAAAGAACTTAAACAAATGTACAAGATAAAAGCAAACAACCCCATCAAAAAGTGGGCAAAGGATATGAACAGACACTTCTCAAAAGAAGACATTTATGCAGCCAACAGACACATGAAAAAATGCTCATCATCACTGGCCATCAGAGAAATGCAAATCAAAACCATAATGATATACCATCTCACACCAGTTAGAATGGCGATCATTAAGAAGTCAGGAAACAATAGGTGTTGGAGAGGATGTGGAGACATAGGAACACTTTTACACTGTTGGTGGGACTGTAAACTAGTTCAACCCTTGTGGAAGACAATGTGGCAATTCCTCAAGGATCTAGAACTAGAAATACCATTTGACCCAGCCATCCCATTGCTGGGTATATACCCAAAGGATTATAAATCATGCTGCTATAAAGACACATGCACACGTATGTTTATTGCAGCACTATTCACAATAGCAAAGACTTGGAACCAATGCAAATGTCCATCAAATATAGACTGGATTAAGAAAATGTGGCACATATACACCATGGAATACTATGCAGCCATAATAAAGCATGAGTTCATGTCCTCTGTAAGTACATGGATGAAGCTGGAAACTATCATTTTCAGCAAACTATCGCAAGGACGGGAAACCAAACATTGCATGTTCTCACTCATAGGTGGAAATTGAACAATGAGAACACTTAGACACAGGGTGGGGAACATCACACCATGGGGCCTGTCGTGGGGTGGAGGTAGTGTGGAGGGATAGCATTAGGAGATATACCTAATATAAATGACAAGTTAATGGGTGCAGCACACCTACATGGCACATGTATACATATGTAACAAACCTGCACGTTGTGCACATGTACCTTAGAACTTAAAGTATAATAATAAAAAATAAGAAAAAAATTACTATACGTAAACGTTTTGCACATAGGTCACTTCTGAGTCATTGTCTTGCATGAATGTTTCTGACTGATGAAACCATAGCCACATTTCCACAACCTAGCTACTAGACTCTCTAGGACATGTGGGAGTTTTTAAGATGAAATCAACCTTGAGAAAGTAGAATTTAGAGTGTGGCAAAATATAAAAATGCAAAGTGGTTGTTCAAAATGTATTTGACAGGCAAACATAAATGAGTGATGTCTCTCTCAGCCCAACTTTTAGCTGACAAAATCATTATATATTCTTCTACCATATTAAATTTACAAAAGCATAGCAACAATACTATGTTCCAACCTTGTATAATATAAATATCAGTTATAATTAAAACACGCTTACTGTTTTCCAAATTCTCTTCAGTTACTTTATGAAGCTTCAAGCCTGACATCTGGGTAATGTCCATTTCTCCTCTGATTTATTCACAATTTTTTCTGGATATTTTCTAACCTATGGAAAAATATAATAATTATTAGAAAAGGTAGGGCATGGGAAATGTTAATCTATAGACATTTACATGATCACCAAGAAAGAAAAAGCAGGTGTCTACAGGTGTTATGGTTGGAATGTTCCCTCAAAAACTTATGTTGAAATTTAATTGCCATTGTGACAGTATTAAGAGGTAGGACCTTTAAGAGGTAAGTATGTCATAAGGGCTCTGCCTTCATCAATAAATTAATACCATTATCCAAGGAGTGGGTTGGTTATGGGTTCCTCCTCAAGAATTCTCAGCCTACTCTTCATTCAAGAAACTCTGTGTTGTGAATTGACTCGGAGCCATGGCGTGGAGGCACAATCCTGGAGTCTGTTTTCTAGGCTTACTTGCTGCTGCTGTTGTTGTTTGTTTATTTGTTTTTGTATTACTTATACAGATCAAGTGGGACCTTAATGGTTACACAACGTTTTCAGACCCAGGGACCCCCTAATCAATCAGCAAGGCAAAGTGTGTGTCAAACCACTCAGATTATCACAACGTGGTTAAGTGCTGCTAATGAGGCTCATATTAATGGCAGCATCTCCCACCTTTGTTTTCATCCTGTAGGGAATAGATACTGCACACTTTTCAAAGATGCTTGTATCTGTTTTTTATGGCTTTTAGAAATCATGTATTTTCCTTTTTCTGGACCCATATTTAAAGTATTGCTTCCATATACATTATATTTCATTTGTACTGCTTTCGTACCTTAAAATGCTTTCTCACATATATTCCTGCAGGTAGTTGCTAATATAACTTGGCAAAACATTGCTTTTCTTTTCCTTTGGTGGGTAAGCCTTTTCTTCCTGGGTTTAATTTTGCCCTAGCTTCTTGGAGCATTCTGGACTCTGACACTAGCTATGGGTCCAAGGCATTGCAAGGTGTCAGGAATGGGTTGTGAAGAAAGTTATACCACCTCCTGAGGTAACTGCCTCAGGCAACGTGCTTACATGGTTTTCAGGGAAGCAGGAACAACCGATTAAACCCTGGAGAAAAAGCTATTTCTTCTACTAAGGGATGTTTAGTAAATTTGAGTGTTCAAAGTACTCTGAGTTTTCAGGGTTTTCCCATCTGTCTCGATTACAATTCCATGGAAGTGTCTTAACTTTCAGTAAGAGTCATGGTACCGTTAGAATTCATCTGACGTAATTGAGAAACCACAGCATTAGACTGTGCATTTAATTTTCAGTTTCATCAGTCCTGCAGAGAGGAGAGCTAATTTTAGGGTAATCATGTTATCGCCCTGGCTTTTTTACTACATTGAGCTGAGAATTTAAAACTTTAAGGTGTTCTTTCCTTTCTTTCAAAGCTTAAGCACATTTAGAAGTAGCCAAGTCACCCTATAGCTCTTACGTGCTTCATGTCCATTGTACTTTTGTAAGCATAAACTCCCCTACTTCCTTGCCTTCTATAGTAACATTATTCCAGGTGACCAAGAGCACAGATGATAAATATAAGCAAGTGTTTCATTTTAGTATGCCATGGGTACCAGTGCTCTTTTCTCTAGAACGAATTGTATTCTCAGAGCTTTCAAATCCAACCTTCCAGATAATGAATCCCAGATACTCATTTCCTTGAAGGTTCCTTGCACTTTTAATACAAATTATTCTATTAAACAACCTTAGTTGCAAGGAAACCCATTCATTCCACCCAGATTAAGCAGAATAGATATTTATTAAAGATACTAGATAGCATGTATACTCATTGATTGTGCTAGGGTAATAAACAGGGTAAGCTCACCAGAACAATACCCATAGTCTATTGCCAATTTCTGAATTGCTTCGAAAACAGTCCCAAGGGAGAAGCTACCTGTGACACTGCCAACTCCACAGCCACCAGAAAAAAAAATGTGTGCTCTGCCAGAGCTTTTCCCTACTTGATCACTTCCAAATTGAAGACATAATGTAGGTGGAAATGATTATTGGAAACTGGTCCCTGCCTGTAATTCTGGGCACAAGAAAAGCTGGGAAATGCAGTTTTAAAATTGTATCTTGAGAAAACAGAATTTATCTTGTGGTAAATACAAAAATTCAGGTGGGTTTTCAAAAGATGTGCAGCCAAAAATGACAAATGTATACTACATATGGCTATTGTGTTTAAAATATTTCATAAAACTTGTGGAAATATTTTAATAATTATATCTGCCTTTATCTCATATATTTGTAACATAGAAATGGTTCTTAAATAAGTGGTATCATACTTTTAGCAAGGTAACCATAAGTATAATTTTACTAAGAAACATCTAGAGTCAAGATGTAATATTGTAAACAATATCCCTACAAGTACAGAGTCTACAGACATAATTGACATTTGATTATATCACTCTTATCTTTCAGACTTTATATTTGAAGGAAACTTCTAGGTGGCAACTGAATCAACAAATTCATCATTATTATTTTCAATCTGTTTGTATGAGTTATCAATTTAAGATGTACAGTTCTTCATTAAAATATAAATAGAGGATGTGTGTATTTTTTGAGCATGGCTTATTTGATCATATTTATAAGGAATTCAACATGACTGGAAAATCTACACATTCCACAGAGACTATATCTGTATGTGTGTGCACACACATATGCATATATTTTTTTAATATATATTGTTCATAAATGGAGAAAGCTGAACATAGCAGTCCTTTTATTCATTAGAACATAACAGGGCTGGGTGCAGTGGCTCACGCCTGTACTCCCAGCACTTTGGGAGGCTGAGGTGGGAGGATCACTTGAGGTCAGGAGTTCGAGACCAGCTTGGCCAATATGGCAAAAACCTGTCTCTACTAAAAATACAAAAACTAGTTGGGCATGATGGCGCACACCTGTAATCCCAGCTACTCGGTAGGCTGAGGCAGGAAAATTGCTTGAACCTGGGAGGCAGAGGTTGCAGTGAGCCGAGATTGCACCACTGCACTCCAGCTTGGGCAACAGAGTGAGACTCCATCTCAAAAAAAAAAAAGTTTTTTTTGACATTATTATTATGTCAAATAATTAATGTCAAAAAAACTTTACAAGAAACCTTAAGGGCTGGGCGCGGTGGTTCATACCTGTAATCCCAGCACTTTGGGAGGCTGAAGCAGGCGGATCACGAGGTCAGGAGATCAAGACCATCCTGGCTAACACGGTGAAACCTGTCTCTACTAAAAGTAGAAAAAAATTAGCCGGGCGTGGTGGCAGGAGCCTGTAGTCCCAGCTACTCAGGAGGCTGAGACAGGAGAATGGCATGAACCCGGGAGGCGGACCTTGCAGTGAGCCGAGATGGCGCCACTGCATTCCAGCCTGGGCAATAGAGCGAGACTCTGTCTCAAAAAATTAAATAAACAAATAAACAAACCTTAAGATTTAATTTAGAAAAGAATTTCCTTAAGGTTCAGGACTGGATCCTCTTTTCTTTCTTCTTCAGAACTATGTAGCTAATCAAATGTGTTAAAAGCATAAGTTCAACATACTCAGATTCTAATACTTCCCTTCCAACCTTTGTCTTCTTGTGCTTGTTACCTCAGTAAATTGCACCACCACCACCACCATCACTTATAAAACCAAAAACCTACTGAAGCAGATGCTGTCAGCACTCCCACTCCCTATATTCTCTTGGGTTTCACCATTTCTATGTATACCATCTGTATTACTCTATTTTCACACTGCTATAAAGAACTACCCAAGACTGGGTGATTTACAAAGAAAAGAGGTTTAATTGACTCACAATTCTCCATGGTTTGGAAGGCCTCAGGAAACTAACAATCATGGCAGAAGGGGAAGGGGAAGCAAAGGCAAGTCTTACATGGTAGCAGGAGGGTGGTGGGAGTGGGGAGGGGACTGCCAAACACTTTTAAACCATCAGATCTTGTGAAAACTCACTGTCAATAGAACAGCATGGGGGAAACTGCCCCCATGAACCAATCACCTCCCACCAGGTCCCTCCCTCAGCGCCTGGGGATTACAATTTAAGATGAGATTTTTGTGGCGACACAGAGCCAAACCATATCACCATCCAACTTCCAAGTGTCAATATCTGCATCTCTTCCCTGTGGGCTTTCTCTCAACATTAGAGGCTACTCTGCCTGAACACAAAGCATGCTGAATTTGCCTAAGAAGTAATGCCAGAATTAACATCCAGTTGGGAGCAGCCCTCAATTAATAAATGATAAGAGTTAATGTAAAAACACCACAGTTCCTTCATCCCTATGGTGGAATAAATCTCAGAAGCATGTTTTTTCCAGATTAAATTCTAGTCACCCACAATGATAACTTGTTTGATAATTGTGAAAATTGCAAAATATGGTCATAGTTCTCTCCATGTTAGTATGCATGTTCCTTTGTAAGGTGAGATTGCTGTCCCTTCTGACAAAAAGTATAGTACTCCATCTCTATTTATTTAGAGTGTTTATTACTTAGAGTGTTTATTGTTTTGTATAATTTCTTAGTTACTGCTCTAGGTAATACAATATGCACATAGAAGTTATCATAATCTACTGTAATTGACATTTTACCAGTTTAAGAGATGTGTAGAATACTCAGTTTCATTTAGGATCTTTTACCCTCCCTTCCTGCTCTTAAAATATAGTTGCCTTAAGTATTTCCTTTATATACATCAAGTGCTACATCAGATAGTATTATAGTTTTTGTCTCAACCATAAGATATGATTTAAGAAACTTATGAGAAGTAATATAGTCTATTATATTGACCCTTATTTTTATACATTCTTTCTTTTTGGAAGTTCTTTCTTTTCTGAGGTTTTGAGTCTTCTTCTGTTACAATTTCCTTTCTCTTTAGAGAACTCCTTTTGCCCACCCTTCAAGGGCAGATTCTTTGGAAATGAATTCTATTAGTTTTATTTTTTCTGAGAATGTCCCTATTCCCTCTTCATTACTGAATGATATTTTCACCAGATAAGAATTCTCAATTGACCACTATTTTCTTTCAGTTATTTTAAAATGTGCTGCTTCTTTCTGGCCTCTGAGGTTTCTGATGAAAAATCTATTGTTTGAATTGTTTTTCCCCTATCATTGATTCCCTCTGGTTACATTCTTTTCCTTTACATTTCAGAAGTTTAATTATAACATATCTTGGTATGAAATTTTTGAGGTTTATTCTATTTGGGTTTCACTTCTGTGGGATAAGCTTCTTAAATCTGTAGGTTTATGTGTTTTACCAAGTTTGGGACATTTTCAGCCATTTTTTCTTTGAATACTGTTTTGGTCTCATTTTTCTCTTCCCTTTTTCCAACTCTAGTGAAACAAACAGTAGCTCTTAATATTGTACCATTAGCCTGAAACTTTGTTCAGTTTTGAAAGTATATTTTCCTTTGTTTTTCATATTGTATAAATTCTATTGATCTGTCCTCAATTTACTGATTCTATGTTTGGTCGTTTCCACTCTACTATTGGGCCCATAAAGTTAGTTATTTTTTCTGTTATTTTGTTTTTCAGTTCTATAATCTCCATTTGGTTGTTTTTTTTTAACAGAACTTTTATTTATTTTCTGATTTTCTATTTTTTCATTTATCCCAAAAAAATTTTTAATGGCTTATTGAGACTTTTTATAATGTTTGCTTTAAAATTCTTGTCAATTAATTCCAACGTCTGATTCTTCTCCATTTTGGAATCCATTGGCTGTTTTTTCTCACTCATGTTGTGATTTTCCTGGCTCCTGGTATGACAAGTGATTTTTCTATTGTTTCCTGGATATTTTGGACACTATATTATGAGACTCTGGACCCTTTTACTATCCTTTTGTTTAGAGGGCAATCCCCCAGTGAGCTGTAGCCTGAGGGCTGGGTGGGTGTTTATGCTCAGCTTCTTGCTGGGTTCCACTGACACCAACCACACAGAATTGGAGCACTGACTTACACTGTCTCACCTGTCAAGCTAGAATCCTATATCTAGTGAAAATACTCGTTGGGAATTAAGGTAAAATTAAAACAGTCTCAGGTGAAAGAAGACTAAGATAATTCAAATGTAGCTAGCAAAACTTCTCTAGAAGAATTGCAGAAGAAAGTTCTTCTGGTGGCACTTTCGGAAACAGAAGTGAAGGACACAGCCAGTCTTGCTAAGAGATTGGTTACGTTGAAAGAGTAAGTAAACTGAGCAAATAAGTAAAAATATTGAGAGTGATGGGAACCAAGTTTCTCATGTTGAAAAATATGTTAACAAACTCAGAAATTTGCTGCATGTATTAATAACTTGTTGCTTTTTATTAATGAATAGTATTACATGGTACAGATTTACCAGAGTCTGTTTAGCTGTCCACCTATTGAAGGAAATTAGAATTGTTTTTAATTTGGGTCTATTAAAATAAAGTTGCTATGGACATTCATGTATGTTCTCATTTTTGGGGGATAAGTGTCCAGGCAGAAGTTTGCTGGGTTGAATGGTAAATATGTATTTAGTTTTTTTAAAGATACTACCAAAATATTTTCCAGAGTGAATGTGGCATTTTACATTTCCACCATCCTTGCTAGCATTTGTCACTAATTTTTTGTTATAGCCATTCTGATCGTTGTGTAGTGATAACTCATTCTGTTCTTTATTTGCATGTTCTAATCGCTAGTGATGTTGAAACATCTTTCACGTGTTTCTTTGCCACCTATTTATTCATTTTAGGAGATATCTTTTCATGTCTGGTTGCCCATTTCCTTATTGGATTGGTTCTTTACTGTTAAATTTAAGAGTTTTTTTTTTTTCTAAAAAGAAAATTGTGTTCTATATTTGTGTCCTTTATCAGAGATGTGGTTTGTCAATGTTTTTTCCCAGGCTATAATTTGTCTTTCCATCCTTGTTTAGCAAGGTATTTTCCTTAATAACACTTTTAATTTTATGAGGTTGTATTTACTGTTATGAATCATGCTTTTGGTGTCATGTCTAAGAATGTTATTAAATTATAGATTTAATGTCCTTAGTAGTTATAGGGCTATTCAGTTACATAGTTTATATTGGGTAAGTTGGGGTATATGTGCTTTTCAAAAAATTGCTCCTTTTCATCTGAGTTGTCAAATTTATATTTATAGAGCTCTTTATGGTGTCTTCTTATTATCATTTTGGCATCTTCAGGGTCTGTAGTGATATTCCTTGCTTCATTCCTGATATCAAAAATTTGTGTCTTTTCTCTTTTTCTTTGTCATCCTTGCGAGAGGTTTGTCAATTTTATTGAACTTTTAAAAGAGCCCATTTTTATTTCATTGATTTTCTCTACTTTTTATTTTCAACTTTACTTTCTGCTCTTTATTATTTCTTTCCTTCTGCTTGCTTTGGGTTTATTTTCCTCTTGTTTTTTGATGTGGAATCTTAGATTATTGATTTGATATTTCTCTTTTCTCTAATATATGCCTTTAGTGCAATAAATTTCCCTCTCACCATTCCTTTAGCTGCATCCCACAAATTTTTATATGTTATATTTTTATTTTCATTTGATTCAATATATTTATTTCCCCAAGACTTCCTTTTGGGTTCATTGTTTATTTAAAAGTGTGCTGTTTTAGGCCAGGCATGGTGGCTCACGCCTGTAATCCCAGCACTTTGTGAGGTGGAGGCAGGCAGATCACCTGAGGTCTGGAGTTCAAGACCAGTCTGGCTAACATGGTGAAACCCCATCTCTACTAAAAATACAAAAAATTAGCCTGACGTGGTGGTGTGCACCTGTAATCCCAGCTACTTGGGAGGCTGAGGTAGGAGAATCGCTTGAACCTGGGAGGCAGAGGTTGCAGTGAGCTGAGATCACGCCATTGCACTCCAGCCTGGGCAACAAGAGCGAAACCTCGTCTCCCCAACCCCCTGCCCCCCCAAAAAAGTAGTGTATTGTTTAGCTTCCAAGTGTTTTTAGGTTTTCTTGTTACTGTTTTGTAATTAATTTACAGTTTGATTTCATCGTATCAGAGAATACATTGTATGAGTTTAATTCTTTTATGTTTGTTGACATTTGTTTTATGGCCCAGGATATGATATATCTTGGTAAATGCTGTATGAATATTTGAAAAGAATGTTTATTCTGCTGTTGTTGGATAAAGTTAGTGTTCTATGAGTGTGAATTTGATGTTGTTGGTTGATGGTATTGATTTTTTTATATACTTGCTGATTTTCTGTCTAGTTATTCTATTAATTATTAAGAGAGGGATACTGACATCTACAACTGTAAGTGTGAGTTTGTCTATTTCTTCTTTCGTGTCTTTCAGATTCTTTTCTTCTTTTTGTTCATTTATTTTGTAGTTCTGCTGTTTGGGACATATACAATTACAATTGCTATGTCTTCTTGGTGGGCTGACCCTTTCATTGGTTATTTAATATTCTCCTTTGTCCCTGGTAACTTTTTTCAGTCTGAAGTCGAATTTATCTAATATTAACATAAACATTCCTCTTTTCTTTTCATTAATGTTTGCATGGTATCTCTTTTTCTATTGCTTTACTTTCAATTTTCCTATATTTTTATATGTGAAATGCATTTCTTAGAGTTAACCTATATTAGGTAATAATTTTAATCCACTCTGATAATCTCTGTCTTTTAATTAATATATTTAGACCATGTATATTTAATGTAATTATTAATATATTAGGACTTAATGTCTACTATTTTATATTTTGCTTTCTGTTAATCCCCTCTGTTTTCCTTTTCTATTTTTTTCTGCTTTCTTATGTGTTATTTGAGCATTTTAAAAAGTAATTCTACTGTAATCCCAGCACTTTGGGAGGCCAAGGCGGGTGGATCATGAGGTCAGGAGATCGAGACCATCCTGGCTAACAAGGTGAAACCCCGTCTCTACTAAAAATACAAAAAATTAGCCGGGCGCGGTGGCGGGCGCCTGTAGTCCCAGCTACTCGGGAGGCTGAGGCAGGAGAATGGCGTGAACCCGGGAAGCAGAGCTTGCAGTGAGCCGAGATTGCGCCACTGCAGTCCGCAGTCCAGCCTGGGCGACAGAGCAAGACTCCGTCTCAAAAAAAAAAAAAAAAAAAAGTAATTCTAATTTGCCTGTAATATACTTTATTGTATATTTGTATAGTTTTTTAATGGTTGCTTTAGATTTTATATTATACATATATAACTTATTATAGTATTCTGGTAACAAATTTTTATCCATTTGAATAAAGCATAGAAACCTTACCTCCCCTTAAGTCCCCTTGTCTCCCCTGTTGATAACAAAACTGCCTAAACTATTTTCTCTACATAGATTGAGAACCACATCATAACAAGAATGTTACAATTGTCTTTCAACCATCAAATCTTATTTTAAAAATTCAAGAGCAGAAAGTTTATTGTATTTGCCTATGTATTTACTTTTTCTATTGTTATTGCTTCCTTATTTATGTTCCAAGTTCCCTTCTTTTATTATTTTCTGTTTCAATAATTTCCTTTAGCTATTCTTTTAGGGTAGGTCATCTAGAGAACAAATTCTGTTTAGTTTTCTTCCAACTGAGAATGTCTTGATTTTTCCTTTATTCCTAAAGGATATTTTCACTGGATATAGAATTTTGGGTTGAGAGATTTTTTTTTCCTTCTACATTGAACAATATTGTGCAGCTTCCTTCTAGCCTTCATGGATTCTCATGAGAAACACACTTTCAGTGGAATTATTTTTCTTCTACAGGCGAGGTGTTATTTCTTTCTCACTCTTTTTAAGATATTTTCCTTTAGTTTTCAGAAGTTTGATTCTGATGTAACTTGGTACAGAATGTCTTTGGTTTATCCTGTCATGGTTTGTTCAACTACTTGAATTTGTAGGTTTATGTCTTTTGTCAAATTTTAGAAATTTTTAGCTATTATTTGTTTGAATATGCCCTCTTTCTTCTCTGTGGGACTCTACTATCATGAATGGCAAACCTTTTTATCATCTCAATGAGACCTTAAGCTCTGTCCATTTTTTTGTCTGTTTGTTTCAGTCTAGTTTTTCTCTTGTTCAGACTGGTGACTTCCATTGTTCTATCTTCAAGTCCATAGATTCTTTTGTCTTTTTTAGTCTGTTGAGTCAATTTGGTGAGATTTTTACTGGATATTCAGTTATTATTTTTTCAGTTGTGAAATTTTCTTTTTTTTTTTTGCTAAAATTCCTTTTTTTTGCTAAAGCTTTCTGTTTCTTTTTGAGTCTATTTTTTCATCTGTTTCAAACATATTTCTAATTGTTTATTGAAGTCTTTTTATAATGTCCGAGTTAAATTAATTGTCGGATAATATCAACATCTTTGACATCTAGGTAGTGGTGTCTGTTGATTATCTTTTCTCATTCATGTTAGGATTTCCTCGTTCTTGTTGTGACAGTACTTTTGATTGTGTTCTAGACATTTTTGATATTATTTTAGGATAACTAGGGTTTTATTTGCATCTTTTGTTTTAGCAAGGCTCCCTTGACACTGTGCCAGAAGAGTATGGCAGGTACAATCTTATTACTGCCAGGTTGTGGGGGAAGTCCAATTCCCCACTCAGTTTCCATTGCCATTTTAATAGGGAGGTGCAATTCATTGCTGGATGGTATGGAATTTCAGGCTCCTCACTAGGCCTCTGCTGACTTCACTTCAGTAGTAGGGGATGGAATGCCTTATTATGGCTGAGAGGGGTTGAAAGTCTGGGTTTACCAAGTGCTCTCTACTGATAGGAGATTGCTGATACCTGGCAGAACTCAAAGTCCAGACTGGCTAATAGTCTTTCAATGATACTGCTCCAGGGGCAGGGTGATGGGTATTGTATGTGTGTGCCTGGGGCAGGGAGGGTTTTCTCTTATTGAGGGGTGATGAGGGTTGAAGTATAGTCTTCCCTCTGGGGCTTTGGGTCACAGTTTTTTCCATGGTGTGAGGTTGAAGTTACTCTCTCAAAGTTTTTGCCTGTTTGGCTGCCCCTTCCTGTCCTAGAGAAATCAGAGAAAGCAGGATTTTCTTAGCACTCCTTTGTTTGCATCTGTTGGTGTTTCCAGGTTGCAGCGTTCTCCAGCACCCATCTAAGATATATGAGGCAAGAAGAAAACACAGGGAATACACTTCTATGTTATTCTCTGGGTGTCAAGATCTCTAGTCAGTCTTTCTTCTTCTCTTCACCTTTCAGAGTCCCCTGTATTTCTATTATGTCCAGAGTTTTTAGCTATACTTAGCAGGAGGAATGAGGAGAAATACATCTATTCCATGATATCCAGAATTGGAAGCCCTGTAAATGCCCTTTTACATTTCAACTTTTGTATATATTTTACACCAATCATATAATATTAATTATGTATATATTAAGTTACAAATAAACATACAAACACATATATAGAAGGTATATGCTTAAATTTTTTTCCACTAATGGGGTGCAGAGCTAAATGCAGATTACAGAGCAGAGTTGTAAGCATTGCTGAGTCATTTCTGGGCCTAACTCTTCTACTAACTCACACAATTTGGGGCATTCATTTTTTTCACCTCTAAAATGAAGCATTTGGCAAGATAGTCTCTAAGACCACCACTTTTTCCTCTAAAAGCCTACAAATAATTATCAGTAGTATGCCTTCTAAAAGATATAAAATACCACACAAAATTGTTTCTATTTATGTTTTATTTAAAGCATATTTAAATCGTAACATGTATTAATTTCCTCAAGAGTAAAGTTCTATTCCATTTTTATTACAATCATCTAATCAAGATTGATCTCATACATGTAATTGTTAAAGAAAAACAGTAAAATTGATTTAAAAGGGTGTATTATCCTAATTTTCTATGAGTTAAGTTCATGGTTGCACTACCTTATTAATTTAGTAGTTTTGGACATTTTTCAGTAATATATTCTCCTCATACGCTTTTCTCATGGAACCGAAATGGTAAAAATATCTGAAAGGGCTATTTTATCTCAGGCTTAGTGGTCCAAGATCATAGACTGGTGTGTTTTGTGCTCTGTGTGCATATATATTCCTTCTACTCAAACACATTATATGCTACTACCTTTGCTAGGGTTGTGTATTCATTTGTTCTCATACTGCTATAAAGAAATACCTGAGACAGGGTAATTTATAAAGAAAAGAGGTTTAATTGGCTCACAGTTCTTCAGGTTGTACAGGAAGCAAGGCAGCATGTGCTTGGCTTCTGGGGAGGCCTTGGGAAACTTACAATCTTGGTGGAAGGTGAAGGGGGAGGTGGCACCTCCTATGGCCTGAGCAGGAGGAAGACAGAGAAAGGCGGGTGGTGCCACATACTTTTAAATAACAAGATCTCACTAGAACTCTATCATGAGACAGCACAAAGGGGATGGTGCTAAACCATTCATGAAGGATCCACCCCCGTGATCCAATCACCTCCCACCAGGCTCTGCCTCCAACAATGGGAATGACAATAGAACATGAGATTTGGGTGGAAACACAGATCCAAACCATAACATTCCGCCTCTGGCCCCTCTCAAATCTCATGTCCTTCTCACACTGAAAAATACAATAATGCCTTCCCAACAATCCCCAAATTCTTAATTCAACATTAAATCAAAAGTCCAAAGTCTCATCTGAGACAAGGCTAATCCCTTCCACCTGTGAGCCTGTAAAATAAAAACAAGTCAGTTACTCCCAAGATACAATGGGGGTACAAGCATTGGGTAAATATTCCCATTCCAAAAGGGAGAAATCAGCCAAAAGAAAGGGGCTACAGGCTCCACAGAAGTCTGAAACCCATCAGACAGTCATTAAATTTTAAAGCTCCAAAATAATCTCCTTTGACTCCATGTCTCACATCCAGAGCCCACTGGTTCAAGGGGTGGGTTCCCAAGGCCTTGGGCAGCCCTGCTCCTGTGGCTTTTCAGGGGTCAGCCCGACAGCTGCTTTTATGGGCTGGTGTTGACTGCTTGTGGCTTTTCCAGGGACATGGCTCAAGCTGTCAGTGGATCTACCATTCTGGGTTTTAGAGGATGGTGGCCCTCTTCTCACAGCTCCTCTAGGCAGTGCCCCAGTGGGAACTCTGTGTGGGGCCCTCAGCCCCACATTTCCCCTTGATACTGCCCAACTAGAGGTTCTCCATGAGGGAACCACCCCTGCAGCAGGCTTCTGCCTGGACAGTCATGCTTTTCCATACATCCCCTGAAATCTAGATGAAGGCTCCCTAGCCTCAACTCTTGCACTCTGCATATTTGCAGGTTAACACCACGTGGAAGCCACCAGGCTTATGGCTTGTACCCTCTGAAGCAGCAGCCCAAGCTGTACCTGGCCCCCTTTGACCTATGGCTGGAGCTGGAGTGGCTGGGACACAGTGAGCAGTGTCCCAAGTCTGTTCAAGATGGCAGGGCCCTGGGCCTGACCCACAAAACCTATTTCCCTCTTAGGCCTCTGGGCCTGTGATGGAGTAGGGGGAGGCCTTGAAGGTCTCTAAAATGCCTCAGAGGCCTTTTTCCCATTGTCTTCGCTATCAGCACTTGACTCCTTTCTACTTATGCAAATTTCTGCAGCCTGCTTGAATTCCTCCCTTGAAAATGGGCTTTTTTTTTTTTTTTCCACATCACCAGGCTGCAAATTTTCCAAGCTTTTACTTTCTGCTTCCCTTTTAAATATGTTTTGAGTTTTAGGTAATTTATTTGCTTATGCATATTAGTATAAGTTGTTAGAAGCAGCCAGGATACATCTTGAATGCTTTGTTGCTTAGAAATTTCTTCCACCAGATACACTAAATCATCACTCTCAAATTCATAGTTCCACAGATCCCTAGGGCAGGGGCAGAATACAACCAAGCTCTTTGCTAAGGCCTAATGAAAGTGACCTTTACTCCAGTTCCCAATAAGTTCTTCACTTCCATCTGAGACCTCCTCAGCCTGGTCTTCACTGTCCATATCACTATCAGCATTTTGGTCAGAACAATTTAACAAGTCTCTAGGAAGTTCCAAACTTTCCCTCATTTTCCTGACTTCTGAGCTCTCCTCCACACTCTTCCAATCTCTGCCCATTACCCAGTTCCAAAGCTGCTTCCACATTTTCAAGTATCTTTATAGCAATGTCCCACTCCTCAGTACCAATTTTCTGTATTAGTCCATTCTCACACTGCTATAAAGAAATACCTAAGACTGGGTCATTTATAAAGAAAAGAAGTTTAATGGGCTTACAGTTCTGTGGGATGTACAGCAGGCATGATGCTGGCATCTGCTTGGATTCTGCGGAGGCCTCAGGAAACAGATAATTATGGTAGAAGGCAAAGAAAAAGCCAGTACTTCACATGGCTGGAGCAGGAGGATGAGTTGGGGGAGGTGCCCCATACTTTTAAACAATCAGCTCTTGTGAGAACTCGATCACAACCACCACCAAGGGGATGATGCTGAACCATTCATGAAAGATCCACCTCCATGATCCAATCACCTCCTGCCGGGCCCCACCTCCAACACTGGGTACTACAATTAAACATGTGATTTGGGTGGGAAGAGATCCAAACCATATCAGGCTGGCATAACAAAATGCCAAAGACCTGGTGGCTGCTATCATTTGAATGTGTCCCCCAAATTTCATGTGTTGGAAACTTAATGCTCAAATTTATGTGTTGATTGGAGGTAGGGCCTTGGGGAGGTAATTAGGATTAGATAAGGTCATTAAAGTGGGGGTCCTCATGATGGGATTAGTAGTTTTATAAAATGAGGAAGCAGGAACTGAGGTGAAACATGCTCTTGCCCTCTCACCACATAATGCCCTCTGTCATGTTATGAGCAGCAGGGAAGCCTCTACTAGTTTCCCACACCAAAATCTTGGACTTCGTAGCCTCCAGAAGTGTAAGAAATAAGTTTATTTTCTTTATAAATTGTCTAGTCTCATGTATTCAGTTATAACAACAGAAAATGGACAAAAACAGTGGCTTAAGCAACAAAAGTTTATTTTCTCACAATTCTGGAGGCTGGAAGTCCAAGATTAAGTGCTGGTAGGATTGGTTTCTGTCAGTCTTTCTCTTTGAATTGCAGATGGCCATCTTCTTGTCTTTGCACATGGTCCTCCTTCTGTGCACATCTTTCTGTATGCCCTAAAATCCTCTTATAAGGACACCAGTCAGACTGGATTAGAGCCCACAACTAATGGCTTCATTTTAACTTCATTACCCCTTCAAAGGCCCTATCTCCAAATGTCATCACATTCTGAGGTACTGGGGTTAGAGTTTCAACATATCAATTTTGCTAGGGATACAATTTAGTTCATAACATCCATATTCACCATTGTGACATTAAAAAAAATAAACTCTGTATTTTTGTTTGATTTTTTGTTTTTTGTTTTTTGGTTTTTTTTTTTTTAGAGGCAGGGTCTCACTCTGTTGCCCATGCTAGAGAGCAGCGGCACAATCATAGCTAAATGTAACCTTGAACTTTCATAGCAGCTAAGATTATTTGGGAGTTTGAGGTGGGAGGATTACTTGAGCATAGGAGTTCAAGACAACAGGTGCATGCCACCACACCCAATTAATTTTTTATTTTTTTGTAGAGAAAGGATATTGCTGTGTTGCCCAGGTTTGTCTGGAACTCCTAGCCTCAAGCAATCTTTTCACCTTGACTTCCTAAAGTGCTGGGATTACAGGTATGAGCCACCTTGCCCAGCTAAATTCTGTATTTTTGAGATTAGGCTAAGAAGGCTATTTTATAATGCCTATAGGTTTAGTTTGACTAATACAGTACAGGTGTATGAGTGTGTGTGTGTTAGACATTCGTTCGAAAGAAGCTAGTCTTCCCCAGATTGTTTCAAAGCTGTGGGCTGCTAAAGTGTTCCACAGATAGCAATTTAACTACTTAAGTACATGGTTTGTTAGATATCAGACAGACATAATCTGAAGATGAACCAAGCAAATGCTATAGGCCAAATAGAATTGTGTTGTTTAATTACTTTTTAAACTATGTTAATTTAGGCAACTAAATTATTTTATCAATTGTATCATTACTCAATAGTCTAGATTTGATTGTTAAAATGGAAAGTTTTCATTTAACACAATTTTACTAGGCTTCACAAATCAGTTTTAAACATCCTTTTATTCCATCTGCTTTTGAACCATGTGCTGATGGTTTTTAAAGTACTATAGCATTAATTTGATTGGCACTTACATTTCCAGCCAATTAACAAAGGACTGGAAAAAATTATGGTTGGGAGGACTAGAAAAAAGTATGGTTGGGAGGAAAATTAAATGCAGTAAAGCTAATACCACTTTACAATTTCACTTGACAGTGATATTTCATCAAGTTAATTAATTTCTGTCATAATAAAATACAGTAAAAATATATACATATATATTCTATCACTTACTTTCTAGATATAGCATACATCACTGTTTTGATTTCTGACACCAGAACTGAACTGATGTTCTCTTGAGGTGTCAAATTTGATTTGAATATTCAATTTTTTTTTTTTTTCTTGACAGAGTCTTGCTCTCTCGCCCAGGCTGAATTGCAGTGGTGCGATCTCGGCTCACTGCAACATCTGCCTCCAGGATTCAAGCAATTCTCCTGTCTCAGCCTCCCAAGTAGTTGGGAGTACAGGCGTGCGCCACCATACCTGGCTAATTTTTGTATTTTTAGTAGAGACGGGGTTTCACCATATTGGTCAGGCTGGTCTCGAACTCCTGAACTCAGGTGATACACCCACATTAGCCTCCCGAAGTGCTGGGATTACAGGTATGAGCCACTGCGCCTGGCCAGAATATTCAATTTTTAAAAATCTACAATGTCTTGATAATTAAAAAATAATTTTCTAGATTTTATATCATCTTAATGTGTTTCATAATTATGAATTCTTTGCAATTTCTTGCATCTGTAAATGACTGTATTTTAAGTCTTGAGACATAATCCTTGTTAGCACAGCCAATCCTTTCCATAATTCGTTAGTCTTAATTTATATTTTTTTCCTGCAACTGAATTTCTAAATCTTAGTTTCAGTTTATGATTATATTTTCTAACCAAGTAGCAGTGCCATTATTTGCAATTTTCTAAGTGTGCTAGCAAAAACCAAGAAAAAAGTAAATATTCAACCACAGGGAGTCACAAACCATATTCTAAAACACTCTGCAGCCTTCCCAAATGATGTTTTGGAAGAATATTTAATGACTTTGGAAAAATGCTTTGGTATATTACGTTTAAAAATCAGATTACAAAACAATATTTATAATATGAGTCCACACATGCCTGTACATAGAAAAAATAAAGGAGGTTAGTATTAATACTGAATTGGGAGATTACAGATAATTTTTACTTTTTAATTTAGACTTGAGTTTTCCATATTTTCTAAATTAACATGTATTAGTTTTTCAATCAGAAAGAGAACAATACATGTCATTCCTCAAATAAAAACACCAGCCGAGGTGATTGATTTTTTGGAAGCTAGGCCATTAAGTAATGCTATCCATTTTGTGGAGGCATTTTAAGTTCCGGTCATTGACTCATGGAGTAAACAATTATTGAACTATTGTCAAATATCAGTACCTACTCTATGCCAGATATAATGCTTTGTTCTGGGGACACTTGAAGAGGGTTATGCAGAGATAATTACAAAATGGTTCTACCAGGTATAGGATACAAGTAAAATCAATATTATAGGATAGGTGCTAGAGTAATAGCCCTAAGAAAGTCCTATACCCAGATTACGACAGGGGAGCTATTTCAAGCAAGTCATCCTGAGTCACACTAATCACAAGAATGCAACCTATCTGAACTTCATTAACTTAGTCTCACAAGGATATGTCTGTCTGATTTACAGTTGATTTGTGTGACCTGAGCTTTTGTATAGGGTGGATATAAAATAAACCTGCCATCTTAAAAAAAAGTTTGCAAGTTTTGAATCTTTAAACTGTAGTTGAACGGTTTTATTTAAAAAGTACATTAATGAACATTAGCTATATTCTGGTGCTAAGGGATATAAAGGTAAGAGAAACAAGAATCTTGTCCTCAGGAAGCCCAGAATCTAAATCAAATGTTTGTCTATATCTTATACAGTATGAATATCTGTGGTAATTTCATCTAACATTTTTGCTAAAAATCAAATATTGAGAATTAAAAGCCACATTGTTTCCCTCTCTTGCTTTGGCTGTGAGGAAGCATAGAACGAAATGTTATATCAGTAATCATGCTCATTACAGATATTTGTGGTAGTTGTTTTGATAAAAATTTTCTATGCATAAAAATGGCTTTCTTGTTTTTGAGAAGAACACAGACGATAAATCATAAATGAAAACCACATAAAATCTTTTGTTATTTAATTATATAGTAATTAGAATTATATTTTAAAGCAAAGAAAACATGTTTGGTAAAAGAAAAAAAGTTAAATGCATCTTCCTCACTGACAATTTAAATTGTTTTGTTTCTTGAGGGCAGGCAGAATTTACTCAAATAAGTGGTTTTATTTTTTATTTTTTTAGACAGAGTTTCGCTTTTGTCGCCCAGGCTGGAGTACAGTGGCAGGATCTCGGCCCACTGCAACTTCCGCTTCCCTGGTTCAAGAGATTCTTCTGCCTCAGTCTCCCAAGTAGCTGGGATTACAGGCGCTCACCACCATGCTCGGCTAAATTTTGCATTTTATTTATTTATTTATTTATTTATTTATTTATTTATTTATTTATTTATTTTGAGACGGAGTCTTGCTCTGTCACCCAGGCTGGAGTGCAGTGGCGCAA
The DNA here is from genome assembly GCF_000001405.40 of Homo sapiens. Classification (NCBI taxonomy): domain Eukaryota; kingdom Metazoa; phylum Chordata; class Mammalia; order Primates; family Hominidae; genus Homo; species Homo sapiens. Next base: position 29,936,329 of record NC_000014.9, on the reverse strand, counting down.
TCTCGGCTCACTGCAAGCTCCGCCTCCTGGGTTTATGCCATTCTCCTCCCTCAGCCTCCTGAGTAGCTGGGACTACAGGCGCCTGCCACCACGCCCGGCTAATTTTTTTGTATTTTTAGTAGAGACGGGGTTTCACCGTGTTAGCCAGGATGGTCTCGATCTCCTGACCTCGTGATCCACCCACCTCAGCCTCCCAAAGTGCTGGGAAATTTGGCATTTTTAGTAGAGACAGGTTTTCACCATGTTGTCCAGGCTGGTCTCGAACTGGCCTCCCAAAGTGCTTGGATTACAGGTGTGAGCCATTGCGCCTGGCCAAATAAGTGATTTTTTAAAAGTCCAATTTGGAAGGTCAAATCTAGATGAACATGTATTGAAAGAAAAAATAAAGGAAGACCAAGACGTTCTGAGCATTGATAGAACTGCTGTTGCACAGACAAACCAACAAGCATTCAAATTCCATTATTGACACTTGTCGACTTTGACATTCAATCGGAGCAGCAAAGTGCAAAGGTTAGGGACCTTAGAATGTTCTTCTTCATCTAAAAGAGTAAGAAAAGTACATAGTCCTTTTCTTGAATACACTGTGAAACAAATCTAAAATGTTATGCTTTTTTCAGTTTTTGAGGACTTCAGTTTTCCTGGATACTCTAGATAACTGACTGATTAAACAAAACAAAATGTATTTATAAAAATACATATTATTATATTAATATGGAAAGACTTTATATAGTTAAAAAATATATATAAAATATTTAATTCATGAAGTAAATATTCTATTTATAGATATATGGAGCAGAGCTTTTTAGTTCAAATACATATGAGATCAAATAAGTAAATAATTAAATTTTTAAAAAGTAATGTAAGACAAAGAAGGTCAGTGTGCTTACAACATAAATAATTTTTAGGATTGTATGTTTGAGGATAAGAATTAGTAAAAAGAATGCAGATGATGATTAAATAAAATGTAATTTCAATTCCATGTAAATCATCTTATTTTAATTATGTAGACTTTTATCCTAGTGGAATATGTATATTATAGTAATAAGTGAATTTTAGAAATAATGCCATTTAAAATTTTTCTAAGCCAAGAAAAGCAAATTATTTTTTCTTAAGCTATTAAAAACTATTTTCCCCTGGTTATGTCACCAAGAAATAAATCTTCCAGATTCTTTCCCTTAAATATTTGTATTTTCCAAATCAAGCAACAGAAACCACACACAAGAAATTTCAGCTCAAAAATATTTTTTCCAGGAAGAAACCCAAAAAGTAACTTTGAATTAATTGTACCTCTATTCTGTTTTATTAACTTTTCAAAATTTAGTCATTGATTTTAGTAAAACATACTGAATGAAAAATGTAAAGTCTCATAAAATGACATGTATTAAAGAGAGTAAACTAGTTTATAGAATAATATCAACAAATGGGATATATTGATATTCATACTAGAAGATGTTTAGCTATGACACTCATCCAGTGAGAATGGAGGAAAGTTTGTATTTCTGGAACCAATGGGCCTTGAAAATAGGATTAGAAAAATTGCATCTTTATGAAAAACAAATGTGCTGCTGTTAATGGTTTCTGAATTTGAATGTTGGATTGACTTAGTAAAAGCCAATGTGCACAATTAGAGTTGGCAACTCTAAGCAATATAGCCTTCTGAGTATATTGAAGTTGAAGGAAAAAGTGTTAGACTGGTGATTTCATTCTGTTTTCTACAGGGAACCTGAGCAAATTTTATGATACCTTGGAGCCAGCAGATGTTAGTTCTTATGAGAATAGCAGAGTTTTTACTGTCTAGGATGGAATGATATTTAGGAAATCAAGTCTTACCAAAAAACATAACATAAAAATGTAAATGCAGGTAGGTATTTTGGATGTACATAAAAAGCATATGGTTAAAATCATCAACGTTTTGGACAAAAAATTTTGAAGTTTACTCATGCCTTTAAAAGTTAGAGAAATATAGCTTGAAGAAACCATTAGCAGCACTACTTTTTAAAACTTCTTTTAATAAAGATGTAATTCTTTTAATCCTATTTTCAAGGCCCATTGGTTCCACGGATACGAACTTTTCCTTCATTCTCCCTTCTTGTAACAACTTAAACACTGGTAGCTGGATTTATTCTTTCAGTCTGTTGATGAACATAAGCAGATAAAAATGTCCTCCAATAGTGAAGACAACCAAAATAGTTCAATTTTGGTTGAAATTCAGAAAAAACAAATATCTGTAATGTCCTCCTCCAATTTGAAGTTAGAAGAGCAAGTAATATAACAACATTTATTTTAGTTAACTCATGCCTGCTTTTAGGAACTACTTTTAATTCATAATTTTTCACGAACCATTTGTTTAAATAATCTGATTTAGAATGTTGCTGATTATTGATGCTAAACTCACTGGTCTACATTTTGAAATCTTTTTGAAAATCAAGACATTTGTTTCTCTCCAAGAATACTTTAAGATATTTGCAATACATCCATCAGTACAGTCTTGTGATTATTTGAATGCTCATCCCCTATTTAGATAATGTGTGACCATCTTTTCATTTATTTTGAGCTTCAGTTTTCTTTTAACCATTTTTTTACATCCTTTTATCTTGCTAGAGAAACCAAGCAAAATGGAGTTAGGCTTGTTTTCTCTGTTGTTTTAACATTATAGTAAGTAATGTGGCTGGCAGGAATGATGTTTGGACTAATATAGTTGATAATAGCTAGTATTTTGGGGTGATTAATAGCTAGTATTTGTGGCAGGCACTGTGTTATGTGCTTTTATATAAACTAAATCATTTAATGTTCACAACTCTTGAGTAGTGTAATTTTTTACTTTACCAATGAGGTGACTGTGGCTCCAGCCACAGTTAGTGGAGATGGTCAGGTAAGAAACCAGCCATCTCTCCTCTGAGCCACAACATTAATAAGTGGCAGATTTAGCATCAAAATTAGATCAGCCTTTTCCCCAGAGCTCATTCACATCCTACCACACTAAAGAATTTCAGATTTGTTAGCAATAGGAACTTTTATTTTCAAACAAATTTGTGGGACCCTGGTATATTAACAAATGAAAGGAGAGCTGCTTGGTTGAAAGTGAGGCAGGATGTCTAACTGTACCCATTAGGGCCTAGAGAGAACCCTAAGTCTTTCATAAGAAGTAGTTCATAAGCCCTTGTTCTATAACATAACATAAAATTCCCCAAGAGCATCGTTCATATATAACATGGAACTATTAAAGCTAATTGATTGTTTTTAGCTTATAATAATTTCTATTTACTCTTGTTCATATACCTATCTCTATTTTTGTTCATTTTCTTGGCCTGTTTGTACTTATCCAAAACTTGAGGTGTAGTCACACTGGTTTCTGCATTTATTCCTCACCTGGATCATTTATGATTTTATAGTTGAAAGCTTTTCTTCAAGGGCCTCCTGTCCTTTCAGGGTCTCTGACTCTAGGATCATACCTAGAAATTTGGTTTCTTTCTTTCTTTCTTTTTTTGTTTTTTTTGAGATGGAGTCTTGCTCTGTTGCCCAGGCTAGGGCATTGTCTTGGCTCACTGCAAACTCCGCCTCCTGGGTTCAAGTGATTCTCCTGCCTCAGCCTCCCAAGTAGCTGGGATTACTGGTGCCTGACACCACGCCCGGCTAATTTTTTGTATTTTTATTAGAGTCAGGGTTTCACCACGTTGGCCAGGTTGGTCTCAAACTCCTGACTTTGTGATCCACCTGCCTCCGCCTCCCAAAGTGCTAGGATTATAGGCATGAGCCACTGCGCCCGGCCGAAATTTGGTTTCTTAAAGAACAAATTAGTTTTTCTTCTTGGTGAAAAATTAGGTTAACAAGTTTACCTTCTTTCCTTTTATTGTCCATGAAATCATCAGCAAGATAAGGCAGCATTTTGTCACAAAATCAGGTTTTAGCAGAAGATTTTTTGCCAGGTGTCTGTGGTTGATGTCTCCATTTGGGTCTTATTTTTCTTTTGTGCCATTATCCTTATTTAGCCTGGTCTGATGAACAATTATAGATGAACATTCTAAAGCAAGTAAACAACAATAAATTTTTAAATCATATAGTCATCCATCTATCCATCTTTATCTTCATGCACATAACATCCAGTGCTCAATAATATATAAAGGAAGGATATACTGGAACCATACTTTCTCCCTCAAATCTCTGATTTCCACATTGGTATATAATTTCTGTAATCCTCAATTTCTTAAGCTGGCAAATGTTTGGACGAGGGGATATGATCCTTTCAGCCACAGATTTGCACTTTTTTTTTTTCTCACTTTCCTTTCTCTGCTGTCCATTTAATTTGGACAAAGCATACAGTGAGTGAGGCTGAGTGCCACTCAAATCAGGTTATTCTCAGCCCTTTTTCTGATTTTTGTGAATTATTGTATATTTCCAAAATGACTTGAACATACAACTATCTTTTGAAGACAACCTGACAAGATTAACATTCATCGTTGGAAATTGTTGGAAGTACCTCCACGTAACTCTGCATACCCTTGCAGGTCCACATCACTTTTATGTGGGCATGAAACTTTTTTTTTCTTTCTTTCTTTTTTTTTTTTTTTAATTTGAGATGGAGTCTTAACACTGTTGCCCGGGCTGGAGTGCAATGGCGTGATCTCAGCTCACTGCAACCTCCGCCTCCTGGGTTCAAGCAATTATCCTGCCTCAGCCTGCCAAGTAGCTGGGATTACAGGTGCCCGCCACCATGCCCGGCTAATTTTTTGTATTTTTAGTAGAGACAGGGTTTCACTATGTTGGCCAGGCTGGTCTTGAACTCCTGACCTCGTGATCCGCCCACCTCAGCCTCCCAAAGTGCTGGGATTACAGGCGTGAGCCTAGGCCTAGGGCATGAAACTTTCTTACCCTTGCAGGTCCACATCACTTTTATGTGGAGTCTTCATTAGGGCATGAAACTTTCTTTACAAAGTGGTGCTCCCAGTCACTGCTAGAAGTCCCTTATTCTTGTCTTGTTAGCCAGGATTAAAATAATGAAAGCCCATTTCATGAATATAATTAATATAAGCTACTATTCACTTTCTATATCCTCTTTTCTTTTCCAAGATTAAAACATCCAGAAGAGATTAAAACCAGATTTTCCCAAATCCTTCAAGTTTTCTATGTTCAATTTCAAAGTTGCCAGAGATATACACCAGGTTTATTATAGATATTCTCTGTTTATTCATTCCCTTGTCATTCAGCAAAAGTGAGCAGCAGTTGGAAAACTGTTAGATTTCAGGTGCCTACAATAGAAATTGCAATAACCAACTCCATGGGAATTTTCTGTTTGCGATGGGGAGGTCCAGTAGATACACGATTTTTTTCTTCTTGTTTTTCTTTATTCACTCTTTTGCATTCAGTAATATTTCACCGTCTTAAAAGTAATGTTAATTCTCTAGGGCATCTTTAGAATTCCTTCTCCTGTTTCCTTATCAATTATTTCCAACACCCTACATAAATCTTTCATACTATTGATAAATCATAGTCTAACAAGAAGTTATTCATACTTTTTTTAAAATTCCTGTAAGTCTCATAACTGATAAGTACTTTAAGCTCTTTCTCTCTAGAGCTCTCATCTAATCTCACATTGAAATGCCTTCTGCACACTGAGAAGATTTCTAAATGTATTTCTGACCCTCTTCTCTTTTCTGGATGCTGGACCCATATATCCAGCTCTAGATGCTATTTCTAAGTTGAATATCTAGCAGCATATCAAACTCAACATGGTCAAAGTAGAAATCTTATTTCTCCCTGAACTTGCTCACTCTCTATCTTCTGTGTCAATTATTGGCACCACCATCAGTCCAATTGCTCAGAAACTTGGGAGTCTTTTGTGACACCCTTGTTCTCTCACTCCTTGTAAATCTCTGACTCATTCAGCAAGAACTTCCGCCAACATAGAGCCTGCAGTTTCCCATTTCTTAGCATCTCTTCTACAACCATAGGAGTCTAACCCGTGTTTCTAGACTCAAAAACAGCAATAGTCTCCTACCCAGTGTCTCCACTTTTACTCTTTTCTCTTATATTCCACACAAAATCCAGAGTAATCTTTTAAAACATGCTAATTAATCTTATTATTCCCTGCTTTAAAACCTTCCAATGGGTTGGTAGTGCACTGAGAATTGAAATAAAAACACTTTACCATGGCTTTCAAGACTCCTGGTAACCTGGTTTCTATTAGCTCTCTGACCTCATCTCACGCACTTGCCCCTCTTTTCCTATGCCTTGAAAATGTTAAATATATTTCTGTGTTAGAGTCTTTGCACTCTCTGTTACCTATGCCTACAATGTTATTCCCCTAGTTCTTCTGAAGTCTACCCTTTCTATCATCCAGATTTTGGCTCAAATGTAAACTTCTCAGTGAAGTCTTCTCTCATTCCCAGTCCAGAGCAGTGCCCATTTCTTCATCCCTCCTCCCACAAGTCACTGTCTTCGCCATTGGGTTTAAAAAATTCATTGCAATTATGAATATTAGAAATAATATCATTTGTGGTTTTACTCCATCCCCCCTCCCCTTTTCACTGTGATCTTTTTAGGGCAAGGACCACCTGTCTTCACAGCTGTGCAACTGGTGCCAGTACAGTGCCTGGAACAGAGAAGTCCTCAACATGCAGTTGTGATATCTATAAAACATGAATGTCTTCAGCGCTCTTGAATCTCAAGTGAAACTAGCTTTTTGTAAGTCTCTTGTAAACTGACCAGCAAGCTTTTTTTTGATAATAGAAAACTGTGGAATATTAACTTTATTCTGATTTCAAAGAAAATGAAGTATAGTTTCGGACATTTAAAAGAAAAAAACCTCCTTCAGAATTCAGAAAGGCATTTCATCAAGAAAAATTCCACCATTTTCCTAGATTAGCTGAGTCTAGAACATTAGGAAAATTACCTACCTGTATCAGGGATGAAGAGGACCACCTCATAAGTAACTATGCAGGGAAAATGTAAACACAGGTAGACCTTATCAAACCATCACATTCAGAGAATAAATTCAAGTCTCTTCAATGCAGTTGTGCAGCCTTGCAGTGTTTGGGGCTCCATTACTGACCCTGGGAACACGGTTCTAAAGGAAGCTACCTTGCAATATCTTGGGCCACAACCAGAAGTTAAGACAATAAATAAATAAATAAATAAATAAATAAATAAATAAATAAAACAGAACAAAATAAGCTATACAAAATACAAAATGTTTGTTTAGGTATGTTTGTGTGTACTTACGCAGAGGAAGGGGAAAGTCTAGGGAAGTGGCGAAGAGAGAGGCAAAGCTGACTACATTATCTGCGTGGCCCATTGCAAAATACAAATGTGAGACTCCTTGATTAAAAATTATGAAGAAGAACAAAACAGCGACAGTAGACTATTGTCCCAGAATATTAAACCAAACACGGGTCTTATGAGCTGTGGCCTATACAACTGCATAGTCGCACACCCATGAAGCCCACCCTGGTTGGAGGGGAGAATTATAATTCATCTCCAGCGAATGTAAAGCAATCCCCACCCTGCCAAAACAACAGTAAAAATAAACGGCGATCCAAATTAGGGCAGGTTGTGCCCAATCCTGATGGCTGTGCTTGTGATGACGGTGGCGGTGCTGAGGTGGACTTGGGGGCACTGCTCCTATATAACAGACTTTAGATTGATAGAGGAGAAGGAAAATAGTTTCTGAAGCTCCAAAGTAGAAACTTCAGGCGCAAAGAATAAGGTAAAGGAAAGGAGACCGCATCAGACCTCCCTCCTGCCCTTGGGCAGTCAATGCCTTTTCTTTCCAAAGCGACCCTCTCCTTAGATCACTGTGTATATCCGGTGCCTTAGGAGCTGGGGTGGAGTACGTAGGTTTGGCTGTAAGGGCGCGTCAGAGCGACAAAAAGGGTAGAGACAAGTTTAAACCCCTTTCTGTGGAGTGGCTTCCTACCCTCTTTGGCCACAAACCCCAGGGCTCCCAGAGGGGCCTGGATGTAAGTGGGTTCCAGATGACCCATCCTCCCTTGACCCTCCGAAGGTAAGACCCAAGGGGAACCGCTGTGATCAGCATTCTTGAATTCCTCAAAAGTCACCTCACTTGTAGAAGTGCGTAGTCCTCCAGCATTTGGAAGAGGTGGCAGGGACCTTGGGGCCCGGGAAGTTCGCGACCCCAGGAAGCGGGTCTGAGGCGGTGCACCCCATCCACTCCGTCCGCAGTCGGGGCGGGGCAGCGGGACCCGAGAGGACGGGAATCCCTGCAGGGAGGGAAGGGCCGCGCCTGCCGAGGCGGCTCCGAGCCCCGCCACTCGGTCCTATCCCGGCTCGCGGAGGCTCAGGCCCCGGGAACTGCGGGCGGAGGGGGCGGCGACCGGGCACCCTGCGGCCACTGCGGCCGCTGCTCCTGCGACTCCCGCGCCCGCCGGGTGGTGGCTCCCCAGTGCCCGCCCCCAGCTCCCCTTCCCCGCCCCTCACGCCCCCTTCCCGCCCCGGCCCCCGCCCGGCGCTCGGGCCGCGCCGACCCGTCGCCCCGTCCTTCCGAGCGCGCCAGGCGGCAGATTCTTGGCGGCGGCGGCGCCTCCCCAGTGCCGGCGGCCCCGAGCCGGCTGCCGCGTTCCGGGCCTCAGAGTCCTCCCGCCTCGGCCATTTTCCCTCCTCCCCATCTCCTCCCCTTAGTCCCCTCCCCTCCCGATCCTCATCCCCTTGCCCTCCCCCAGCCCAGGGACTTTTCCGGAAAGTTTTTATTTTCCGTCTGGGCTCTCGGAGAAAGAAGCTCCTGGCTCAGCGGCTGCAAAACTTTCCTGCTGCCGCGCCGCCAGCCCCCGCCCTCCGCTGCCCGGCCCTGCGCCCCGCCGAGCGATGAGCGCCCCTCCGGTCCTGCGGCCGCCCAGTCCGCTGCTGCCCGTGGCGGCGGCAGCTGCCGCAGCGGCCGCCGCACTGGTCCCAGGGTCCGGGCCCGGGCCCGCGCCGTTCTTGGCTCCTGTCGCGGCCCCGGTCGGGGGCATCTCGTTCCATCTGCAGATCGGCCTGAGCCGTGAGCCGGTGCTGCTGCTGCAGGACTCGTCCGGGGACTACAGCCTGGCGCACGTCCGCGAGATGGCTTGCTCCATTGTCGACCAGAAGGTAAGTCGCCGCACCGCTGCCAGCCCGGCGCCTCCCCGCGGCGCAGGGGGCGCTGCCCGGCTGGCCCTCTCCGCGCCAACTTTCCGGCTCCCGGGGCTCGGCTGGCCGCCAGCCTCGCCGGCGCTCTGGAAGCGGCTGGCCCCGCCGCGGCTGGACGCCTGCAACCCGAGGCGCTGCGCTCGCTGTTGCTCATCCTCCTCTCGCCCCATCTTCCTCTATTCACCGATTTCTCTCCAGTCCGCCGCCTCCTCACCCATTTCCATCCTTCTCATGACATTTCCAGGTATCTTGCCCTTTCCTCGCCGCGCCCCTCCTTGTCCTTGAGACTTCCCAGTTTTCTTCCCCTCTCTCCCCTACGGACCCTGGACCAGCGCATTCCTGGTGCAGGAATCCTCCTTCCTGCACCAGAGTGCCCCCGGAATGACCTGGAGACAAGGAATTTCTCACCTGTCAGATAAGCTTTTAAGAGAGTGTGATTGACTCGGCCAGTTGTCAAAACAACTGACCAGGAGTGCAGGTACCCAAGGCCTTGTCATCTTTTAGTTCCACTTCTGTATGAGCATGGAAACACATTTTCCAACGACAAAACCTGAAAGTTGCGACCTTCCTATTTTTCATTCCCGGGATGCTGATAGTAGGACGTTGAAGTGGTGGGGGTGATGTCCAGGAACACCCCGAGGCTGGCTGTGTCCTTAAGTTTGAGGCTGTGGGGCTCTGGACAGCGGCCACTGAAGGCAGGTTAGAAGGGTCATTATCCGGGGCCAGGCCACCCCCAGAGGAGACTCAGCCCACCCACCACTGTTTACAGTAGCAATTTGGATTTTCAGGTTGCCTCTGGAGCCATCCAGATGGATGTTGCATGGAAGGGGGTGATACAGACGTGAGGCAGAGGGGGCCATGGCGCCAGTCTTCTTAGTGTAAACAGCCAGCGTTTCAGGAGTGGAGACAGAGGTCTCTAAAGGTGCTGAATTTTTCAGCCCTGGAGGACTGGCTAGCACTCCTTTTGCTTTCTAATTATCACTTGAATAATCATGAATTGCTTTCTTTAAATTATTTGTAACAGAGTTTGCTAAATCTTAAGGGTTGTGAATTGCAGCACTGAGCACAGGAATGTTAAAAGCTCCAGGTGGAAAAAAATCACTGATCTAGAAAGTTGTGAAAGTTCTAGACTAAGGTAACAATGAGTGCCAGGAATTTATTTATGGAAATTTACTTTTATATTACGGGTAATGTCAACTGTTTGCAACTTCCAAGAAAATGACACGTTTTGTCTAATGCTGATGTAAGTCATATCATGCTCCTTTTCCACATCAGTATTGTGGAATGTCTATTGTGGGTCAGCAGGAGCACTCCTAGGCACTGTGAAAGCCTTGTATACAATCCTCTCCATTTGGATGCAGACCAGTTAATGAAACAGCAATGCTTCATAAGCACGTATACAATGTAAAACAAAATTTCTCAAAAAGCAAAGGTAATTCTGTACAATTTTAACTTTTCTAAATTCTAAAGCAAGTGAAGTAGTGTCAGAGAATATTCAAATTGGGTCAAAGTAATATTGATAGACTTTGTTTTGACCAGCTTGAATTCTCCCTCCACCCCGCCCCCCACTTCCTCCTGGAGTTCAGAATGGGGAGACTGATGCCTAGTTCAAGAGGTTTGGTAGTGGGATTTTAAATGGAGGGTGAATTCCAGGTGTCTCAGAAGCTACCAAGGGGCGTGTTACATGGAGAGAGTGAGACGAGAGCAGAGGGAGAGGGACAGCAAGCACCTATGGAATGCAGCAGGCCTGCAGGTGGTGGCCTGGGTATTTAAGGGAAGTACAGTTATGAAAAGGCCTTGAATTAAACTCAAATTGCTAGAAGCCTCAGTAATCTTTTCATAGCGACATCATACCAAGGACATCTGAAAGATGGATTTGCTGTATGGAGGTTTTAGAATGCCAAAAATGTTATGGCAGAAAGAGCACCGAAGTTCAGTCATGAGCTAGTTGGAACATGAGTCAAGACTTGGGGGAGAGACTGGGAGAAATACTGGAAAGGGAAAATCATCAGCCCTGATTGGTGACTGATTTATAAGGGGAATCCTTTCCTTTTGTATTTATTCTAGTAGTTTCTTCTCTCTCTCAAAGAAGTTTGAAAAGTTTGACTGTTTGGAATAGTTAAGGTAAAGATCTCACTTTTTTTTTAGGTTATAAAAAAGTTGGGGTTAGATTTATAGATGTGAACTTGAGGGTTATTTATATACAGAATACTGTAAATAAATATATACTGGATAGTGTTTCTGGACAGAGGACTTTTTCAATTTCTCTGTCATTTGTCATCTCTTTCAGAATATATTATTATCCCAGCAGAAACAAAATTAAGAGAGCTGAAGGTCCATCACAGGATACAGGATCTCTGTGTGTTGTGACAGTAGGAATGGCAGAGTGTCAGTGTGGAGTTAAGGAAGTGGGAGGGAGTTCTTTTGTCTTTTATTTCAGTTTTTTTTTGGAAGTACCTTATGAGGACGTCAGCTATGAGGAAGGATGACAGGAGTTTGGGGATTGGATGTTTCAGGAGAGAGCAGAGGGTTTGAAATCATTTACAATTTACTATGTGGGCTGAAGTCGTGTGGAACTTACAGCAGAAGGTTCTCCTGATCTTTCTGAGTCTTCCACATCTGTTGTTTTAAATGTGTTAAGAAGTTTTTCATTCACTTTGTTCAGGAGCTCCCTAAGTACTAACATAGATCATACGAGCATTGGAAATATTAGCTGACAGTTTCAGTAACATCACAGGACATTTCCTTTGGGATGAGCAACTGAGGTGTACAAGGCTGCATAAGTTTCCCTGAGAAACTCACCTGTAAATTATTATTGTTATTATTTAGAATTTAGAGTATAGTTGTTCTCTAATTATGTAGCAGACACGATTGTACTTGAAACATTGTGATGGTAATTCAACAAAAAATACTTATTTTAAGATAACGTACCCTAAGTATATACTGACTTATATAAGTAAAGAATTATTTCTTTCATCTTCTAGTTTAGGTGAAAAATCTAGTCTTGCTTTTTTGTATGTAACAATGTATGGCTATATAATATGTTATTCTTTCTTTTTAGAAAGTATTGATCCAGGGTTTTATTTACATTATGTTTGTTTATTTAGTTTGCAAGTGTGTGACGTTGAAGCCTGGTTGTATATAAAGATATGTATTCTGTTAGTGTACATGGTTATTGTTTTCAGGAGGGTAAAAAATAATAACAATCATTGACTTCACTTTGAAACACTGTTACTTTCTACTGTCAAAGAAACCTTGAATATGTAGACTGAGGAGGAATTGTTTTAAAGCAAGGAAAAAAATTCCAGAGGAAGAGCTAGTTTGGTTTCATAGTACATCATCTACTTATCTACCACACACACAAACACACACACATACTTTTTTTTTTTTTTTTTTTTTCCTCAAATGAGCTGTGTTACTCTTTAGGGATGCTTGATGCCATTAATATGATTGTTCATTTTGGTTATTACCTTATTAGAAAGGCAACTGATATTTTACTCTTAAATGTACTTAAATGGAGTAATAGCATTTATAAGACTCCTGGCATATAGTTTCACTTTTCAGAATCATCTTTTGGCTAAAGAAATTTAACAGTGAGATTTTAAGTAGATAGCTCACTAAAGAAGTAAGGTTAGTGCCTTGGTTTGAAAGTAGCATTACTTTGCTTGTAATTGTTTCACTTTAATTGTATTATACATTGTTTTCTTAATAGTTGTGATGTCATTTTTCTCTTTATTACTAATTTTAGATACTCCACACATTCCACATAGATTGAGAAAGCCGAAAGTAATTAGGTGCTTGATCAATCCAACTCACCTGGACCAACAAACTCCTTTTAAACTAATGATGGTCTTTGGGGCTTAGGTGTATATATTTTTATTCCAATTTTATAATTGGCTATATTATATGTCTACTGATTTCTGATTTAATGATGAAGTATAGAATTTGTCATTTTACTGTGTGTTTTTTTTTTTTTTTTTTTGACAGAATCTCACTCTCTTGCCCAGGCTGGAGTGCAGTAGCACAATTACAGCTCACTGCAGTCTTGGCCTCCAGGCTTAAGTGATCCTCTCACCTCAGCCCCTTGAGTAGCTGGGTCTACAGGTATGGGTGACCATGCCTGGCTAATTTTTAAATTTTTTGTAGAGATGGTATTTTGCCATATTGCCCAGGCTGGTCTGGAACTCCTGGGATCAAGAGGTCCTCCTACCTCGGCCTCCCAAAGTGCTGGGATTTAAGGAATCCCACTGGGTGTGAGCCACTGGGCCTGGCCTATTAAGTGATTCTTAAGTAATATAATTTTAGTACTCTAATTTTATTTTTATTATTTTATTTTTTGAGATAAGGCCCAGACTACAAGTACAGTACATAATCATAGCTCACTGCAGCCTCAAAGTCTTGGCTAATGTGATCCTCCTGCCACAGCGTCCCAAGTGTTTGGGACTACAAGTGTGTGCCACCACATCTGACTAATTTTTATAATTTTTTTATACAGACAATGTCTCACTGTGTTGCCCAGGCTGTTATTGATTTCCTGGCCTCAAGCAATCCTCCCACCTCAGCCTTCCAAAGTGCTGGGATTGCAGGCATGAGCCACTGTGCCCTGCCTGTACTTTTAAAATTTAAATTTCTTTTCAAGTTTAATAATGTAACAGGATTATATTTTGGAACTGTATATTATGTATTACAGATGTGGAATTTATATGTAGTAGATTATGTTTAACTATTTTTTAAATATATTTTTAAGAGCTTCCTTATCCTTGTATAGCCTCCAGATGTGAAGTATTGTTTTATATTTTGTGTTATAGACTGCAAAAAATGAGGCCTCATCACATATCTCACAATCCCAAAGAGAAACTCTGCTTTACATTTTTCTTTTTTTCTTTACTTTTTCTTTTTTTTTTTTTTTGAGATGGAGTCTCGCTCTGTTGCCCAGGCTGGAGTGCAGTGGTGCAATCTCGGCTCACTGCAAACTCTGCCTCCTGGGTTCACAGCATTCTCCTGCCTCAGCCTTCCAAGTAGCTGGGACTACAGGCGCCTGCCACCATGCACTGCTATTTTTTTGTATTTTTAGTAGAGATGGGGTTTCACCGTGTTATCCAGGATGGTCTCGATCTCCTGACCTCGTAATCCGCCCGCCTTGGCCTCCCAAGAGAAACTCTGCTTTATATTTTTCTATCAATTCACAGACTTATAAACCTTTTTAAAACAGGTATGTACTATTTGACAGTTTTCACAAGAATATCCTGTGAGACTGTGAAGTTAAAACCATTAAGCCTTGTAGTCCATGGGCTGGGAAGAGTTGGATGATTGGCTCATTTGATAAATACATGAATTCATTTGGGCCTTTAGATTCAGAATTGAGATCAATCTGAAAGAGTAAAAGTACACTGTGTATGGTGGTGGTGGTGGTGGGGGTTACTGGAATAAGGTTTAAAAACTTGCCCCAGAAGACCATACTTCATGACTGTGCTGTTTATTTTCACCAGATTCCTATCATAGCTTTTATGGGAGATTTATAACTTTATTTTCTAATGATTATTACCTTTTTTTGTGAGATGATTGTATATAAGTCTTCACTAATTTATTCATGAATAACTGTTACTGACCTTACTAGAGAATGCAGAACATTTGTAAGTCAATGAATGTATATTTGTGACTTATCTAAGATTACTTTGAGATTTAAAGACAATATATGTAACATACATACTGCTTTGTAAATACGTGCATAATAAATGCTGTTGTTTACTAAAGCTTAAAGCTCTATAGACTAGCATACTGTCTTATTAACAAAAGAAATTTATATTTATTATCTTATTCTTATATCAATATATAATTAAAATTATAATATTAAAAAAAGCAATATGGCTGTAAGGCCCAGGTGACATCTTTTTCCTGCCCTCTGTATCAGGGCAAATCTTAGAAGTAGTTATGTTTTGAAACAGTTTCTCAAATCTCAAACTCTCAGCATTCTTTAAGGACTAATCTAATTATTACTAAATGAAAGACACATTTGCTGATAAAAGTAAAGCATATTTTCATTGCTTTTTATTATTTTTGACAGAAAGATGATTTAACTCCTTTTCAATTACAAGTGCAATGTCAATGGTATTTCACTTCATTTTTTAAAAAGGAAATAAAATAGATAAAGGTGCAACATTTGGGAACACAATGATTCAAAATTCTGGTTCTCAAGACCAAAATTTAAAGCTTATTTGCAGATCATCGCTTGATACATGAGAAGGAAGGTGCTTGGAAATGACGTAGGGAGATTGCAATTTGCTGTCATGCTAACATCTAGAGGTTGTTTGCTAAATTGTTCCATCTGATGATAGCTAATATAACATAATTGGTTGTGCATATGCAGAAATGTCATTTTGAGATGAGAAGGCAAATTTACTGGGAAACAATTGAGTTATCAGTTTGGCAAAACCAATCACAAGTCTTTTTTAGATATTCCCACTACCTACCACTTATCTGTCATGGAAGTCCATGCCCCATTATAAAACCTTTAGAAAACCACAATCTTTAATTATTTATAAATCTTTTAAAGAAGAGTGTAATGGATAATTATATGAAACTTTGTGTGTGTGTGTGTGTGTGTGTGTGTGTGTGTGTGTGTATTAGACTGGAATCATTGAATAAGCTCTCAAACTATACCAAATAACTAGTATAATGATCAATATTGCAGGGCTGGACTCAGACTGTTAGAACTTGGTAGAATGCAGTCTTATAGGTGTTGATGGTAACATGAAGTTTCCTTCCTTGCTTTGTTTTTATATTTGTTTGCTTTGATTTATGTATCAGGGTAATCTTTGACCTCTGACCTTGCGCCATCACCTTGTTTAAGGTGAAAAATCTAAACCCAAATGTGGCAATAGAGGTAAAAATATAGGGTGTTTTTTAATAATAAAAGATACTACTCATCTTTTAATTTCCCCAGCATTACTTTAGAGTGATTTTGAAAATGAGACTTCAATTTCTTAAATCTTTCCTTATTGTTGGAATATGTTGGAACAAAACAAGACAAGTGCTTCCTTCCTTCCTTGTTTCCTTCCTTCCTTTTCTTTTCTTCTCTCTTTTCTTTTCTTTCTCCCCTTTCTTCCTTTTCTCTTTTCTTTTCTCCTTCCTTCCTTCCTTCTTTCCTTCCTTCCTTCCTTCCTTCCTTCCTTCCTTCCTTCCTTCCTTCCTTCCCTCCTTCCTTCCTACCTTCCTTCCTCTCTTTCTCTCTCTCTCTCTCTCTTTCTCAGGGTCTCACTTTAGTCACTCAGGCTGGAGTGCAGTGGCACCGTCTGAGCTCACTGCAGCCTCAACTTCCCAAGCTCAGGTGATTCTCCCACCTCAGCCTCCCGAGTAGCTGAGACTACAGATATGTGCCACCACGCCTGGATGATTTTCTGTATTTTTAGTAGAGACAGAGTTTTGCCATGTTGCCAGGATGGTCTTGAACTCCTGTGCTCAAGTGATGACCCACCTGCTTCGGCCTTCCAAAGTGCTAGGATTATAGGTATGAGCCACTGCGCTCAGCCTCATTTCCCTCTTTCTATTGATAGAATTTAGATACAAAGAAAATGGTGATTTTCCTTACAACTATTCAAAACATTTTTTAATCTATAAGAATATGAGATATTTCCCACAGGAATTCTTTTAATACTGTCAACCAAATATTTTTGTGCCATTAAAAACCAGTTGTGATAGCACCACTTGAAGTTATTTGGCAGCAGAGAAATTCACGTTGTTCTGTTTCTTACTTTTTCTGGTCTCATCTAGAAAAACAGATCATTAAATATACAGAGTGTTCAATTATATGGCCACTATGGCTGTTATGGAATATCATATAATTTAAATAGTTAAGAACTGGTACAAAAACAATGCATATTCAGACAAATTTCGGCTGTCTAAATCTACAGTTTCCTGTGTAGAAGTTTCTTCCAAAGTTATGAAAGGTTTTATTTGGCTTAAGCCAGACAATTGATATAGTAGCTTAGCAATGTTGGCAAACATGAAACTTAGATTTTAAAATATGCAATCACACAGGAATTTTGTTCAACTTATTTTGGTGAAAAGGAAAAAAATATACACCCTTCACTAGTTCATTGGCATCTATTCTGACTAAACCACTGATTGATGAGGAACTAGTGAATGTATTGCTTGTTTTTAGGCACAATTTCAGGAATTTCTGAATGCTTCTCTCCTTAATTGTCAGCAGCCACTTTTCCCCGCATATATTATAAAACAGTTGAAAAGTATTAATTTAGTAATGAAAATATGAATGAAAAGTATGAATGTGCATAATATATGGTGTTGTTGATAATTAGTTTGATTTTTTCCTACACTCAGTGTTCTTACAGTTAGGTGATTCTCTCAACCTGAGCAATTGCTCAGTGTAGGGTGAAAAGATTAAAGAGATTGCTTATTTGCAGTTATGTAAATATCCACAGTAATCATGAACATTTTTATTTTTCAGTTTGTTTGATTCCATAGCAATTCTGGTTAGGAGTGGCATGTTATACAGGCTTTTGCAAAAGTATTGACATTATTTCACACAATGTCTTGTACAGTCAGAGAGATTGGGGAGGAGAGGACTGAAGGGGCAGTTAAAAACTAGAAATAAAGAGTCAAGTGGTAAATTGAAAAGGCCAGAAAAGTGGAACATTAGATTAAAGGGTCACCACTTGTGTTACGGCAAGTATTTCAGCTACTGTGAGCAGGTGAACATTGAGATCTAATGGTTAGCACCATCTGAAAATATATTCAGAAGCTTCCTAATCAAATTGTACATATGGTACATATTTTTGGTGTCATTGGGGTCATAATAAGTGTTTTTCTTTTACATTTTTGTAAATTACTATTTGATATTTTCATAGTTCTGACTGTTTGAATTACCTGTCTCACGTTGAGTTCCCTTTGTAACACTGCAGGTGATCCTACAAGATTCTTTCTCCCTCCCCAGCATTATTAAGGTATAATTTACTAATAAAAATTATATATACTATGATATATAATGTTTTGGTACATGTATACATTGTGCAGTGATTAAATCAAGCTAATTAACATGTCCATCATCTCACAGACTTATCTTTTCTTGTGTGTGTGGTGAGAACATTTAAAATCTACAATCAGGCAATATATTTCCTGCTTTGAAAAAATCAATTTTGGGGTACTAGGCTTAGTACCTGGGTGACAAAATAATCTGTACAGCCCCCCCATGACACAAGTTTACCTATGTAACAAAACCGTACATGTACCCCAGAAACTAAAATAAAAGTTAAAAAAATCTATTTTTTACTTAAAAAATTATCTACAGGTATGTAGATTTGCTATAATCATACTCTTCAGTTCATAGCACATTTTTTTCATCAGTCCAAGTAAGGATCCTATTGCGTTATGTTTTATTTTGTTTCATTATTTATTTTCAACCAGGCATTGGAAGAACTGTGGTATAGGTATGAAGTATTGTATCTTGACAGTTGAAGCTTGTTTCAGTATACAAAGTTTTTCACAAGGTAATAGATGGTTAAGATAAAATTAAAAGGGTATTCAGCATTTTAAATAAAGAGCTGTATCTCTTTTCTTTTTCGTAAACAATAGAATAAAAAGAATCTGAATATAATTAAATTCTAACTTGATATGTCACAAACAGAAACGTATTTCTACATCAACTAAAATAATTTGTTCAAATATGAAATCCATGTATCATTACATGAGCCTGCTGTTTTTTTTGTAAATGGTTTAAGTTGACTTTTGACTAGGAATTTTTGCTTGAAATTTATTCACCGACATTTATGTTGATGTAAATTTCAAACTTTCTTAAGAATCAAAGCACTTTTCATTAATTATTAAGATTAATCTGTTAGGTTAAAGTGTTAATAAAAGTTTTTAAACTGTCAGTTTTGGCCATACCAAAAATACAGAGCCTTTTCCTAGGTTGTCTAAATCCATCATATTAATGACATAATAATTACAGGATGATTATGGAACTATTTCTTTGTTTTGGGTGAATGACTAGCTAGAAAGAGACTGGGGATTCAGTTCTAGTTCAGGTGCTAGAATTAAGTTCCAGAGACTTGATTGAATTAGGCCATTTATCAATAGTCAAATGTTTATTAAAGACACTCTTTCTTAAGCTTTTTATCAATTAAACATGAACATTTCCCCCCCTCCCTTCTAACTCCTCACATTGTTCAGAAATGGTGGTAGGCTTGTGTTCTGGTAGGGCCTCTTGGGTTAGACCAGGGAGTTCTTATCATTACAAAAAGTGGCTATGTCCTTTTCAGAGTGTTAGGAGATCATGGTTAGAATTTAGGGAGGAACACACTTAAGGGAGCATTTGGCAGAGGGACTAGGATGAGTTCGAAGACATTTCAGTGTGACTTCTTTGCCACGGGAAAAAGAGATTATTAGGGTGAGACTTGATACTATTTCTTAGCCTACAGAAAGGTGAGGTCTACTGTCCATTTTGAGACATCTATATAGTTCTGTGGTGCAAAGCTGGTATCATCTTTGCATTTAGCATCCTTGGAAGGCTTGGTCTGTGTCTCTAATATGGAAATCTGCAAGTAAGAACATGGGTGACCAAGAGTCGCAGTTATTTAGAGATTGGTTAGTGCTGTTAGATCCTCAGAACAGTAACACTAGAGGTTATGACCACTTGACCAAACAGCCGTAGCTTTTTCACCATTGTCAAAAGCAGGAAAGAGTTGGGGAATGGTGTCAGTTAATCTTTGGTGATGACTTTGAATCAGTGGTGGTGAATAGACCTGAAACAGTGACAACAGGCAAAGTCTGTGGGCTTCTGAGACTTATGGCACCTGAGGGCAGAAAAGAACATGACAGCAAAGCTCTGACCTTCCTGTGGCTAGAGCCAGAAGAAATGGCCACGCTAGATCACTCAGGAATAACAGTGGAAAGAGATCTTGGAGGTTGCTTTTTACAAGCGGAGTAGTCCTCTTTAGAAATTCCATGAGCATCACAGGTGAGAGCTCCAAAGAGCAACTTCATGATGACCTGTCTGTAAGAATTTTGAAAAGCTTATCCCAGGAGCCTTGGGTCATGATAGGCAAGGTTCCAGGGCCTCTTCTGGAAAATTCTGTGAGTGTCAAAGCACCTTGAACTGGTGGTTTCTCTCACAGTACAATGGCCAGCAGAGGGGAGCCTCCAGGAACAAAACCTTCCTGACATTTACTTTGTGTGCCAATCTGTATCTTGGCTTTTCATTTGTCTTTTCTGATTTTCACAGCAGCCCTTTGTGGTAGTAATTTTATCTCTATTTTAAGGATGAAGAAACTAAAGGTTGGAGAGGTTAAATTATTTACCTCAAGACACACAGCTACTACGTAAAAAGCAGACCCTCCCAATACTTTATTCGCTTGCTTGAAAGGCCGTAGATTTGTAGGAAGAGTTTGGAATTATCAGATTATGGGAGGAAATTTAAATCTTCCTATTGTGTTGGCTGAAATTTACTTAAAAATGCTTAAACTTTGACAGTGTGGTATTATTGATTTATTTGAATTATTCCTTAGTCTAGAAGGCTTCCCTCATCTGGAATTCACATCCCAGTTAGTGACCAGCTAGAATCCTAGTCACTTTGGAGGCCACTACTACAAGGATTCTCTTATTGGTGGCAAGATTCCCCCCCACTTCCCACCCCTTCAGCATTTATAATTAATAGAGAGAACATTAGAACTGGACGGTCATTGGGGAAATTAGTGAAATTTGAGAAATATTTTTATATCTCTTTTAGAAATACTAAATCTGCCTGTTTTAAAGATACTCCTCACCCTTGAGGAATCATATGATCTATAGTACGTCTAATTGTAAATTTTTTTTGAAATATATTTCTGTTTGTGTAGCAGAATTTGGTTTGGAATTTGCTCCTCTGGTAACAAAATTGTGGAGATAGCCAGTCCTTACCCACCTGGACATTTTCAGATGCCACTGTCTTCATCCAAAGAAGTTAATTACCTTGTGTAACTGAATTGGCCTTTTTTCCAATAAGATGTGGCCACCAAGTGTTGTGGAAGAAGAGATTATGGTAAGACCATATATTGATCATTGTGGTTCAAAATTAGTAGATGTAAAGAATTACATTTATCAGTGTAAATCAATGAATCACTCTTGAATAGTACACTGATTCTGAGCAGGTTCTGAGAAAACAACTAAGGGTCCTTAAGAAAAGTGCCTTTCAGGCTGGGCGTGGTGGCTCATGCTGTAATCCCAGCACTTTGGGAGACTGAGGTGGGCAGATCACAAGGTCAGGAGATCAAGACCATCCTGGCTAACATGGTGAAACCCCGTCTCTACTAAAAATACAAAAATTAGCCAGGCCTGGATGGCGTGAACCCGGGAGGCGGAGCTTGCAGTTAGCCGAGATCACGCCACTGCACTCCAGCCTGGGCGACAGAGCAAGACTCCGTCTCAAAAAAAAAAAAAGAAAAGAAAAGTGCCATTCAGTGTTTGCTTTTCT